>NC_000001.11:117432622-117735653 GCF_000001405.40 Homo sapiens
AGCTATTTCACAAAATTAACTCCAAGTTAAATGGCTTTATTGGTGAATTATATCAAATAAGAAAGAAATATCATTCTTCCCCAGAGGAACAGGGAACATTTTGCAGCTCTACTTCAGAGGCCAGCATAGCACTAACATCATAGCCTGAAAGGCAATATAGCAAGAGAAAACTACAGACCAGTATACTTTTTAAATACATTAGCAAGAATCCTGAACAAACTATTAATACTTGTAAAGCATAGCTAGCAATAATATAAAAGATATATATATTATATATAAGAATATAAAAGATAAAAGATATATAAAAGATCTTTTATATTCTTTTTATATAATATAAAAGATAATATATCAAGAAAAATTTCTTTTATTGTAGGAAAGCAAAGTTAAAGATTTGAAAAAGCAGTTAATGTAATTAATCATATTAATTAACAATAAAGGAGAAAAATCATATAATTATTGCAATAAATTTAGTAAAAGCATTTGATAAGATGCAACACCCATTCATGATTAAAATCACTCAGTAAACTAGTACAGCGTGATAATTCCCAATCCAAAAACCTGAAATGCTCCAAAATCCTAAACTTTTTGAACACCAACATGGAGTGCAAGGGAAATGCTCATTGTAGTGTTTAGGATTTCAGATTAGAGATACTAAACTGGTGTAATGCAAATAATTCAAAATTTAAAAAAATCGAAAATTGGAAACATTTCTGGTTCTAAGCATTTCACATAAGAGCTACTCAACCTGTACTAAAAGGTAATTATTATTTTTCATTCTGATAAGGGACACCTACGAAAACTCTACAGCAAACTATATGTTAATTATAAAATATTAAAATGTTTTTACCCAAGGATCTGGAATAAAGGAAGGTGTTCCATTTTCACTATTTACATTTAGCATTGTAATGAAAATCTTAGCATTGCAAGAAAGCAAGAAAAATACCTTGTTCATATTCACTTATATAGTTTTTTTGCTAGATTCCTTTTGATTTCTGAGATACACAGTCATATTGTCTGCAAATAATGACAGTTGTACTTCTCCTTTTTTTCTAAATTCTGTGTAGCCAGGAATGCCATCGCAATACTGATTCATTGTAGTCATTACTGCACACACTTTGCAGTTTGCACTGATGGTCCCACTGATACTGAATACTGTCCTTAAAAATTTTTGGAAATGAGATGAACTTGCCACTACCTATTAGCTGAATTGCTAAATGGATTCCCCACCATCTCCTGTCTCTAACTTCCCCTTACCTAACCTAATTTGCATACTACCTGAGTAACAAGAAAGGCCGTGTTGCTTACTACCTTAGTTGCAGAGGAGGCTTGGAAATGTGATTATATGGCATTTGCAGCAGCTTTAAGGTAATAGATGGAATGGAGTTTCTTGTTTGTCAGACAGATAGAATGACAGTTTCCATAGAAAGTAGAGGGAGTACTTTCTAAAGAGGTCAAAAGCTGTAAAAGAGATTATCTGAGGGATCTATTTACTATTTCCTAAGATTCTCCAGACTTGACACTTATATTAAACCACAGTATTGTGAAACTATTTATTTAGACCACATTGTTTTATCTCCCTGTGTTTATAGAGCTATATCACGATTTTCTGTCTGTAATAGTCTCTCACCCTTCCACATTCTTTGCCTGGTAGAGACTTTCAAGACCTTACTGAGGTTAATTTATATGCAATAAAATGTACCTATGTTGTATGTATAATATGTAATTAAATGTATACTTTGCATTTTAACAAATGTGTGATAAATTGTTAGAATATAAATTGATACTGTCTTTTCAGAAAATAATTCGGCTGTGTGAAGTAAATATTTAAAATTTAAAATACTCTGACCCAGCGACCCACTTCTAGGAATCTATTATCTAAAAGTAACAGAGTAGATACACAAGGGTATACTCAAAAGGATGTTTAATTGCAGTACCGTTTGTAGTAGAAAATATTTGAAAAAGACCTGAATATTCATCCATAGGAGAGTGACTGAATAAATTGATATATCTGTTACCATAGGATAAAATTAAACTATAAACCTAAATTTGTATATTTTAACGAGGAAAAATGTGCTTGATGTATTCAGTGACTAAAGCAAGTTATAGACCAGTAGTTGGTTACAGCTGTGTGTGTGTGTGTGTGTGTGTGTGTGTGTGTGTGTGTGTGTGTGTGTATCCATTCAGTCAGCTAGTCATCACAGTATTTTGCCAAGAAATAATGGCACCTTGGACTAAGATGGTGTTGTAGAGATGAGAGATATAAATGATTTCAGGGTATTTTGGAGATAAATTTAAAAGGATTGGGTGATACGTGGAGGGGGGTATAAAACAGAAGGAATTGATTTTGTCTCTCAGGTTTCTGTTTTTGGTGCTAGATTGATGGTACGATAGTTATTAAATATCAAATGCTTAAAGAATACTAGATTAGAGGGGGAAGATCATGAGTTAATTTTAGGTATTTTGAGTTTGAGGATTTTTTTATATTTAAGCGAAAATAAGTAGTAGAGAGATGTAATGGGTCTGGTGTTCAATGGAGAAGTATTGACTGGAGATATAAGTTTGGGAGTCAGTTGCTGGGTAGCTGATAATTGAAATCAAGCACATTGTGAAATTGTCCAGAGAGACAATTTAGGATAGGAAGAGAAAGGGGCCTAGAATTAAGCCCCAAGAAATACAACATCAAAGGCCAGATAGATGAGGATAAACCAAAGGAAGCAGGGAGATTATAGGATTATTGAACACAGAGGAAGCATGTATTTTAAGGAAGAACTCGTGAATAATAACAAAATGCTTTTGCTCACATGTGTGGTCAATCCTTAATAAGATCTGTTTCAGTGAAATGATGGCAGCAGAAGCCATGTTGGAATAGGTTGAGGAGTGAATAGAAAGGAGAGGATATGGATATAGTAAATTAGACAATTTTGTAAAACTGGAAAAGTTACTTGTGTTATTATGTCAGTAGCAGCCAAACATGGAATAAAAATCCAGCTACTTAATTGTATGTTATGTATAGAAAAAAAGGATGGAAATACATAAAAACATTAATGTATTTGGTTCAAGATAGAGGAACTGTTTATGATTTAAACTTTTTTATTTTTTCTATTTTTGAAACTAAGCAAATATTTTGTAATAGATAATAAAATATGGATTATTGGCCTTGCGCGGTGGCTCATGCCTGTAATCCCAGCACTTTGGGAGGCCGAGGCGGGCGGATCACCTGAGGCTGGGAGTTTGAGACCAGCCTGGCCAGCATGGTGAAACCCTCTCTCTACTAAAAATATAAAAATTAGCTAGGCGTGGTGGCAGATGCCTGTAATCCTGGCTACTCGGGAAGCTGAGGCAGGAGAATCACTTGAACCTGGGAGGTGGAGGTTGCAGTGAGCCTAGATCACGCTGTTGCACTCCAGCCTGGGCAACAGAGTGAGACTCCGTTTCAAAAAAAAATGTATATGGATTATTTATTTTTCAGAAGTCTAGTCAAGAGACAGAATCCATCTAGTTACTTGAACAGAGAAAATTTAATATAAAGATTAATTAGGTATAAAGTTGTTAACTAGGTAAATGCTAGATTAAAAAGAATACTCTGTAGGAATCATAGAGGTGGCTCCTACAGGAAGCAAACAGGGTTGACATAATATGGGGAAGAGGTTTTAATTAGTAAAACTTAGAAACCTTAAGAGGAAGGGGTATCCGAAGCTGAAACTCAGACCCCTGAAGAGAGTGGGCTAGCAGGTTATTGCTGGTGCTGATGTCTTTGGGGTGGGTGATAATGACTGATGTCTTTGAGGGTGATAAAACTGGTTCTACAAGTATTGGAAAAACTTCCAAATGGATCCAGCTGCTGCTATAGGAAGGGACTCCCCTTGCTGATGTGAAGGCTTAGAAAAGCAATCCAGCACTGGGGCCTGAGCATATCCCTGCACATTTGTGCTAGAAGTACCAGGAATGCAAGTCCCTGACTGCTCTTTATCCATATAATCACAATTGTGCTTGTAGGGATGAGGTAATGTCCACCCTGGATAAACAGGCTTACTTTCGCTTACTATAGAAGAGATACCACAAGCTGAGTGTTCTCCTATAATGTAACCCACTGTGTGTACAGGCATTCATCATGGGCCCTGTGCATCATCCCAGTGTGATTGGGGTGGAGGTGGGGCATGTATAGTCCAATGCAAATGAACTTGAAGCTTTGGCTGCTACTTTTCTATAAATAATAAAGCCTTTTATCTCTGACCCAGTAGTCTTGTGTCTTCTGCCAACATTTATAAAACTGTGAAAGGCTGACTTATTAGCTTGCAAATATAATAAAATCTTAGATTTCATTATGAGTTTTAAAATTATTATTTGCAGGTTCATTTTAAGAGGGAAGTGTGTGTGAATGTGTTTCTGTCTCTTTGTGTTAACCCTCAGTTTTGCAGTGACCTTCACTTGGTTCTGAGGAACAGCCATCTAGCCTTTAAGGGTACTCGTGCTCTCTCAGTGATACTGAAAAATTTATCCAGAATGAAGTATAGAGAGTCAAAGAGGGAAAATAAGCAAAAGAGTTGAGAGATGAAAATAGATTGAGAGGTTTCAGAGAATATTTGGAAGAAGTCTCAGATGAGTTTAATGGAACAAATAATATGTGAAAAGATAAGAACAAAGAGGAAATATTAAAAGCTACCAAAGAGAAAGGGCTGATTACTTAAAAAAGAATGACAGCTGACAGTGGAGTTCTCAGTAGTAATTGAAGTCAGAAGATTTTAGAGTAGTATCTTTAAACTGCTGAGATAAAATAGCTACCAACCCAGAATTTGAATCTGTCATTCAAGAGGGAAGGTACAAGATAAAAGACAAAGAGGTATACACATCAATTAATAAAATATTTTTGAGGAATTTAAATATTAACTATAAAAATTAAGATTAGATAATGCAAGGTGTAGGAGTGTGTGTGCGTGTGTGTGTGTGGTCAAGAACATGGACTCTAGAGCTGGATTGTCTAGGTTTAAATTCAGACTAACTGCTTAACTACCTGTATGACCTTGTGAAATACATTACTTATTCATTTTATATCAGTTTTTCTACTCTGTAAAATGGGGGCAAAATTAATACTTATCTCACTGGCTTGTTGTGAGGATTAAATGAGTTAATATGTTTGTCATCATCATCACCATCATTATCCCAACATTTTTGTAGAACATATTAAAAAGTCCTTAAAGCCCTTGTATATTAATATCACATATTAGGGGGCTAGAGTTGGTATGGAAATGGGAGGAGAAAATTTGTTTATTTTAAATCTCCACCTTTTGTCTTAATTTATTCAACACTTGTTGAGCATCTGCTATATGCTAGGCACTCTTCTAAGCATTGAAAACAAATTTAAAACAAATTGTTGTACCCCTATGGCTTATGGTTTACTGTGGGGTAATAGGCAATAAATAAATAAGATAGATATGTGAGAGAGCATGTATGTATACACATATACAGTCATGTACCACATAACTGTGTTTCAGTCAACAATGGATATGTTGGTGGTTGCATGAAATTATAATGGAGCTGCAAAATTCTTATTTCCTAGTGATGTTTTAATGATCCTGACCCTGTGTAGGCCTAGGCCAATGTTTGTGTTTGTGTCTTAGTTTTTAACAAAAAAGTTTAAAAAGTAAAAAAAAAATTTTAATAGAAAGTAGCTTATAGGATCAGGATATAAGGAAAGAAAATCTTTTTGTACAGCTGTAAAATATATTTGTGTTTTTAAGCTAAATGTTATTATAAAAGAGTCAAAGAGTTAAAAAGAAAAACCCTAAAACGTTTATATGGTAAGGTTACAGTAAGCCAAAGTTAATTAATTATTTTGAAGGATAATTGTAAAAAATAAATTAGTGTAGCCTAAGTGTACAGTGTTTAAATCTACAGTAATGTTCAGTAATGTCCTAGGCCTTCACATTCACTCACCACTCATCCTCTGACTCGCCAGAGAATTTTCAGTACTGCAGGTTTCGTTCATGGTCAGTGCCCTGTACAGATATACCATTTTTAATCTTGTATTCTGTATTTTTACTGTACTTTTTCTATGTTTAGGTAAACAAATACTTACCATTGTGTTAAAATTACCTACAACGTTCGATACAGTAACATGCTATATAGGTTTGTAGTATAGGAGTCATAGGCTGTACCATATAACCTAGATGTGTGGTAGGCCTTACCATCTAGGTTTGTGTAAGTATACCCTATGATGTTTGCACAATGACAAAATTGCCTAATGATGCATTTCTTAGCACTATCTCTGTCATTATACATGATGGAACATACACTGTTAGCAGTAAGCACCAAGGAGAAAAATAAAGTGGGATGGGGCATAAAGGAGTTTAAATTTCAAATAGGATGGTTAGGGAGTCCATGAAAAGGTAACATTTGTGTGAAGACCTGAAGGAGATTAGTGGGTGAGGATATTTTTTGTAAGAACATTTAATAGGCATAGCAAATAAAAAGACAGTGAAACGAAAACATACCTGGCATCCTTAGAGAACAACAAAAGAGGCGAGTGGAGCTAATGTAGAGTGACTGAGGGACAGAGTGAATGAAGGAGAGTGCATGAAGGAGGGGGTGAAGCCATAGAAGGTAATGGGGATACATCTTTGATATAGGTATATACCCTTATTAAGGACTGTGGCTTTTGCTCTGAGATAGGGAGCCATTTGAGGGTTCTAAACTGTTGACTTCTATTTAACACTCCCACATTGACTGCTAGATTGAGAATAGGCTGCAAAAATATTATCTTAGTAACTTAAGTACTCTAATAGAGAAAACAGGCATAAGAAGCATATATAGATCCTAATGTCACTTCCCTCCTCAAGAAACTACAGTGGTTCTATGTTACCTATTGTGTTGTCTTACTTTTTTTTTTTTGGAGACAGAGTCTTGCTCTGTTGCCCAGGCTGGAGTGCAGTGGCGTGATCTCGGTTCACTGCAACCTCCGCCTCCCGGGTTCAAATGATTCTCCGGCCTCAGCCTCCTGAGTAGCTGGGACTATAGGCGCGCACCACCACACCTGGCTAATTTTTTGTGTTTTTAGTAGAGATGGGGTTTCACCATGTTGGCCAGGCCAGCCTCAAACCTCTGGCCTCAAGTGATCCACCCACCTTTGCCTCCCAAAGTGCTGGGATGATAGGGGTGAGCCACCACGCCCAGCCTAACTTTCGTTACTTATACTTTAAAGCTCTTTGTGTTAACAAGATATCATGAAAAAGCCACTCATAAATTGCTGGTAGAAGTATAAATTAGTAAAGCATATATGGAGGGCAAATTGGTAGTAACTTACCAAAATTTCAAATGCTTATACTGATTGAGACAACAAATTCACTTCTGGAATTTATCTTAGATAGCCATATACTGTAGAAACAAATTAAATGTCCATTAATAGAGGACTGAGTAAATAAATTACAGTGTATCCATAAAAGAGGAAATTCTGCAGCCACCAAAGAGAATGAGCTGGTAGTCCTTTGTAGGCTGCTTTGGAAAGCTCCCCAAGGTACAAAACAATATGTTAAAGTAACAAGTTCAGAATGTGTGATATTCTGTGTTAGAGAGAGACAAAGACTCTGAGTGTGTGTAAATTGCAACAGAATTTCTGTTTTTGTGAGGTTTGGGAATGAGGATTTTATGTGACATGACCAGGAACCATGTATACCATGGGACTGATTTGGCACAAAATACAAAGAAGCTAACAGGTGGTTGCATTGTAAAAGGAATTGTGTGGCTGAGGGACAGAACTGAAAAAGAGACTTAATTTTTTACTTTTGATACTTTTTGGATTTTGTATTATTTGCCTGCATTGCATACTGAAAACTAATTTGCAGTTGCCTACCAAAATATTTTTCTGAAAATAGGGAAGATAAGTCTAAAATATATTGTTAAAGAGTTTATATATTTATAAATTAAGATTTATATACTATGTAAGGGATTTTTTCTCAATGACATTAGGGTGTTGTTTTCTTTTAGACCTGTCTACTATAACTGTTTATATGTTAATTGCTATTAATGATACAATATTTTTAGTTGAAAATTAGACAATATATTATTGGTTTATTCTGGAAGTGAATTGAGCATGCTTTCTATTTAGAAAAAGTTCATAGGTCATTTTATCAGTTTTAATTTTATATGTAGAAAAGATATGATACAAAATGTGTGATTAACAAAGATATAGTATTAATATTAGTTTCTAGATAAGAAAGTTGATTTCTTTGTCTTTATGGTAAACAGAAGCAATACTGTTTGCTCTATAAGGTAACTTGTGTTTACTAACATGTAAATGTTAATAAAGAGAGAACTGATTTTACATTTGCTTTTCCTAATTAATGAGATGAATATGAGAACATTATTACAACTTTGACTTTAAATTATAATGTTTTTCTTTGGGGTTTTGATGTTAAAGTAGATATTGAAGGAAATGGTAAATTGTAGATGTGTGAATATATCTAATTAAAAGTTCTGCTAAGAAGCTTGTGCCTTGTTGAGGGAACTTTGGAACATCTTAATGAGGGACAGAGTGAATGAAGGAGAGTGCATGAAGGAGAGAGTAATGGGGATGCATTACCTCTATGATATTTCCTTATCTACTTGTACATATTTCTCTCTAATATTTTCTATCCCCAGTAATGTTGGTATGCTTTGTTATAATATAATCTCAACTCAAAATTTTGATTCATTCCAGATCTTCAACTACTTATTATATTATTAGAAGAATCTAATAATATTTTTATCAAAAGTATTTGGCTGCAGTAAAAAGATGGAATTTTAAATAACTACTCAATTTGGAGACCATTTGAGAGGGGATAGACTTGATGCATATAAGAGAATGTGCTACTTTTCCTAATAGAACATTATGACCCAGTCACAGTTTGGAATCTGTAAGTCAGTGGTCTCTAAAGTTACGTACACACACTTACCTATTGGGATATACTAAGAAAATAGTAGAAATTTTTCTATATACATCTTGATAATACTACATGCTAAGAAAATAGTAGAAATTTTACTATCTATATGATTTTAAAAGTTTGGAAACCACTGATATTTAGGCAATTATTTTTGGATACCAAAAAAGCAGCAATTGGAACTGACAAATGAAGCATTTATAACTCTCAAAGTAAACTTAGTATGTGAACTCAAATGTTTTCTTTCCTTTTCTATCATATGATTAAACCTTGATGGAAAATTTTGAGACATAACATATTCAGAGTAATTTAAGGGCATTTATGCAAATTGAGTTACCTCTTTCTTTTGTTTATATTTTGAACTAAACCTGTTTACCTTGGATGAAAAGTCCATAGCCTAATGTTTCTTCTTAAATTTTTTGCCAGATGAAAATAGACTATCAACACCAAAACTATGTCCTTCCTTTTCAATTAATTGTTGTTTTAGGCCTTTTGCATGGTTAGCTTTCCTTAGTATCCAGTTTGCAAACATGCTCTCTGATTGCCAAATGCTGCCTGGTACCAATGAGATGCTTTTTCCTACCCTGTGCTCCCGTGTACCCAGTACCTTGTGCTATGTATACTATGAGAGAGAGAGCAATAAGTAAATGCTTACTAATGGCTATAATTTATGAATATTCATGTTTTAAATCTCAGATATTCAAGATTAAAGCAGTGCAATTGGCTGAGAAACTCCTTCCTGCCTTTAACACACCTACTGGGATTCCTTGGGCAATGGTGAATTTGAAAAGGTAACTCTATGTGGGTATTCTTATTCTGGAAGAATTATTTTGACCTTTTTAGTCTTAGAAATTTCTAATGAGTCACCCCCACATTTTTTTTAAAGACATATTGTTTTTCTCTCTATATATAATCTTTGTTTTCTTTTGTGTATATGCATAAATGTGTTTCTTTAAAACATTTTCTGATTTTTAAAATAAGTCCTTTGAAACAGGTTAATTGTCTTAACTTGATTGCAGTTTTTACTACTCGTTTCTGTAAGTCTAGATTTCTCTTCCTCACCTGTATGGTATACAATATTTGTTTCTTTTATTTGCTTATTCATTTCCATTTAGTGCTAGAATAGAGTCAAAGTACATCCTCCCTCTTTTTCTTTTTATATACCACCTCCTGATCTTCTAAGTGAAAATAGAAAATAATATACCTAGAAATGAGGGCTTCCTATTGCTGAATGTCATATTAAAGATAAAGAAAGACGTAATTTATGATGTTGACTGCGGGGTTTTTATTATAGCATCTACACTAGTGAAGTTCAAAGTGAACTCTTAAGCATCAATCTTTATAATCTGTTTTCTAATCGAAAACATTGGTTTTTTACTTAGAAATAGATGAAATGTTTTCTTTGGACAACTTTATAAATTATGTAGAGATATACAATTAACATTTGAATAATGTCAACATATTTGAACTTGCATTTAAGTAATTTATGCTGACTGAAATTTGTTGTGCTCATTTTTTCTCCTAGTAAAATTTATTCATCATAATGTTGGAATTTGGAAATTACCTAAAAATTTGATTGTTGTTCTCTTTGCACTCAGACCCTTTAGAATAAAAGTTAGGAACATTTATTTTTCTGGAGATGTGAATCTATGACATTATTTTTAGAAACGACTCGACTTTAGTAAAATTTTTCTAATTGAAGAACTTTATTGAGTTTAGATTTACATTGAGATGTCAGCAGCATTTAATACTGAACATTAAATCTAACTTTACTATCTCTGATTTCATGCACTATGTATAGTGCAGATTACCTCTTTGGTGAGGAAAAAGCTGGCTGAAGTTCCAGAGCAAGCTCCATGGAAGGATATGGCCAAGTGATGTTGTGTATACGCTTGTTCTCGTTCCTTAGTTTTGTGACAGATTTTGTGATATTTCCTTCAGGATCATCGTCAGAATCAGACATTATTATCTACTTAGATAATAATTAAAACTTAATTCCGATAGGAAGACAGACTGGAGGCTCTTTTTTTGTCTACATAGAGGAAAAGAACTTGAAAATCAAGATTAAATTGCAGAACTTCTAATTTAAGATTGAGATTAAAGTAAAAAGGTTTCCAAGGACCATGTTGTGAGCTTTTTATAAGATTAATTTTAATTTAATTTCTTTGGTATGTAAACAAATACATAATTTTACTTGAGTTTTTATATCATGAATGTAATTATTTACCTATTTAAAACTTTTTAAGTAAATTTTTTGCAGAGAAGGGATCTTATTTTGTTGCCTAGGCGGATCTCGAATTCCTAGGCTCAAGTGATCCTCCTACCTCAGTGCTGCGATTATAGGTGTGAGCCACTGCACCTAGCATTATTTACCTGTTTTTGAAAATTTTTTTTTTTTTGGCTGGGGTCTACGCATTTCCCACACATAGGCCTTCCCTTAGTCTTGATGACTGAAAGCCAACCCATCTTAATAATCTATCATATTTATCTTCTACAATATGATACAGCAGACAGAAACAAAAGCAGAGCTTTTTTTGTAATGTTTATTTGGTTTATCACTTTAATGGCTTGCTTTTCTGCTTCTTATCTTTCTCACTCAATAATACTCCATGGAAATACGATTCCAGGTTACTCAATAAAGATCTAAATAAATCTTTGTGATGAATACCAAGTGAGAAATGGGATAGTTATACTATAATTTATTCATTAATTTTCATATCAGTGGTATTTGTTTCCATTATTTTCCTACCACAAACATTGCTACAATAGCATCCTGTTATACATGTTCTTGTGTAGTAGGAATTTTATTTCTTGGAAAATGGTTCTCAAGAATACAATTGCTGGATTAAAAAGCATCTGCTTTTTTTTTTTTTTTAATCTGTGGGACAGATTTCTAGATGTAGCGTTCCTGGATCAAAGGGATATGTATTTTTAAATTTAATAGATATTGCCAAAATGTGTTCCAGAAAGGCTGTAGTACATTTCCACCAACAATATGTGAGAGTCTCTAAATGTCTGCAGGTATAAATTCTTTTTAATTTTTGACACGATGGTTGCTATAAAATCTTCATTGTATTTTCTGACTAGTGAATTTTGAACATCCTTTTCATAAATTTATTGGGCATGTAGATTTGCTTTTTGGTGAATTGTCTATTCCTAAGTCTTGCTTGAGTTCTTTGTCTTTTTCTAATTAATTTATAAAGTGTTTTGTAGATTATATAATTAATTCTCCTCTCTCTACTCTTCTGTTGGTCTGTTGTCTTTATAATAATATATGACTCATAAGTTTTAAGCTTATATATACAAATATATGTTTTATAACTTTTAGTTTACAGTCTTGGTTAAAAAATTGTCTCCATCTATATTTTTTACATTCTTCGAGATTTCCATAAAAGCTTTGAAATACTGCTTTTCTAAAAGAATTGAAGTATGGCATTAGTTGTGGAGTTTTCATCAGTTATATCAATTTCCTTTATCACATTGAGGAAATTTCCTTCTATTCCTATTTCACTGAGATGTTCTTGTTGTTGTTTTATCATGAATGGATGTTAAATGTTGCCAGATACTTTTTTTCCATCTATGGAGATAATCATAAGGTTTTTCACCTTTATTCTTTTAATATGGTAAATTACTTGTAAGATTTTCAAATGTTAAATCAACCTTGAATTCCTTAGATATTCCTTGGCCATAATGTATCCTTTTTATATTTTGCTGTATTTTATTTCCTAATACCCTTTGAAATTATATGATGGATATTGGTAGGAATTTTATTTTTGGAATGCCTTTGTCAGATTTTGGTGTGAGTTACCTGGTCTTATTAAATGAGATATTATTAAATTATTAAAATTTTTGTTTGCAGAAATAATTCGTGGAGTGCTGTAGTTACTTCTTTCTTAACTGTTTGATAGATAGACCTAAATGCAACTACCTGAGCCAGAAATTTTCTTTGTTGGAAAGTTTTTAATAACAAATTAAAATTTGTGTGTGTGTGTTTGGAGGGGGCTGGTTTAGAGACAAGGTCTTGCGCTTTTGTATCGACTGGAGTACAATGGCACAATCACAGCTCACTGCAGCCTTGACCTGCCGGGCTTAAGTGATCCCCCCATCTCAGCCTCTCTAGTAGCTGAGACTACAGGTGTGTGACACCACACCTAGGTAATTTTGTTTATTTTTGTAGAGGTGGGCTCTCACTGTCTTGCCTAGTCTGGTCCCAAACTCCCGAGCTCAAGTGATCCTCCCTCCTTGGCCTCCCAAGGTGCTAGGATTACAGGTGTGAGCCACTGCACCCTGCCCAAATTTTCATATTTGTGTGTGTGTGTGTGTGTATGTGTGTGTGTGTCTGTGTGTGTGTATATATATATATATGTATATATGTAAATTTATATGTATACATATAAAAGAAAATTTATATATAAATTTATATATATTTATATATGATATATAAACATATATCTTATATTCAGATTTTGTTTTATTTTGTGTCAGTTTTAGTTAATTTTAAAGAAATTTCTTCATTTCACTTAAATTAGAAAATTTGGTGTAAAGTCGTTCTTGTGTTACTTTGTTTTACCTTTCATCTTTGTAGATTCTATAGCAACAACCACTTTCATTCCTGATTCTAGTAATTTGTATTCTTTCTTTTCTCTTTACTAGTTTAATGAGGCATTTGTCAATTTTGTTAATCTTTTCAAAAAAGTACTTCTGTTTTTGTTAATTTTTACTTTTTTTTGGTTTTATTGATTTCTGGTTTATTTTTATTATTTCCTTCTCTTTTCTTATTGGAGCTACTTTGCTCTTTTTCTGGCTCCTTACATTGGAACTGTAGGTTGTATCTTTCTACACTGATCTTATATCTTTCTCTCTTTTCCCCCCATAAACTACTGTTTTTCTATAGAGCTATAAATTTCCCTCCAAGGACTGCTGTAGCTGCATTCCAGAAATTTTGATTTTTTTTGTTATTATTCAGTTCAAAATAATTTCTCATTTCCTGTAGAATTTTTTCTTCAATGCATTAGTTTTTTATAATTGTGTGGTTCAATTGCCAAATTTTAGGACGTTTCTTAGATATCTTATTGTTTTGATTTCTAATTTAATTTCATTGTGATCATAAAAATTACAATTTGAATCCTTTCAAATTTATTACAACTTGTTTATAGCTCCGCATATGGTCTTTCTTGGTAAATACACTTGATAAGGAAGTGTATTCTGCAGTTGTTGGGTATAACATTCTGTATATATCAGTTAGGTTAAGGTGGTTAATGGTGTTTAGATCATGTATATCTTTCCAGATTTTTTTTTGGTATAATTGTTTTATGCATTCCTGAAACGAAGTGTCAAAATATCCCAAGTATGATTGTGGAATTGTCTCTTCTCTATTTCTGTCAATTTTTTGCTTCATGCATTTTGACGAAGCTTTACTCTTAAGTACTTACACGTTTATTATATGCTTTCTGATTACTTGAGCCTTTTGTTATTCCACTGTGTCTTCATCTCTGGTAATGTTTTTGTCTTGAAGTTTATCAGATATTAATGTAGCTGCTCTACTTTATGCTTACTGTTTTCATGGTTTATCTCTTTTTTTCCATTTATTTTCAGCTTCACTGTATTGTTTTAACTATAGTTCTGCTTTTGGAGACAGCATATAGTTTGGATCATAATACAAATTTTGTTATTCAGTCTGACAATATTGACATTTTACATCATTTAGCAATAGATCTAAAAAATTATTCTGTATCAACACTTTATATATAATCTCATTATTTTTAAGAGCTTCATAATATAATGCTTATGAAAATGTTGTGACTTAAAATTAATTCTGTATTAGTGAACTATTAGATTATTTCTAGATTTTAATATTATCAAAAAATATTGGAAGAAGTATCCTGCATATGTTGGGAATGGTGTGTGTGTGTATGTGTACATAGACATGTGTTGGTATGACTTTAGTAGAAATAGTGGATCAAAGAATTAAATACATTTTTTCTGTTGATAGGTACTGTCTTCTAGAGAGGATATGCCAGTTGACATTTCCTTAATAAGTGTGTGAGAATGGCTCTTATCGAACCTTTTGAAAATATGGTTTACTTTTATTTATCAGATAGATAAATATAAAATCTTGTTCCAATGTTTATTAATTTTTGAGTGAGATTGAATTTATTTTATTCAGTAGATAGCCTTTTTATGTCCTTTGTTTGTTTTTTATTGGCTATTTTTTAAAAAATCAGTCCTTAAGGTATTTTTGTGTATTAGCTAGATTAGTACTTTGTCATATAAATTGCACATTTTTTTGCTATTAGTAGTATAGTTTGAAGTTGGGTAATGTGATGCCTCCAGCTTTGTTCTTTTTGCTTAGGAATGTCCTGGCTATCCGAGCTCTTTTTTGATTCCATATGAATTTTAAAATAGTTTTTTCTAATTCTGTGAAGAATGTCAGTGATTTAATGGAAATAGCATTGAATCTATAAATTGTTTTGGGCAGTATGGTCATTTTCGTGATATTGATTCTTTCTATCCATGAGCATGGAATGTTCTCCCATCTGCTTGTATCCTCTCTGAGTTCCTGGAGCAGTGGTTTGTAGTTCTCCTTGAAGAGGCCCTTCACTTCCCTTGTTAGCTCTATTCCTGAATATTTTATTCTCCTTGCGGCAATTCTGAACGGGAGCTTATTAATGATTTGGCTCTCTGCTTGTCTGAATATGTTTAAAAGAAAACTGAACATGTTTTAAAGAAAGAAAATAAAATTCAGATATCCAACAATATACTTTTATAATATCCGTAATCCAATCCAAAATTACTTTACTTTATGGCATGCAAAGAAGCAGCAGAAAAATGTAGCTCATTATTCTGTAGCCCAGAGAAAAATCTGTTCATAGAAACAGACATGGAAATAACAGAGGTGATGGAGATAGCAGTAAAGGACTTTACATAGCTATTGTAAGTGTGCTTGAGGATTTAAAGGCAAATGTGAAGAATGAGAAAAGAGATTTTAAAAAGGACCAAAGTGGAACTTCTAAAGGTGAGAAATATATGAAATAAAAAATTTACTTGACAAGCTTGAAGGCAGATTTGACACTGCATCAGAAAAGATCAGTGAGCTTGAAGACAAAACAATAGAAACCACCTAAACTGAAGCACAGAAAGAGAAATAAAAAAGCTGGAGTATGGAGAGAAGCATATCCAGTGACCTATGGGGCAGTGTCAGATGGTTTAACATACCTGTAATGGAGTGATGGGAGTGGCGAATTTGGGAGTGGGAGGAGTGGCAGAAAAACTACAAGCATGAATTGTTTTATTGTGCTTCACTTAATTGTTCTTTGCAGATATTCTTTTTTTCCTTTTTCTTTTTTTTAAACAAATTGATGATTTGTGTCAACTCTGTGTTGAGCAAGTCTATCGGGGCTATTTTTCCAACAGCATATATCACATTTTGATAATTGTCACAATATTTTAAAACTTTTCATTATTATTACATCTGTTATAGTAATATGTGATCGGTGATCTTTCTTATTACTCTAGGGCACCATGAGCAAGCAGTCATAGATGATGGCAAACTTAATCACTAAATGTTGTCTCTGTTCTGACGGCTCCACAGATTGGCCATTCTCCCTTCTCTCTCCTTCTCCTTGGGCTTCCCTACTCCCTGAGACAGAACAATGCCAATAAATAACCTTTCAGTGGCCTTGATGTATTCAAGAGACAAGAAGAATAGCATGTCTCTCACTTTAAATTAAAAGTTAGAAATAGGCTGGGCGTGGTGGCTCACACCTGTAATCCCAGCATTTTGGGAGGCTGAGGCATGCAGATTGCTTGAGCCTAGGAGTTCGAGACCAGCCTGGGCAACATAGTGAGACCCTGCCTCTACAAAAAATACAAAAATTAGCTGAGCATGGTGGTGTGTGCCTGTAGTACCAGTTACTTGGGAAGCCAAGGTGGGAGGATTGCTTGAGCCCAGGAAGCAGAGCTTGCAGTGAGCTGAGATCCTGCCACTGCACTCCAGCCTGGGTGACAGAGCCAGACCCTGTCTCAAAAAAAAAAAAAAAAGCTAGAAATAATTAAGCTTAGTGAGAAAGTCATGTCAAAAGCTGAGATAGGCCAAAAGCTAGGCCTCTTGTGCCAAACAGTCCGCCAAGTTGTGAATGCAAAGGAAGAGTTCTTGAAGGAAATTAACAATGCTATGCCAGTGAAACACAAGAATGATGAGAAAGTGAAATAGCCGTATTGCCAACATGGAGAAAGTTTGAGTGGTCTGTGTAGAAGGTGAACCCAGCTACAACATTCTCTTAAGCCAAAGCCTAATGCAGAGGAAGGCCCTAACTCTCTTCACGTCTGTGAATGCTAAGAGAGGTGAGGAAGCTGCAGGAGAAAAGTTTGAGGCTTGCAGAGGTTGGTTCACAAGGTTTAAGGAAGGAATCTGCCTCCAAAACTTAAAGGTGATGGGTGAAGCAGCAAGTACCAGTAGAGTGGGACATCGCTGAAAAGATGCCTGAAAATGTGGAACAACTTTGGAACTGGGTGACAGGCAGAGGTTGGAGAAGAAGAAGACAGGAAAATGTGGGAAAGTTTGGAACTTCCTTGAGACTTGTTGAATGGCTTTACCTAAAATGCTGATAGCGATATAGACAATAAAGACCAGGCTGAAGTGGTCTCAGATGGAAACGAGGAACTTCTTGGGAAATGAAGCAAAGGTGACTCTTGTTATGTTTTAGCAAAGAGACTGGTGGCATTTTGCTCCTGCCCTAGAGATGTGTGGAGCCTTGAACTTGAGAGAGATGATCTAGGGTATCTGGTGGAAGAAATTTCTAAGCAGCAAAGCATTCAAGAGGTGACTTGGGTGCTGTTAAAGGCATTCAGTTTTATAAGGGAAGCAGAGCATAGAAGTTCAGAAAATTTGCAGCCTGACAATGTGACAGAAAAGAAAAGCCCGTTTTCTGAGGAGAAATTCAAGCCTGCTGCAGAAATTTGCATAAGTAACAGGGAGCTGAATGTTAACCCCCAAGACAATGGGGCAAATGTCTCCAGGGCATGTCAGAGGTCTTCATGGCAGCCCCTCCCATCACAGGCCCAAGGCCTAGGAGGAAAAAGTGGTTTCGTGGGCCAGGCCCAGGGTCCCCTTGTGTGCAGCCTAGGGACTTGGTGCCCTGTATCCCAGCCTCTCTAGCTGTGGCTGAAAGGGGCCAACCTAAAGCTCAGACTATGGCTTCAGAGGGTGCAAGCCTCAAGCTTCCATGTGGTGTTGAGCCTGCCAGTGCACAGAAGTCAAGAATTGGGGTTTGGGAACCTCTGCCTAGATTTCACAGGATGTATGGAAATACCTGCCTGTCCAGGTAGAAGTTTGCTGCAGGGACACGACTCTCTCTCATGGAGAACCTCTGCTAGGGGAGGGCCGAAGGGAAATGTGGGGTTGGAGCCCCAACACAGAGTACCTGCTGGGGCACCACCTAGTGGAGCTGTGAGAAGAGGGCAACTGTCCTCCAGACCCCAAAATGGTAGATCCACCAACAGCTTGCATCATGCACCTGGAAAAGCTGTACTCAATGCCAGCCAGTTCAGGCACCCAGGAGGTTGGGCTATACCCTGCAAAGCCATAGGGGCAGAGCTGCCCAAGGCTGTGGGAGTCCTCCTCTTGCATCAGTGTGACCTGGATGTGAGACATGGAGTCAAAGGAGATCATTTTGGAGATTTAAGACTTGACTGACCCAATGGATTTCAGACTTGCATGGGGCCTGTAGCCCTTTGTTTTGGCCAATTTATCCCATTTGGAATGGCTGTATTTACCTAATGCCTGTACACCCATTGTATCTATAAAGTAACTAACTTGATTTTGACTTTACAGGCATGTAGGCGGAGGGGACTTGCCTTGTTTCAGATGAGACTTTGGACCATGGACTTTTGAGTTAATGCTGAAATAAGACTTTGGGGGACTGTTGGGAAGGCATGATTGGTTTTGAAATGTGAGGACATGAGATTTGGGAGGGGCCAGGGGCCGAATGATGTGGTTTGGCTGTGTCCCCACCCAAATCTCATCTTCAATTCCCATGTGTTGTGGGAGGGACTCAGCGGGAGGTAATTGAATCATGCTATTCTTGTGATAGTGAATAAGTCTCACGAGATCTGATGGTTTTAAAAAGGGGAGTTTTGTTACACAAGCTCTTTTCTCTTGTCTGCCACCATGTGAGATGTGCCTTTCACCTTCCACCATGATTGTGAGGCCTCCCCAGCCACGTGGAACTGTAAGGCCATTAAACTTCTTTCTTTTGTGAATTGCCCAGTCTCAGGTATGTCTTTATCAGCAGTGTGAAAATGGACTAATGCAGCATGATGGTGCATGCCTGTAGCCCCAGCTACTTGGGAAGCTAAGGTAGGAGGACTGTGTGAGTCCAGGAGGCGGAGCTTGCAGCGAGCTGAAATTGTGCCACTGCACTCCAGCCTGGGGGACAGAGCCAGACCCTGTCTCAAAAAACAAAACAAAACAAAAAAACAGAAAAAAACCCAGCCAGGCACAGTGGCTCACACCTGTAATCCCAGCACTTTGGGAGGCCGAGGAAGGTGGATCAGCTGAGGTCAGGAGTTCGAGACCAGCCTAGCCAATGTGATGAAACCCCATCTTTACTAAAAATACAGAAACTCGCTGGGCATGGTGGTGCATGCCTGTAATCCCAGCTACTTGGGAGGTTGAGGCAAGAGAATCACTTGAACCTGGGAGGCGGAGGTTGCAGTGAGCTAAGATTGCGCCACTGCACGCCAGCCTGGGTGACAAGAGCAAGACTCTGTCTCAAAAAAAAAAAAAAGTTGGAAATAATTAAGCTTAGTGAGGAAGGCATGTGAAGTAATTAAGCTTAGTGAGGAAGGCATGCCAAAAACTAGGCCTCTTGTGCCAAACAGTTAGAGTAGTTGTGAATGCAAAGGAAGAGTTCTTGAAGGAAATTAACAGTGCTATGCCAGTGAACACATGAATGATGAGAAAGTGAAATAGTTATATTGCCAACATGGAGAAAGTTTGAGTGGTCTGTATAGAAGATGAAACCAGCTACAACATTCTCTTAAGCCAAAGCCTAATGCAGAGCAAGGCCCTAACTCTCTTCACGTCTGTGAATGCTAAGAGAGGTGAGGAAGCTGCAGAAGAGTTTGAGGCTTACAGAGGTTGGTTATAAAGTTTAAAGAAGGAAGCTGTCTCCAAAACATAAAGGTGACAGGTGAAGCAGTAAGTGCTGATGTAGAAATTGCAGCAAGTGATCCAGAAGATCTAGCTAAGGTAATTGTTGAAGGTGGCTACACTAAACAACAGATTTTCAGTGTAGATGAAACAGGTTTCTACTGGAAGAAGATGCCATCTCATAGCTAAAGAGAAGTCAATGCTTGGCTTTCAAGGACAGGCTGACTCTTGTTGGGGGCTGATAGAGCTGATGATTTTAAGTTGAAGCTAGTTCTCATTTACTGTTCTGAAAATCCTAGGACCTTTAAGAATTTTGCTATGTCTACTCCCTGTGTGGTCTGTAAGTGGAACAACAAAGTTCAGATGAGAGCACATCTGTTGATGGCAGAGTTTAAGCCCACTGTTGAAACCTACTGCTAAGCAAAAATCTCTTTCAAAATATTACTGCTCATTGACAGCGTACCTGGTCACCCATTTTCTACAGTGAAGATGCCCAAGATTAATGTTGTTTTCATGCCTGCCAACATCCATTCTGCAGCCCATGGGTCAAGGAGTGATTAAGACTCTCAAGTCTTATTATTTAAAGAATGAATTTTGTAAGGCTATAGCTGCCATATATAGTGATTCCTCTGACAGATCTCAGCAAAGTAAATGGAAAATCTTCTGGAAAGGAGTCACTATTCTAGATGCCATTAAGAACATTTGTGATTCATGAGAGGAGGTCAAAGTATCAAACAGGAGTTTGGAAGAATTTGATTCCAGTCCTCATGGGTGATTTTGAAGGGTTCAAACTCAAGTGGAGGAAGTAACTGTAGCTGTGGTGGAAATAGCAAGAGAACCAGAATTAGAAGTGGGGCCTGAAGATGGGACCAAATTACTGCAGTCTTATGATAAGACTTGAATGGATGAGGAGTTGCTTCTTACAGATGAGCAGAGAAAGTGGTTTCTTGAGATGGAATCTATTCCTGGTGAAGATGCTATGAACATTGTCAAAATGACAATAAGGATTTAGAATACTACGTAAACTTAGTTGATGCAGCCAGTGTCAGGATATGAGAGTGGCCTCCAAGTTGGAAAGAATTTTTACTGTGGACAAAATGCTGTCAAACAGCATCACATGCTACAGAGAGATCTTTCGTCTTGCAGAGAAATCAAACAGGAAGAATCAATCAATACAGCAGACTTTATTGTTGTCTCATTTTAAGAAATTGCCCCAGCCACCCCAGCCTTCAGCAGCCACCACCCTGATCAGTCAGCAACCATCGTCATCAAGGCAAGACCCTCCACCATCAAAAAAGAGTATGACTTGCTGAAAGTCTCAGATGATCATTTGCATTTTTAGCAATAAAGTATTTTTCAAATTAAGATATGAACATTATTTCCACATAATGCTGTTGCACATTTAAAAGGCTACAGTATAATGTAAATATAACTTTTATATATACTGAGATACGAAAAAGTTTGTGTGACTCATTTTGTTGCAATATTTGCTTTATGGAGGTAGTCTGTAACCAGGCCCATAATATCTCTGAGATATGCCTGTTTTTAAAGAAGTAATGTCTAGAAATTTTTCAGATTTGTTAAACAGCTGTAAATTCACAGATTCCAACATTTGATGGAACCCAGCAGGATAAATATAAAGAAACATGACGTCTGAAAATCTGTGACTAGAAAAAGAAAAGTTAAACAGCCAGAGAAGAAAGGCATTTACATTGGGGAACCAAAATAGAAATACTTCCTTCTTATCATAAGCAATACAATCCAGAAAACAATCGAATCCATCTTGAAAGTGTTGAAAGAAAAAAGTCGATCTCAAATTCTATAGCCACTGAAAATATTCTTTAAAAACAAAGGTGAAATTAAGACATTTTCAGGCAAACAAAAGCTTAGAGAATTTATTGCCAGCATACCTGTATTGTTAGAAATTTTAAGGAACTTTCTAATGACAACAGATGGAAAAACAGATTTACACAAAGAAGGGAAGGGCACTGGAAGCAGTAAATATTTGAATAAATATAAAAGGCTTATTTTTTCTGTTTTGGTCTTTGTTTAAAGCAAAAATAATAACTCGCATAGTGGGGCCTATAGTATACATAGGAGAAAAATTTGTTACCACAGTAGCACAGAGGATAGTATGGAGACGTGAAGCCCTTACATTATATGTGAAGTGGTATAATATATAAAGGTCTACTGTGGGAAGGTTAATGGTTTATGTTGTAATGCCTAGAGCAGTCATAAAAAAATAAGCCGGTAAAGAAAATGGAATACTAAAAACTACTGAATCCAAATGAAGGCAGGAATAGAGAAGGAAACAACTAATGGGAAAAATAGACAATGAAAAGGCAAGATAGTAAACTTAGGTTGGTAGGATGTAAAATGGTAGAGACACTTTGGAAAACAGTTTGACTGTTTTTCAAATGTTTATCACATCAATAGGATATAGGTAAATAGTTGTCATATTCATCCAATGGAATACCATTTAGCCATAAAAAGAATCTAACTGCTGAGACACACAGCAATATGGGTGAATCTCAAAGACATGTTGAGTGAAAGAGCCAAACACAGGAGCATATACTGTATGATGTTTGTATGAAATTCTAGAACATGCAAGACTAATCAGTAGTGAGAGGAAGCAAATTGAGAATTGTTTGAGACTTGGTGGAGGAAGTGTGTGTGTTGATTGCAAAAGGGATAAGGACATGTTTTGGAAGGATTGACTTGGTTTGTATACCAGTCTTTGTTTTCATTTGTCATAACCCATTGAATGGTGTACCTGAAAGGATGCATTTTTGTATGTAAATTATACGTCAGTATATACTTAAAAAGAAAAATAAACCAGATCCTACACTTGGCTGAGGGGCTGTGTAATAACAAAAAATAACATTACCTTATAATTGAAGGACAATCTTAACTTTGAAAACATATTTAGAAAAAAGTTTGTAAAAATACAGAATTAAAATTAGAAGAGACCAGTGAGTATTTAAAATGTAATAGACAACTCAAATTATGCTTATGCAGTTTTCCAGAAGGATAGATGAGAATGTGTTAACAGATTGCTTTGGTACTGAGAGTGATTGGAAGAGGTAGAGGGCTTAGAGAGATACTTTTTTTTTTTTACTTTATGCTTTTTCAGTGCCATTTAAATTTTAAATCATGAGTATATTACATATCCTCTCAAATTAAATGAAAATGTAACAAAAATCAGACTTCATTTTAAAATAAAAATTAAAGCTGTTATATTCATCTGCTGTCAAACAAGGAAGTTTTTACTTAAAAAATTTTTAAAGCATCTGCTATAATAAAAAGGTGAGAAGAAAGCCATTCTTACATTTCAGCTTTACTTGTAGACTAGTGTATTATCTGTCAAAAGCCCTTAAAGCTTGTTTCTTTTGACCCAGCAATTCAACCTTTGTTAATGTGCCCGAAGAAATTGGATGTATGGACTAAGGAAGACATCTACAAAATTATGTTTATCACGGCGTATTTCACAAAATCATAAGTACAGGTTGAACGTTCAAGAGTAAGGTCATTTGTTAAGCAAATTTGGTAGTCCATAAGGTAAAACAATATGTTGCCACATAAATGATATCATAGATAAAATATTTACAGTATATTAAAAATGTTTTATAAGCCAGATTATGGCATCATATAATGAGAATGACCATATAGTGTGTTGTTCATAAGAGTACAATTTAAGAATGAATGGGGGAGCTGAAATAATTAAAACTATTTAATTTTCTGAGTATTTAATCACTGACAAATTGGTTTTATTTTATTGGGTATCCTGTAAAATAATTCTGCTATAAACCTATTTTCTAAAATGAAATTATTAAAAACATACATTCTTGTGTATTTATCTAAATTTGAAATTATTGGCACTTTCAATTGACTCTTGTATGCTTTTATTAGAGAAGGTATTCTCCCTACAGTTGCTCAGAGCAAATTCTGCTTAATTTTAGGATATTCTCAATTCTAAATTTTTGCATATTAAAATGTTTAAATATTTCAGACCAGATATTTTTACAAATCCCATTCTTTTGCTTTCATTCAGAATACCTTCCACAAATCTGAGATATTTTTACATTGACTTTTATTTGTAATTATTTTAAATAATCATCCAGTTTAGATGATACAGAATCATAGGGCTTCTCAATTTCATTCCATTGAAGTATACAATATAAATAAATCTAATTGAAAATAGGAGCTCCATCAAACCATTATTCCTACAAATGAAGATACTTCAACTTAAGCTTACACATTGAGTGTTTTAATTTCTTCAGTTCATTCTTTGCTTTTGTCGGAATGCATTTCAATATCAGTGTGTTTGCAAGCTTTGTTTCTAATAATTGCAGTTTACTGAAAGCTTTACTCCATTCTTTCAATACATTGATTAAATATATTCGACTGACTTTGAACAAAATGCAAACCAAAATATAGAAGACTCATTATCAAAACAATTTAATATGATTGTAGACCACTTAGGGTGATTTACTGTCAAGAGTTTACCAAACATTTTTAGAATCTTTCCTTTTGCTGGTGGTCAGGTAAGAGAAACATACGTTTTGCTTGCTTGTTTTTGTTTTTTGGTATTCATTGCAAATTTTTTGTTACTCAGGTTCTCTGAGTATATACGTAAATTTTAGTATCCAGACCTTTTATTTTGATCAGTTGAGAAAAAAACATAACATTTGCATGAAATGATGATCCGGTTATTTTTTGGCAGCTCATCATCATTTTATAGTTGGAAATTTTGTCCTCGGCAGCATTATATCTTGTTCTTAGGGATTTTCTTATTTTTCTGAGTTGCTAGGATATATGTAAGTATCAAATTTAATATTTTAGATTCTTCCTGTGACACTATGTAAAAAATTTAAAAACCTTATTTAGAATTTAGTATTTTGAAAAGTGTTACTTTTTGACTTTTGGCGAGATGTTCTTTTTATAGAGAATGGCAAACTGTTGGACTTCCTAAGTTTTGTTTTTATACTTGACCACACTATAATTCATCCGCTATGCTGAAACCTAGTTAATCTTTCTAAATGGTATGCTTTATTCCTTAAGTATTATGTTATAATCCTTAAAGTTATTCATGACTTTCCATCACACTTAAAGACTAAAATTTTACCATGGCCTACAAAATTATTTCATAGTCCAGATTATACCTTGCTTTCTAACCTCATCCTGTGTCATTCACTTCCCCTTACTTTCTGAACTCTAGCCAAACTAGCCTCCTTCCTTTCCCTCAAGGCCATTACATCTGCTGTTTCCCTTACTGGGAATTCTGTTCTTCCAGATATTTTCATTAGTGGCTCCTCATCATTCAGGTCTCAGTTCAAATCATATCATTTTAGAAACATTTTCTCTGAACATAATATGTAAAAAGCCTTTTTTGTAACTCACTTTCTATCTCTAGTACTCAACATTCTATTTTTCCTTTTTAATTTTCTTCACAGCAACTATCACTATTTAAAATGATCTTATTTATTGTAGGAGCAGGAATAGTATATGTCAGGTTCACCACTCTCTCACAGCATAGTAAACACTTACATTTGTGAAATGAATTACTGTCTTATGTAGTTACTATATCCATATTTATTCTTTGATTCTCACTTCTAGCTATAAAATATCCTAGTGGTATTTGCCTTCCATATTTTCAGACAGTTTAAAAATAGCACCAAACAATGAAGGAACTTTAAGCAAGGTTGTGATATGTTCTTACATCTATTTTAATGTTCTCTAAACACAAATAAAATATAACATATTGAATTGACAGAATACAAGTGAATATAAGATGAGAAATATATATATATCTATATATATATATAGATATATATATATTTTTTTTTTTTTTTTTGAGACAGAGTTTCGCTCTTGTTGCCCAAACTAGAATGCAATGGCGCAATCTTGGCTCACTGCCACCTCTGCATTCTGGGTTTAAGCGATTCTCCTGCCTCAGCCTCCTGAGTAGCTGGGATTACGGCGCCTGCCACCATGTCCGGCTAAGTTTTTGTATTTTTAGTAGAAATGGGGTTTCACCATGTTAGCCAGGCTGGTCTTGAACTCCTGACCTCAGGTAATCTGCCCACCTCGGCCTCCTGAAGTGCTGGGATTACTGGCGTGAGCCACCGCGCCTGGCAAAAATATTTATATTTATACTTCTCCCAAAAAATAAGACAAGATCCTAGAGAATGGTCTAGAGTTCTTGTAGGAATAATCCAGGAACTCTGCTGCTTGAATCATCTAGACTTCCAGTTCCAACCAGGAAATACTGTTTATCAGACTACCCTTCTACCAAAAGCAGTCATGAAAGCTAGACAAAATATATAAAACCAAATGGTTTGAAGACACTGAAATGCAATTAGGTAGAGCTTGAGGGGCTGTGATCCTAAGGTCATCGCCATATAAACATTGGCTTTTTCCCTGAGGATATGTTCTAAAACATGTTCAGAGCAATAGAGGCCATATCTAAAGTGGCAGTCATTTCGGGCAGAGGAGACAATGGTCAGGCCCCAGAGCTGCTAAAATGACTGAAACATAGGGACAAAATCTCATATAGAAAGAAATTGCAGAGGAAAAGCCCAAAATTTATGGACAAATTTCCCTGAAGTCATTGGTGATTCCATAACCACATATATGGGGCAAGCAAGACTCAAAGAAACCCAGCAGAAAATAGCAGAAGAAATTTAAGGGCTAAGGAGGAAATTTAACAGCCACATGCTAGTGGGGAAACAGAGGTTAGGCTGCTTAGGTGCCCTTGGTAAATACCCCTGGCTTCCAACTGAAATTCCCAGGGCCATTTCTGGAAGTTGGGGTAAAAACGGAAATGGACTATTTTTAACAAAACCTAAAACACAATGTAATCTGCATTTACTCAGTCTGTGTTCAGAAGAAATTTAACCTTTTTAGAAGATAATGTCATTCAAAGCCTCTACAATTTTTCATTTTATGTAGTTTGCCTTCAGATAAAAAATTACTAGACAGATTAAAAAAATAAAACGCAAGAGCATATTCTAGAGATTATATCTGCACAAATGAAATGTTTATGAGATTATTCACTGAAAAATGTTCATGGTAACAAAATATTGGAAATAGCCCAAGGGACCATCAATAGGGAATTTATTAAATTGTGTATATTTATGTAATATATTAATTTTCACACAGGCACTATCATCGTTTGGTGCAAGCCAGTTCTTTATTGTATGATACTGTCCCGATCATTCACTACAGGGCAGTTTATAACTTTGGACCTGGCACAATAAGTGGAGGTTGCACATTCAAATTTTGAGACAACTCAAAATGCTCCCACACATTTTCATGTGCCTCTAGGGTGGGGCATTCCACTTGAGAATCATTAATATTATGGAATTCCGTACAACTGTAAAAAAAAAAAAAAAACTGAGAAAGTTGTTTATGAACTGATATGGAAAGACCACCAACTTGCTATGTTTTGTTTAAGAAAGGAGGACAATGAGCATATATATTTGGATTGCCTACATTTGCATAAAACATTCTGTAGTAATATGTAAGAAACGAATGAAAGTGATTTTCTGTGGAGCCTGATGAGGTGAATGGAGATGAGAATGGGTGAAATGTATTTACTGGATTTAAAAACTACTGTTTTAATTTTTAGAACATGGATTTATTACCTATTTAAATTTTTAATACAATTTTAGATATAAATAAGCTATCGTGTCAGATATAATAATTTATAAGAGATCTATTTAAAATTTACATATTCATTAAACGAATGTTTTGGTCTTTTCCCAATCCTGTGTCTCCTTTTACTTTTCCTTTTCATTCAGTGGAGTAGGGCGAAACTGGGGCTGGGCATCTGCAGGTAGCAGCATTCTGGCTGAATTTGGTACACTACATATGGAGTTCATCCACCTCAGCTACTTGACAGGGGACCTGACTTACTACAAAAAGGTTTGTTTTCTTGCCTTCTATTCTTTGTTTGTTATAAAGAGTCCTTTAAGATTGGCCCAAAGATTTGATTAATGCTTAAAAGGTTTGCCTTTCTAGATATATGTTTATTAGGGCTGTAGCCTTTATTTTTTCTTTTGAAGTTACTCAAAGAAATGTCCTTTCTATTTAGAACATATTTAAAATATGTATTGTTATTTGAGAAGTTATAACCACTGTTACATTTTTCAAAAATTTCACTGCTATTTTTATGCAGCATTGTGCTGCGGTACCTACCCAGCCTGGTAAGACAAGAAAAACAAAATAACCAGATGTTTAGGAATTGAAAAGGAGGAAAGAAAACAGTAGTTATTCACAGATTACGTGATTATTGACCTAAGATATTAAGACAGTCTATATTTAAATTACTAGAAATAAGAGTTTAATATGTTTTTTTAAATAGATGATCAATATGGATGTTAAAAATCAGTAGCATTTCTCTACACCAGCTACAAAAGGCAAGAAAATGTCATTTTGCAAAAAGATATCTTATGTAATAGAACAAAAGTATATATGTTTCCTACAAATAAATCTAACAAAAGATAAAGTTCAAATTTTTACTCAGCCATGGAAAAGAATGAAATCCTTTCATTTGCAGCAATATGGATGGAACTGCTGGAGGACATTATGTTAAGTGAAATAAGCCAAGCTTAGAAAGACACGTATTATGTGTTCTCATTCATATGTGGGAGCTAAAATAAATTGATCTCACGGAGGTAGAGAATAGAATGGTGGTTATCAGAGGCTTGGAAGGGTAGTGAGGAGAGAAGGATAAAAAGGGGTTGGTTAGTGGGTACAAAAGTACAGTTACATAGAATGAATAAGATCTAATGTTTGATAGCACAATAGAGTGACTATAACAATGATTTGTTGTATATTTCAAAATAGCTAGAAGAGAAGACGTAGAATGTTTCCAACAGAAGAAATGATAAATGTTTGAAGTGATGGATGTTTCAGTTACTCAAATTTTATCATTATACATTATATGCTAGTATCAAAATATGTATAACTCTTTATATCCATAAAAATTAAAAATAAAAATTTAAAAATACAAAACTTTATTAAATGATATTGAAGAGGATATAAATAAATGGAGAGATATCGTATTTATATATAGGTAAACAATATCATAAAAATTTCAGTCATCCCCAAATTGATTTATAGCATAAATTCAGTGCCAATAAAATCTCTAATGGCCTTTTTCCTCCCAGTGGAACTCGAAAAGACACTTCTAGAATTTATACAGTAAAGAAACATTCTAGACACTTGTGAGGAAAAACACACTGGCTGGATTTACATTGCCCAGTTATCAACATTGACAGTATAGTATTTGTTAATAGGGACAAACAGACTGACAAACAGAATAGATAGCTCTTAAACAGACCTACATATATGTAGAAACTTGTTTTAACAAGTGTCGCACTGTGGATTATAATAGTTAATTCCAGGAATATTAAAGGCTTAACTTTAAAATATAAAACCCTGACACTTTGAGAATAAAAAAATATATGCCCTTGGGGTAAAGAAGGATTTTTACAATGGGAAACAAAAAATATTACCTAGTAAAAATACCCTGTAACCCAGCAATTCCATTATTCGGTATGTACATTTACATTGTATACGTAGAAGCATTGTTTATATTGGCAATTTATATAATAAAATACAAAATAGTAATGAAAAATGAATTATGTTTATATCTGTTAGTTAAAAGAATATGATACAATTTTTATAAAGTTCAAAACAAAGCTGAACAGTATATTGGTTAGGGATTCAAAATGGTTTTGATAAATTGTTGAAGTAAAAATAATATATAGAGATGAATCTCTAAATTAAATGTTTTATTTGGAAGCACAGAACTCCAATTCAGGGCATACACACAGAGTAGGGTGGTTGGTCCTCAGTACATCCAGAGAACAAAGAGAAGGTTGGAAGTTTTATTAGAAATGTTATGTATAGTTTTGAAAGGAAATGTGTTGACACGAGTAAAGCTTCTAGAAGCTGTCTGGCTCTGATTGGTGATGGCAGTAGATAAAACTATAATCTTAGGGTTATAGCAGCTGAGCTTGTGGAAAACGTAATTTTTGGAGCTGGTGTTATGTGCCGCAGGTGATTTTCTGCTGGGCCCCTTGACTCTGATTTAGTTGGGTATGACAAGAATGACCCAATTCGTATAATTTGCTTTCACAAAGTCAAGATAATGACAAATATGAAACTCAAGACTACAGATACATCTGGGATATGGGGAATAGTATGTGAATGGGCAGTGAACAGACCATCAAAGGTGTTCGTAGTGTTGTATTTCTTAAATTGAGATGTGAGTAGAGTCGAGATATATATGTATATTCCTTTCTGTGTATGAAGTACTTCATCAACAGAGAAGAATTTTCAGGAAAATGGAACTAGATGACATAATTTTCCCTGTTCTGACTAAATAAATAATAAAAATTAAATATTTTTATATTAATTATGTTAAAAATTATTTTTATATCAATTATATTAATAAAAATATTAAAGACAGTACAAATTCATCAAAGGCAATAAAAGAAGGAAAAAATGTAACTTCATGTCATATTTGATAACCAAAATAAACAAAAACGAAAAGATTTCTGATTTCTGGAATGAGACATAAGTCTGCTTCCTACCGTATCCTGAAACCTTTCTGGGAAAAGAGAGTCAGCCAACTCCTAGTATTCCCTATCTGTCTTGCCAGGGAGACCAGTGCCCAGGGCGTCAAATATGTAATTGCCTACAGCTCCAGCAGAGTTCTCACCTCTCATCCTTCCTGAACACATAGGCTTCAAGTGATCAAGTAGAAGTACACTAGTACTCCAGATCTCAAATTGTATCCAAGAAGGGAGAAACACACACATACACACACACACACACACACGAGGAACTCAAGGAGAAATCAACAAAGTTCAGGTCAGAACTGACCCTGGTAAATGTGAACAAGATAAAACAGAAAGCATGGCAATTGTGCAAACATACTGCTAGAAACAAAAGCAGAGTGGTATATAGCATGTAGAAGACTGATAAAGAATCCAGTTTCAAATTTTAAAAACAGTAAAAAAAAAAAGTCACCATGAGTAATTCATACCATAATAGAAATTAAATTTAACAGAGTTAGAACTCAGAACCAAAATAAAACAATAAAGTGATACAAAAATATTGTGGAGCTAAAGAAACAAGCTGAGACCTAAAATGATGTATCCCCATAGCTAATGGAAAACAACAAAGAACTCGTTGCACATAGTTAAAAACTGAATTACTTACATGGAATAAAAGCAAGAGATAGTCATAGTCAAAACAAAGGAAAAGCAGAGATTAAAAAGATAATAGATTTGTAAAATAAACATAATTTAACGTATGGGCCTTCCTGAAGTAGAAGACCTAAATCATAGGAATTAACCTAAAAGCTGCAAGAAGAAGAAACACTGCTGGGCACAGTGGTTCACACCTGTAGTACCAGCACTTTGGGAGGCTGAGGTGGGTGGATCGCTTGAGCTCAGGAATTCGAGACAAGCCTGGGCAACATGGTGAAACCACTTCTCTACCAAAAATTAGCCATGTGTGGTGGGGCGTGCCTGTACTCCCCAGCTACTTGGGAGGCTGAGGTGGGAGGATCACTGAAGCCTGGGAAGCAGAGGTTGCAATGAACTGAGATCGAGCCATTGCACTCCAGCCTGGGCGACAGAGCAAGACTCTGTCAAAAAAAAAAGAAACAGAACACTGCAAATTCCATTTCTAACAAAATTAAGGGATACTTGATGCTTCATAACACCAAATAGGAAGAAAAGTAGGCATATAAGCAGTAAAGATCAGAGAGAGGTTTGGTATAAATGGAAGAGAGGATGTTTGGGTCTGCAGACTGAAAAATACAAAGCCAGTAGAGCACAATTCTCTAAATTAGATGGTGTAACTTGACATACAAAACTCAAATTCTCATGAGCAGCAATGAGAACAGGATCACAGGCTAATGGTGAGTACTTCTTTGGACCTTACTAGATATAATGTGTTGAGAAGCTGGAAAAACAGAATCGAGTAAGGTTTCTCACAGACAAGCTGTTTGCGCCTGCGAACTTTGGTGAGGGAAGGGAATGAATGACAGATTCACTATTGTGCTGCATTTCCAATCTCAAGTGGCTGGGGAGAAGCAAAGTCTAAAAAAAACATTTATGTCTGGACTCTTACCTGGTGTTTTATGTCAAAACTTTCATTCAGGAAAATAGTAATGAGTAATTTGTTAAAAAAGAACAGGTACAGAATTTATACAAAGATATTACCAGAAAAAAGGAAAAGGAGGGAAAATTGTGGGCACAAAATACGTAAAAGAGCAATTGAAAATTCCAAGCAAATATCACCATGAGAGAAAACATAGTAAAGCCTTCATCTCTGTAGAACAAGTATATAAACAGAGATACAAGAGCTCAGAGACAATAAGATGTGATATCAGTAACAAAGTATAAGAAAAAATAGTTATCAACAAAATGAAGGCCAAAATGGAAGCAATACAAAGAAAAACAGTGTTCAAAATATAAGGAGCTTAGAAGACAAAATTGAGAAAAGCTAGTAAATGTGTGGAAATAAAAGGAGACAGAAAGAAAATGATAGATAAGGAAGAAAAAGAATAGTATACAGTTTTTGGATGACAGAAGAGTTAACTTTCTCACCTTTTATAACATCATTCAGAACTATCTAAAAAGTGGTCTATGGAATTTTTCAGATTGAGATTGTTATACATAGTGTTGGTCTCAAATGTGAAAGAACACAGGTAATATAGACAGCATCCCTGAGTCCATTCCTAAAACTACTTAAAGACAAAATCCAGCCAAATGAATGACGATGGGAAACCTTGTGGCAGAAGAATTGATATTGTACTCAGGTCCAGAAAAGTGAAGTATATATCAGGTCCTCTGAAAAAGAAAGTTTTCCCAAGTTTATACCAGCCAGGTTATTCATCAAATGTAATGACAATATTCTCAAACAAATAAGAGTACAAGGAACATAACACCTCCTCCCACCTCCAGGGGCCCCCTTAAAAGCACTTACAAAGTTCACCTAATCTATAGTTGAATCAAAATAAATCCCTAGGAAAGTCTCCAGCTTCTTAATATATTTCATGATTTTTCTTTCCCCCTTACTCTCAGGGAGATATTTTAAAATTTGGAATTTCAGGAACTTAAAGATATCTATTGTGGGAACAATATTTAAAGTTCAACAGTTTGTTTTACTTCATTTACTTTTTTATCTGTTCAATTCAAATTAATAACTTTTCAAAATACAATGGCATTTTATGATTCAATTCCTGTGAAGTTATTTCTGTTCTTATATTTGAATATATATGTGTTGACTGTGTCTAGAATGATGTTTAAAATAACTGATGTTTCAGATGGTATTTCTAGGTAGTAGCATGTTGAGATTTAAAATGGTTTCTATCTGTGCAGTTTTCTCTGTATTATTTTTATTATTGCTTGATTTTAAAATAATGAACACATATCATCTTATAAAAATGAGTCATTTAAGAAATAGAAGGCTTCCCTGACTTCCCCCTGCCCCTCCAACACACACACAAAGGCAGGGAATAGGTGTAGATTCTGAGTAAGAAAAAACACAAAGCCTACATTAAAACCAAGCCTTGATGACACTTATTTTTATTAATTGCATTCTTAATTTTATTTTACTCAGGTTATGCACATTCGGAAACTACTTCAGAAAATGGATCGTCCAAATGGTCTTTATCCAAATTATTTGAACCCCAGAACAGGGCGCTGGGGTCAGTGTAAGTATTCTAGTATACCTGAGGCTTTCTTAAAAAATTATTTGTCTGAAAACTCTTTGCTTGATGTTGTAAAAAGTACACTACGTGGAGTTAGAAACCCTCAGTGTCTAACCTTGTGGTCTGCTGGTGCTGTTCTTAGGCATGTTTCTGATCTCTCTTAGCTTCAGTTTTCCCACTTATAAAATGGAAATGTTAATAACATGTCTCCTAAGAGTATTTTATTTCCTGTATTGCTAAAATATAGTGTGGCAGTTTGAAGGTTGTACTTAAAAACTCTTATTAATAAATTATATCTTCATGTAAATAAAAGCACTGCTTAGGAGAGGGAGGTAGAGGAGGAGTATGAAAAACAAATGAGTATTTACTAGAAGGGGGGCAGTTGTTCTTGGATAAGCCATGTCTGTTCATTCATTTTAGAAGAGGGCATCCTGGCCTTCATTATTTACCAGTCTCTGTGCTAAGTTCTTAGAAGAGATTGAGATGGAGAAAGAACATAGGGCTTGGCCTGAATTCACAGGCTGGCAGGATAGGCTGACACATAAATGTTACTGTACAGGAAGGAACCAATTGTTATATGAAACTGTGGTAAAAATGATTCCCTCTGCCTGAGGGGAAAGTATTTTGTTTAGGGAGAGGGTAATTTTTCTTATTAGAACTCATTTATTTTTGAAGGAATTGATTTTTAAAAGTAACAACTAATATTTCTGTGGAAATGTGGAACTTACAGAATTTTAGTAATTGTAGGTTTATCAATGCTATTCTCTTTTAAAAGTTAGGAAAACAAAAACAAATAATAGAGATTGCAACTTTGCCGCTAATAAAACATGATTCAGTTATTTTTGAGACTAATGAAATCTTAAGTAGTAAATAAGAGACAAAAGTAATGATCATTTAATTTTAGTATTGAAAACACTGCTGATTCTGCCAGTAAGAAAATAAGCTGGTGTGAGTACCAAGAATAGGAAAACATTTGCCCTGGAATTGTCTTTTTGTTCCTTTCTAGGAAATTGTCTTTTATTTTATGAAAGGAAAGCAGATAGGTCAATATAATTATGTCTTTCATGGATCTGGGAATAGATCTCAATCTTCTTTGACTCTTTTTATACTTACTTTTCCTGTTTCCTGAAATTATTTACATATGACTCATTTTTCTCTTTATTTTGAAGAAGATAAAAGCTCTAATGCCTAGACTGAGTGGGAATGATATTTTCTGGAAAAACAAAACCCTGAGAGCTGCATTTCTAAAATGTAAAAACGTAGTTTTCTTATTTCAGATAAGAGTGACTGGATTGGATGTCTACTTAGTAATTTGGATGAATTCTATCAATCATAAATCTTTACCCCTGTGAGTTGTATTGAGATTTGAGAATATTATGATAATATAATGATATAATAATGTATATGAAAAATTATGTTCAGTTCCTGTCTTAGACTATATGCCAGTGTATATTCTATATGGTATTACTATTTAAATGTAAAAGATGAAATCATAAAAGTACTAAAAAAAGGGTTGAATATATAATCAGGAAAGCCTTTTCTAAGCATGTCATGTAAAACAGAAACTACAAAAAAAAGATGTCAGTTTTCCTGTATATTATTGTTAACCTCTGTATTAGTCTGTTCTCATGCTGCTATAAAGAACTGCCTGAGACTGGGTAATTTATAAAGGATAGAGGTTTAATTGACTCACAGTTCCACAGGGCTGGGGAAGCCTCAGAAAACTTACAATCATGGCAGAAGGGGAAGCAAACACATCCTTCTTCACATGGTGGCAGGAAGGAGAAGTGCCAAGCAAGGCGGGGAAAAGCCCCTTATAAAACCATCAGATCTTGTGAGAACTCACTCATTATCAAGAGAACAGCATGGGGGTAACATCTTCCTGTACCCACTCTCCAGAGTGTATATATTTGTATGCTTTTTGAGCCAGCAACTCATTTCCAGCAATTTATTCCAAATAAATTTTCAGAGCTATATATTAAAGTTTATTTACAATAATCTTGGGGTTGTTTATAATAGGGATAATTTGGAAGCAATCTAAAGCAGTTCTATCTAACAGAACTTTCTGTAATGAGGAAAAGATCCTATTATCTGTATTATCCAATACAGTAGTCACTAGCCACATGTGACCATGGAGCACTTGAAATGTTGCTAGTATGGTTGTGGAATTACATATTAAATTTTAATTTAATTAACTTACATTTAATTAGCTACTTGTAGCTAGTGCTTCTACATTGGACAGGGCAGTTTTTAAACGTCTTGTAATAGGGATTTGGTTAAATACATTTTGGCCTGTCCAGATATAGTATACTATGCAGCCATTAAAAGTTATATTTTAGAATACCTGACATAGATAAATGACATATCTAGAAAGATATTTAGAAAAGGAGAGGAAACACTATAGAAATAGAAACCAAAGTGTTATGTGTGGTTTTCTTTGAATTTGTGTTTTTATTTTCTCCTTTTCATTTACTGTTACTATCCAGATTTGATTATGAACATCTATTACTTTTGATGTTAGCTTAAAAACATTTTTAAATAAAAAGAGAATCCCATTTTCCATGCCAGTATAAGGATACTCAGAAAAGTAAATCACAGTTTGAGAATTGCCAGCCTTAAAATGATCAAAAGTACAACATTGATGACATGGAGGCAGGAGAGTCACTTGAACCCAGGAGGTGGAGGTTGCAGTGAACCGAGATTGTGCCACTGCACTCCAGCCTGGGTGACAGAGCGAGACCCTCTCTCAAAAAACAAAATAAAACAAAACCAAATCCAAAAAACAGAACTCTTTCTCTTCAACGTTGTGTTGAGAAAACTGGATAGCCATGTGAAAAATAATGAAGTTGAACCCTTACTCTATATTATCTACAAAAATTAACTCAAAACAGATCAAAGACTCTAAATTTGAGAACCAAAACTGTAAAACTCTTAGAAGAAAACATAGGGGAAAATCTTCGTGACCTTTGATTTGACACTGGATTCTTCAATATGACACCAAAGGCACAGGTAACAATACAAAAATAAAAGATAAATTGGATTTGATTAAAATTGAAAATTTTTGTGCATCAAAGCATACTATCTATGAGAAAGAAAGACGACCCACAGAATGAGAGAAAATATTTGCAAATCACATGTCTTTTAAGGGTCTATACACAGAATATATAAAGAACTCCTACAACTCACTAACAGAAGGCAAACTACCTACAACTCAACAACAGAAGGCGAATCACCAAATTAAATAATGGGTGAGGACTTGAATAGTCATTTCTGCAAAGAAGATATGCAAATGGAAAATAAGTACATGAAAAAGATGGTTAACATTAAAATACAAATAAACTCACTGAGATACCACTTCACAGCTACTAGGAAGACTGTAATCAAAAGGATGAAAAATAAGCATTGGCAAGGATGTGGAGAAGTTGGAACCCTTGTACACTGCTAGTAGGAATGTAAAATGGTGCAGCTGCTGTGAAAACCTAGCAGTTCCTTAAAAAGTTAAACATAGAATTACCATATGACCCAGCACTTCATCTCCTCTGTATATACCCAGAAGATTTGAAAACAGAGACTCAAACAGATACTTGTAGCCTAGTGTTCATTACATTATTTATGATATCCAAAAGGAGAAAGTAACTCAAATGTCCAACAGATGAATGGGTAAACAATATGTGAGTATAAACATACAATGGACTATTACTCAGCCATAAAAAGGAATGGAGTTCTGATACATGCTATAATATAAACAAACCTTGAAAACATTATGCTAATCAACAAAAGCCAGTCACAAAAGGACAAATATTGTATGATTCCACTTATATCAAATATCTAGAGTTGTCAAATCCATAGAGACAGAAAGTAGATTAGAGTTGACCAGAGGCTTTGGATGAGAAGAAAGTGGAGAAGAAAATGGAGAGTTATTGCTAGAGTTTGTATTTGCAGTGATGAAAATTTTTGGAAATAGGTAGTGGTGATGGTTTTACAGCACTGTGAATATAATTAATGCTGCTGAATGGTACACTTTCAAAATAGTTAAAATGGCAACTTTTGTGTTATATACATTTCATCACAATAAAATTTACAACAAAAAAGATAACTTTTATTCCTCTGTTTTTTCCTCACAAAATAAATTCAAATTACTTTATAATATATTCACTCTCAGCAGTTTTTAATTTCAGTGTTATAGAAAGAGCTATTCACTGGTTATTTTGGCAGAAGATCTTTAAAATCCTAGCGAGCTGCCCTGATATCCTTTTAGCAGCTGTAGTCCTTACAGAATTGTCCAATTTGTTCCTTTTAATGTTTTTGTATATTTTATATCAGCCTCTGAAAAGTATATCAAATTTTATTATTATCTTTGAGCTATATGCATCTGTCATATTTATAAATAGTCTGCAAAACAAACATTTAATTGAACTGAAATTTAACAATTCAGCTTTGGCTAACTGTATTATAATTAGAGTAATGATAATGTCTGTGACATGCACATAGCAATCACAGAAGATAATTACTGGTAATTACCTTCAGGAAAAGTGCTTGGCAACAGATGTAAAAGAATATAGCAAGAAACCTAGATTTAAAGGCAAATTACTAGTTTTTTTTTCTTTTCTAAAACTTTTTTTTTTGCTAGTTTTCTAAGCACAATACTTAGCCTATGTCATTTAATGATTAAAGTGAAGAAAATATAGGAAATCAGTCATTACTGATTCATTGTTTTATATTACTAAATTTATAATTGTGGAAAAAACAAGAATGGACATGTTATGCCCCTTTGAGTTAGAAAATGAATTGATTGTCTTGCTTAATAATTTAGATAATTTATTTAACTTCTCTATGCATCTTTATCTGTTCTCATTGTACTTATTTAATAGAAAATTCATGTGGATCATATTTATAATATGTTTGAAAATGCTTCAAATTAGTTTTTATTCTAGAATTTCCCATAAGAAGACTTCAAGAAATAGCTTCTGTTAGAAACCTGCCATTAACTGTATAACATGTTGAAATAAATCATATGAATCATTGCTATTTAGGAGTATTTTATAATATGTTAATCAATTTCTGAATATCAAAAGGACCTTAGAGTGACATGGTTTATCAAATTTGACATGTAGGCATATAATCTACAGGAAAGAGAAGTAGCTTCAAGTTCCTTAGTGGTATCCTTTTGCTTTAATGTAATTTCAGATGTTCTGTAAAGCAAGATGGACAGAATTCTCACTTGAGAAGGTTTTTTTTTTGTTTGTATATTTTGTTTTTATTGAAGATAATTGACAAGAAAATGTAAATTCTCTGTTCAATAATAAGGTTAATTTTGTTTTAATATGATTTGTTATTATAACATTTCTAATTCACATTCTTCCTTTTGCACTCAGTGAATATATATACTCTGTTAAAAGTTAAACAAGGCATATACCATAAGGTGTCATATTCAGATACTGAGAAGAAACCGGATCAGGTTTTGAGAAAACTAATGAAGGAACAAGATTAGTTTTATTCTGTTAAAACTGTCTATAAAATACATTGTAATAAATAGGCTAAATTAGGAAAAGGAAAGGCTTACAGCAGAAGGACATACTAGAAAGCTAATATAATACGGATCTGGATCTAGGATAGCTGTCTGTGGGAGTGGTAGTCATCATAGATTTTATCTTTCCCTTTGTATCCTACATTCATTCTTCACTAAGTCTTGTCAGTTCTGACTATTTCTGAAATATTCGTTTCCCCATTTTAACTGCACCTTTTTCCGTTTGGAATACCTTCCGCCTTCTCTATGTCCTCTTATCAATAAATTCCTACCTATTCAATGAAAACAGAAAAGGAAAATCCTAAGTTAAATAAACTATTCAAATATAGTAATCTCTCTTGCAACCACCTGTTAGGGAAAAGGAAAAATATTAGGGTATATATATAAATACCCATTAAAAGATTAATATCAATTTTATGTGTGATAGTATTATAGGAATATATTTTCTCTACAGGATGTTTGCATTCACTAATTTCACTGATACTAAATATCAACCACTGTTCCAGATGCTAGGTATATAGATGTGAACAAGTAGACAGTGTCCCTAATACCCTTGGAGAACTTACATTCTGCTGGAGAGATATGAAATAAACAAATACATGATGTGATGTAATATAATGGTAAGAATTTCTTTTTTCTTAAAGCACTTTTAGTTTCTAGGACAATACATTCTTTTGCTTTTCTCATAGCCTTACTTAGCTTCATGCTTCACTCAGTCTTTTTATTATTATTATTAGTTTTCTCCTTTTCTCCTAGCCTCTTAGTGTTGGAATGCCTTAGAGCAAGCTTGCCCAACCCAGGGCACTGGATGGCTTTGAATGCAGCCCAACACGAATTGATAAACTTTCTTAAAACATGAGATTTTTTTTTTTACAATTTTTAAAAAGCTCATCAGCTATCATTAGCGTTAGTGTATTTTATGTGTGGCTCAAGACAGTGCTTCCAGTGTGGCCCAGGAAAGCCAAAAGATTGGTGGACAACCCTGCTGTAGAGGTCAGTCCTCCATTCTCTCTTCTCTCCAGTGTCATAGTTTTAAATACCATTTACATGCTGGCATCTCTCAAATCTAGAACTCTAGTCCTCACCTTGTCCTTGGCCTCTGTACTCATATATCCAATTATCTACTTGACATTTTTACTTAAATATCTTATAGATACCTGAAACTTAATATATCTGTAAATGAGCTCTTCCTAATAATTCTATCCACCTCAAAACCTGTTATTCCTCCAGTCTTTCTCATTTCAGTTAATGGCAGGTCTATTCTTGCTCATGCCATAAATCTTGTTGTCATCCTTTACTTCTTTATCTCACACCCCACTCCAGTTTCTCAGCAAATTCTGTTCTGTCTGCCTTTGAAATATGTCTAGAATTCAATTGCCACTACCCTGAGCCAAGTCACCATCTCTTGCCTGGATTGTTATAATAAATAGCATCCTAATTGGCCTTTCTGTTTCTGCCTCTGCCCCTTTCAGTCTATTCCTAATACAGGAGCCAGTAATTTTTTACAAAGTAAGTCACATTATGCCATTTTATTTAACTCTTCATTACTTTTCATGTCAGAGTAAAAGCTAAAGTCCTTTTGGGGCCCTGTGATCTGGTTCTTATTATCTCTTTTCCTTCATTTATTCTTCTCCAACTACATTGGCCTTCTGTCACTTGTTGAATCCATTAGGCACTTCACCACCACAGAGCTATTGCAGCCACTACTCCCTTTGCTTGGAATGATTTTTCGAGAGATATTCACATAGCTCAATCCCTCACTTTCTTCAGGTTTTTTTACTCAAAAGTTACCTTTTCAATGAAGTCTTCCCTGGTCACCTTACGTGATAGGCGGAAGTACAGAAAATTGAAAGACATGTTTTATAGATTTCTTCCACCGAGTGGTCCATATTTTCTCTGTGAATTAGAAGGCATTTAACTGCTGATAGCAGAGAAGAAGGTAGAGCAGTAGGGGACTTAAGACAAATAACAAATATCTTCTTCAGGAAATAGGAAAGAACATTAATGAAGGAGTTATAAAAAAGTTGACAGGCAGTGTTGAGGCTCATGTTGATGGTGAAAACGGTAAATTTGGAGGTAATAGTAAAACAGACTGACAGCTGGGCTGACCCACAGTTGATGTTTAACTGTCTGGGTACAACAGGAGAACAGTGGAGTAAGGGTCTTGAATGGTTGGACAAGTGGGATTACCTGTTGCTTCCTTTCGTATTCAACCTGACTGCAAAGGATCCAAACTTATTTGAGAATATATATATGTATACTTTTCTCTTTCTATTTTATCTAACAAATCCCAAAACTCGTATCAACCCAGCCACCTACTTTTCCCATTTACATACAGAGTCAACTAAGCATTGCTGGTGAAAATAACAGTACAGATTAAAGTTACTATAAACGTACAATTTCCAGTTTTATGTGGATCACCAGTATTCCATGAGTTTTTTTTTTTTACTTTGATCAATTTACTTTCCTATTCTTTACTCTCCTTAAGTTTTCTATGTAACCCCTCTATCCATCTCCAGCTCTTATTTTGACCATTTCTTTATTTTCAAGTTCCTAGGCAATTTTAGTTTAGATATATCTTTAGTAAAAATAGTATTTATATAGATTTAAAAAATTTCAGTTTGAGAGTCTCAGTGTTTTAAAAACTGAGTCAAAACAACTAAATTGGTGGAGGTTACTGATAGATTTGGACTAATTCCAAATATTCTTTGGTTTTGTTTATTTTTGAAAAACTGCTTTATTAAGATACAATTTACATATAATAAACTGTACATATTTAAAATGTACAACTTGGTGTTTTAAAATAGGTGTACACCTATGGAAATCATGATCACAATCAAAATAGTGAACATATCTATCACCCCTTTTCCTCATACCCTTACATGTTCCTTCTCTCAACCTCCTCCCTTCCCCCTCCCCCAAAACAACTACTGATCTGCTTTCTGTCATTAAAGCTTGGGTTGCCTTTTCTAGAATCTTAGATAAATGGCATCCTTTATTTGTACTCTTTATGTGGCTTCTTTCAGCATAATTATTTTGAGATTGATCTATGTTGTGTATATCAGTAGTTCTGAGTGGAATTCCACTGTATGGAATACCATAGTTTGTTTATCCATTCTCCTGTTGATGGACATTTAGGTTGTTTCTGGTTTGGGGCTATTACAAATAAAGCTGCTATGAACACTGACTTACACACCTTCATATGTTCTCACTTCTCTCGGGGAATACTTAGGAATAGGCTGCTTTTATCAAATAGTAGATGTGTATGTTTAACTTTTTTAAGGAACTACCAAGTTGTTTTCCAGAGTACATATACCATTTTACATTGCTATCAGTAGTGTTTCTCCATATACCTGCCAACACTTGATATGATCAGTCTTTTAGTTTTAGCCATTTTATTACATTGTATTTTTTTTTCCTTTTTTTAAAAATTATACTTGAAGTTGTGAGGTACATGCCAGAACGTGGTTTGTTATGTAGGTATACACGTGCCATGGTGGTTTGCTGCACCCATCAACTCGTCATCTACGTTAGGTATTTCTCCTAATGGTATTCCTCCCCTACCTTCCCACCCACCGACAGGCCCCGGTGTGTGATGTTCCCCTCCCTGTGTCCATGTGTTCTCATTTTTCAACTCCCACTTAGGAGTGAGAACATGCAGTGTTTGGTTTTCTGTTTCTGTGTTAGTTTGCTGAGAATGATGGTTTCCAGCTTCAACCATGTCCCTGCAAAGGACATGAACTCATCCTTTTTTATGGCTGCATAGTATTCCATGGTGTATATGTGCCACATTTTCTTTATCCAGTCTATCATTGATGGGCATTTGGATTGGTTCCAAGTCTTTGCTATTGTGAACAGTGCTGCAGTAAACATATGAGTGCATGCATCTTTATAGTAGAATGATTTATAATCCTTTGGGTGTATACCCAGTAATGGGATTGCTGGGTCAAATGGTATCTCTGGTTCTAGATCCTTGAGGAATCACCACACTATCTTCCCCAATGGTTGAACTAATTTACACTTCCACCAACAATGTAAAAGCATTCCTATTTTTCCACAACCTCTCCAGCATCTGTTGTTTCCTGACTTTTTAATGATCGTCTTTCTAACTGGTGTGAGATGGTATGTCCTTGTGGTTTTGATTTGCATTTCTCTAATGACCAGTGATGATGAGCTTTTTTTCATATGTTCGTTGGCTGCATAAATGTCTTCTTTTGAGAGGTGTCTGTTCATATCCTTCGTCCACTTCTTGATGGAGTTGTTTTTTTCTTGTAAATTTAAGTTCCTTGTAGATTCTGGATATTAGTGCTTTGTCAGATGGATAGATTGCAAAAATTTTCTCCCATTCTGTAGGTTGCCTGTTCACTCTGATGATAGTTTCTTTTGCTGTGCAGAAGCTCTTTAGTTGAATTAGATCCCATTTGTCAGTTTGGGCTTTTGTTGCCGTTGCTTTTTGTGTTTTAGTCATGAAGTCTTTGTCCATGCCTATGTCCTGAATGGTATTGCCGAGGTTTTCTTCTAGGGTTTTTATGGTTTTAGGTCTTAGGTTTAAGTCTTTAATCCATCTTGAGTTAATTTTTGTCTAAGGTGTAAGGAAGGGGCCCAGTTTCAGTTTTCTGCATATGGCTAGCCAGTTTTCCCAACACCATTTATTAAATGGGGAATCCTTTCCCCATTTCTTGTTTTTGTCAGGTTTGTCAAAGATCAGATGGTTGTAGATGTGTAGCGTTATTTCTGAGGCCTCTGTTGTGTTTCATTGGTCTATATTTCTGTTTTGGTACCAGTACCATGCTGTTTTGGTTACTGTAGCCTCATAGTATAGTTTGAAGTCAGGTAATGTGATGCCTCCAGCTTTGTTCTTTTGGCTTAGGATTGTCTTGGCTATATGTGCTCTTTTTTGGTTCCATATGAAATTTAAAGTAGTTTTTTCTAATTCTGTGAAGAAAGTCAATGGTAGCTTGTTGGGGATAGCACTGAATCTGTAAATTACTATGGGCAGTATGGACATTTTCACGATATTGATTCTTCATATTCATAAGCATGGAATGTTTTTCGATTTGTTCGTGTCCTTTCTTATTTCCTTGAGCAGTGGTTTGAATTCCTGGACACATACACCCTCCCAAGACTAAACTAGGAAGAAGTCGAATCCCTGAATAGACCAATAACAAGTTCTGAAATTGAGGCAGTAATAGTCTATGAACCAAAAGAAGCCCAGGACCAGACAGATGCACAGCCAAATTCTACCAGAGGTACAAAGAGGAGCTTGTACCTACCATTCCTTCTGAAACTAATCCAAACAGTAGAAAAAGAGGGAAATCCTCCGTAACTTATTTTATGACATCAAGATCACCCTGTTACCAAAACCTGGCAGAGACACAACAAAAAAAGAAAATTCCAGGCCAATATCCCTGATGAACATCGATGCAAAAATCCTCAATAAAATACTGGCAAACCGAATCCAGCAGCACATCAAAAAATTTATCCACCATGATCAAGTCGGCTTCATCCTTGGGATGCAAGGCTGGTTCAGCATACACAAATCAATAAACATAATCCATCACATAAACAGAACCAAGGACAAAAACCACGTGATTATCTCAATAGATGCAGAAAAGGCCTTCGACAAAATTCAACACTCCTTCAAGCTAAAAACTCTCAATAAACTAGATAATGATGGAATGTATCTCAAAATAATAAGACCTATTTATGACAAACCCACAGCTAATATACTGAGTGGGCAAAAACTGGAAGCATTCCCTTTGAAAACTGGCACAAGATAAGGATGCCCTCTCTCACTACTCCCATACAACATAGTACTGGAAGTCCTGGCCAGGGCAGTCAGGCAAGAGAAAGAAATAAAGGGCATTCAAATAGGAAGAGAGGAAGTCAAATTCTCTGTTTGCAGATGATATGATTGTATGTTTAGAAAACCCCATCGCCTCAGCCCAAAATCTCCTTAAGCTGATAAGCAACTTCAGCAAAGTCTCAGGATACAAAATCAATGTGCAAAAATCACAAGCATTTCTGTACACCAATAATAGACAAACAGAGAGCCAAAATCATGAGTGAACTCCCATTCACAATTGCTACAAAGAGAATAAAATACCTAGGAATCCAACTTACAAGGGATGTGAAGGACCTCTTCAAGGAGAACTACAATTTTAGCCATTTTAATAGATGTGTAGTGGTAACTCATTTTGGTTTTAATTAGCAGTTCCCAAATGACTAACGATGTTGAACATCTTTTTTATATACTCTTTGCTATCCATTTATCTTCTTTGATGAATTATCTGATCAAATCTCTTGTCTACTGCCTATTAAAAACATTATTTTCTTAATTGTTGAGTTTTGAGATTTCAGTATATATTCTGGATACAATTCCTATATCAGATATATTCTTGGAAGGTATTTTCACCCCATCTTTTAATTCTCTTAATAGTGTTGAAAAGCAGAAGATTCTAATTAGGAAGTCCATTTTTCCAATTTGCTTTTTATGAATTATATTTTATGTCATATCTAAGAAATCTTTGCCTAACTCAAGCACGCCTAACCCAAGCACACAAAGATTTCTTCCTATGTTTTCTTCTAAAAGTTTATAGATTCGGGTTTTGTATTTACATCTGTGAGACATTTTGAGTTGATTTTTCTATAGGGATCAAAGTTTATTTTTTTTACATATAAATATTCTATTATTTCAGCATCATTGGTTGAAAAGGCTTTCCTTTTTTCACTGCATTGCCTTTGCAGCTTTGTTAAGAATCAGTTGTACATTTAAGTGTATGTTTATTTTTAGACTCTATTCTGTTTGTTATTAAATCTACACAATCAACACAGTGTGTACCATCCTGTTTTGATGAGTGTAGATTTATTATAAATGAAGTCAAATAGTGTTAGCCTTCCAAATTTGTTCTTTCTCAATAGTTGTTTTTGCTCTCTAGGTCCTTTGCATTTTCTTTCTTTCTTTTTTTTTCTTCTTCAACTTTTATTTTAAATTCTGGGCTACATGTGCAGGATGTGCTTGTTACATAGGTAAACGGGTGCCATGGTAGGTTGCTGCACAGATCAACCCATCACCTAGGTATTAAGCCCAGCATCCATGAGGTATTCTTCCTGATGCTCTCCCTCCCCCTATACCTCCAAACAGGCCCCAGTGTGTGTTGTTCCCCCATGTATCCATGTGTTCTCATCATTCTGCACTCACTTATAAGTGAGAACATATGGTGTTTGGTTTTCTGTTCCTGTATAGTTTGGTTTTCTGTTCCTGTATAGTTTGCTGAGGCTAATGGCTTCCAGCTCCAGCCATGTCCCTGCAAAGGACATGATCTTGTTCCTTTTTATGGCTGAATAGTATTCCATGATGTGTATGTACCACATTTTCTTTATGCAGTGTATTATTAATGGGCATTTAGGTTGATTCCATGTCTTCACTATTGTGAATAGTGCTGCAGTGAACATAAGCTTGCATATATCTTCATAATAGAATGATTTATATTCCTTTGGGTATATATCCAGTAATGGGGATTACTGGGTCAAATGGTATTTCTGCCTCTAGATCTTCAAGGAATCAGCACACTGTCTTCCACAATGGTTGAAATAATTTACACTCCCACCACCAGTATAAAAGCATCCCTTTTTCTCTGTAACCTCACCAGCATTTTTTATTTTTTGACTTTTTAATAATCATTCTGACTGGTGTGAGATGGTTTTTCATGGTGGTTTTGATTTGCATTTCTCTAATGATCAGTGATGTTGAGCTTTGGATCAGTTTGATCAATTGATCAGTTTGGGATTGATTTTGATTCAATCCTTATTCTTATTGTGCATTATTTTTTTTTGCCTCTGCATGCCTGGTAATTTTTGACTAGATTCTATGTGCTGGATATTTTTTTATCCCTAGAAATCTTCTTGAACTTTGCTTAGGGTTACAGTTAAGTTACTTGGAAATAATTTGACCTGTTTCTTGTTTTGCTTTTAGGATTTTTTAGGTGAATCTGGTGCATTGCTCAGTGAGGCAAGATCTTCCTGAGTACTCTACTAAATGTCCTGTGAATTATGAATTTTTCTTGTCTGGCTGGTATGAACATCCACTGTTCCCAGTAGGCTCTTTGTAAGCACCAGGCAGTGTTCCCACCAGTCCTTTCATGTGGTTCTTTCCATTGTCTCAGTTAGTTTCTTCACGTGCAAGTGCTGCTCAGTACTCTGCTTAATACTCAAGGGAGATCCTTTGCAGATCTCTGGGGTTCTCTTTCTTTGCACATTTGTTCTCTCTGGTATACTATCCTATAAACTGTAGCTTCCCCAGTCTTTCCAGACTCAGCCTTATTTCTGAAACTTAGAGAGTCCATAGGTCTGTGCCTTAATTTTTTCTCTCTGTGCCTTTGCCTGAAAATTTTCTTGATGCAGTAATTTACAGGCAATAATGGGACTCACCTTGTTTGTTTTCCATCATTTAGCGATTACTATCCTCTGTTGTCTGATGTTCATTGTCTTGAAAACCAGTGTTTCATGTATTTTGTCCAAAGTTTTTGGTTGTTTTAGGTTTCAGGCTAAGCTCAAGTACCCATTACTCTATTTTAGCCAGAAGCACTTTTTTAAAAAAAAAGTCAATTCCTATTATGTTATTTTTCCTCCTATTTACTGGGCATTCTTAAAATATCCTACCCCATGCTGCCTCATTTTTTTACTCATTTGAGTATTTGCATATATGTATATTTCCATCTTTTTCTAACAGTTGCCCTTGAATTTTAACTTACATCTTGTTTATATTTTTTCTAACAACATCTAGACTTAATCATTACTGTATCTTCCCTCTGAACAACATGAAAACTTGTGTACTTTCACTACCCCATTGCCTAGCCTTATCATGAACTTGAGGTTCAAAGAGTTAATCCCTCTGTTCATTATTGCTTTTTGCACACTCCATTCTATTCTCTTAGATTTTTTGCTGTAATTTTTAGAACACTTCCTCTAGGAGTTTCTAATGGTTCGTTACCTACACCTTTCCCTCAACCCCACCCAGATGACCTAAGTCAAGATGAAAGAAAAGATCCTTCTGCAAGAAATCTCTTTACCTATCAACTCATTTATTTGCCCACTTGATCTTCTGTTTCTCCAGTCTCAGAGAATCCAGCATCCACTGTTCTGCCCAGTATTTATCCATTGACCTGTGCTCTGTCTGGATCCTATCTTCTCTCAACTCTTGAACTTTTTCTTTTTTGGTGTTTGCATTTACTTATGCTATATTAAACCTCTTGGTTCCTTTCTCATAGCCAGTAGGTTCCTCTCTCTACTTCAACTGTTTTTCAATGCCATAGATTCCTTCTGGCAAATATTCTGTACCTCTTCTTCATGTCTTGGTAAAGCCTATTTAAAAAAAAAAAGGAATAGTCTATTTTTCTTGTTTGCCTTCTGTTCACTTCTCAATACATTGCATTCTGGGCTCTGCTCCCCATCACTTCACTAAAAATAATTTGACCCTCTTACTGTCCTATAGACTAGTCCAAAAAAAGGACAATGTACTAGGTATTGCTGTATAACAAACCCCTCTAAAATTTAGTAGCTTAAAACAATTTTTTATTTCTCTGGAATCAACAGGTTGCCTGAGTGATTGTGCTTTTCTGGCTTGGGCTTTGCTTATCTTATCTGGGTTTGTTCATGTGTCTGCAGGTAGATGACAAGTTGGCTGAAGGCTAGCTTGGCCCCACTGGGGAGGACTCAGCTCTGCTTCATGTGGTCTCATCATCTATCAGGAGATACCATGCTTTTTACATAGCAGTGATAGTTCCACAAAAAGAAGTGGAGCATGCAAGGCTTCTTGAGGCTTAGGATTGAAACTGGCACACTGTTAACGTTTTACCAGATTCAGTTAAACAAAGCAAAATGCAAGGCCAGTCCAGTTTCAAAGGATGGAAATTTGTTTCATGTTCTTTACACAGCTTCTTAAATGTTGATATTCCTAGAAATTTTTCTTCTAACCCTTTCCATTTTGCCTCACCAACCTCATCTCTTTTTACAGGATGACAAAATTTGCCCTATATATTGGTGACATCCAAATCAGCAATTAGCAAACTATGGGAGACCAGCCTGTGGCCTGTTGTTATATGGCCCACTAGCTTAGAATGGTATATATATATATGTTCTAGGGTACATGTGCACACGTGCAGGGTTTGATACATAGGTATACATGTGACATGTTGGTTTGCTGTACCCATCAACTCATCATTTACAACTCACCGTATGTCTTTACAGTAGCATGATTTATAATCCTTTGGGTATATACCCAGTAATGGGATTGCTGGGTCAACTGGTAATTCTAGTTCTAGATCACTGAGGAATTGTGACACTGTCTTCCACAATGGTTGAACTAATTTACACTCCCACCAACAGTGTAAAAGTGTTCCTGTTTTTCCACATCCTCCACAGCATCTGTTGTTTCCTGACTTTTTAATGATTGCCATTCTAACTTGCGTGAGATGGTATCTCATTGTGGTTTTGATTTGCATTTCTCTGATGACCAGTGACGATGAGCATTTTTTCATGTGTCTGTTGGCTGCATATACAGACATATATATATGTCTCAAAAGAAGACTGTTTTGAGAAGTGTCTGTTCATATCCTTTGCCCACTTTTTGATGGGGTTGTTTTTTTTCTTGTAAATTTGTTTCAGTTATTTGTAGATTCTGGATATTAGCCGCTTGTCAGATGGGTAGATTGCAAAACTTTTCTCTCATTCTGTAGGTTGCCTGTTCACTCTGATGGTAGTTTCTTTTGCCATGCAGAACTTCTTTAGTTTAATTAGATCCCATTTGTCTATTTTGGCTTTTGTTGCCATTGCTTTTGGTGTTTTAGTCATGAAGTCCTTCCCATGCCTATATCCTGAATGGTACTGCCTAGGTTTTCTTCTAGGGTTTTTATGGTTTTAGGTCTTAGGTTTAAGTCTTTAATCTATCTTGAATTAATTTTTGTATGAGATGTAAGGAAGGCATCCAGTTTTAGCTTTCTACATATGGCTAGCCAGTTTTCCCAGCACCATTTATTAAATAGGGAATCCTTTCTCCATTTCTTGTTTTTGTCAGGTTTGTCAAAGGTCAGATGGTTGTAGATGTGTGGTGTTATTTCTGAGGCCTCTTTCTGTTCCATTGGTCTATATATCTGTTCTGGTACCAATACCATGCTGTTTTGGTTACTGTAGCCTTATAGTATAGTTTGAAGTCAGGTAGCGTGATGTCTCCAACTTTGTTCTTTTTGCTTAGGATTGTCTTGGCAATGCAGGCTCATTTTTGGTTCCATATGAACTTTAAAGTAGTTTTTTCCATTTCTGTGAAGAAAGTCATTGGTAGCTTGATGGAGATGGCATTGAATCTATAAATTACTTTGGGCAATATGGCCATTTTCATGATAGTGGTTCTTCCTATCAATGAGCATGGAATATTCTTCCATTTGTTTGTGTCCTCTTTTATTTAGTTGAGCAGTGGTTTGTAGTTCCCCTTGAAGAGGTCCTTCACATCCCTTGTAAGTTGGATTCTTAGGTATTTTATTCTCTTTGTAGCAGTTGCAAATGGGAGTTCACTCATGATTTGGGTCTCAATTTGTCTGTTAGTGGTGTACAGAAATGCTTGTGGTTTTTGCACATTGATTTTGTATCCTGAGACTTTGCTGAAGTTGCTTATCAGCTTAAGGAGATTTTGGGCTGAGACGATGGGGTTTTCTAAACATACAATCATGTCATCTGCAAACGGACAATTTGACTTCCTTTCCTAATTGAATCCCCTTTATGTCTTTCTCTTGCCTGATTGCCCTGGCCAGAACTTCCAACACTATGTTGAATAGGAGTGGTGAGAGAGGGCATCCTTGTCTTGTGCCAGTTTTCAAAGGGAATGCTTCCAGTTTTTGCCCATTCAGTATGCTATTGGCTGTGGGTTTGTCATAAATAGCTCTTATTATTTTGAGATGCGTTCCATCAATACCTAGTTTATCACTGGTATGTGTTTCAGGTATGGGGAGGGATTTTGCATCAACTTTTAAGAGCATCTTGACAAATAATCATTGTATAACCACAGTTGACCCTTGAACAACACAGGGGGGTTAGAGTCACCAACCCCTTGTGTAATCAAAACTTCACATATAACTTTTGACTCCCCCAGAAGTTAACTACTAATAGCCTACCGTTGACCCAGAAGTCTTACCAATAACATAGTGCATATTTCGTATGTTATATATATTATATACTGTATTCTTAAAGTAAGCCAGAGAAAATAAAATGTCATGAGGAAAATCATAAGGAAGAGAAAATACATACACAGTACTGTACTGTGTTTATTGATGTTGTAAATTTATGTTGTCTGTTTACAAGATGAATAGTCTGTGTCAAATGGTGGCAACTACAGTGGCAAACCTCAATCTACAGTACAAATCAAACAGTCCAACTTTTTGTTGTAATATCATGACTTTTCGCTGCTTCTTGGGAACACTTTCAGATTGCTAGTGGCACTTCATATGGGTCCCATGGTGTTTTTGAAGGTTTACACTACTGTGCCAAACAATGAAAAATATGCAAGAACCATGAGAAATCGCTTTTTACTGCAATATGCAATTTACTGAAGACACGGAGATGATTAGTGTCACAAGTTGTTTTAAGTGGATGCTCTTAACACTTGAGTTCACTGCATAGCAAAAAGAGGTGTCTGTGAAATTATTACAGTAGTAAAGTATGTACTGCAATAAATCTTACACATTTATGATTTAATACTGCATCTTTACATTTGTTTACATTTCTCTTGACTATCAATGGCACCATGTATGTCTGTGTATATGTAAGTTTTAATACATTTTAACTTTTTATAATAGATTTGTATTTCATGATACTAAATGGTAAAATAGACTAGTATCTACACATATGTTATTCATTCGTGACACACTCAACTCTTTCTTAATATTTTCTCTATTTCTAGGCCATGTGGCTTGTCTATATGTTTTTCCACATTGTTGCAAATCTTAAAGATAATTTCAATATATTTATTTTTAAAAATTCACGTGTAAGTGGATCCACGCAGTTCAAATCTGTGTTCAAGGGTTAAATGTTTTATGATTTTTCAAAGGTTTTTCTGTGCAACACATTTTAAAAAGGTTTTCTATGTAAAATCATCTTGAATAACAAAGTGGTTATAAACTTACAAGTTCCATGCCATAAATAAATACAGGAATTAAACCAAGATTCCTTTAGCTTCCATGTGCTTTGGTTTTTATTCATGATAGGACAAACAATGGGAGCAGATTATGAGACAGAGGAATAAGAAGTTAAGCATGTATAGTATTAACTAATTGCAGTTATCAAAGAAGTAGTGAACTTGATAAGGTTATAGTAGTACTTCTGCTTCATGGAAGAAGATTGAACTATAACGTCACCACTGTGGCCATTCATCTTTCTTGAGACCATAATGAAATGAAAGTAGATAAATATTTATAAATAGGCATAAACTCATAATAATAAAAAGATTTGAAGGCAAGGGGGAGGTAATAATGGACAAGATATTTCAACAAATTTGCAGAACATAGAGTGGCTGGGAATGGCTACAGAGGGACTACAGGAAAGGTAACTGATGGAATCCCAGAGAGATTTTGGGTTCATAAACAATAGATACCAGTAAACAAATATATTCAAAGTACAGCAAAAACCAGATATTTATTCAAGGTCGTTATGTGGAACATGGGCTCTACCTGAAATCCTTATGTTCCACCTCCATCCCTGGTATTTACCACTAGAATAACTATACAGCCCTCTTTTTTAAAAAATCACATGATTTCATTGAGGAAAGTTAAAGCTTTCAATATGGATGTTAGTTTCCCAAAATAAAGTCTCCCTTCATTGTGAAATTTAACCAGGTCCACAGTCCCTCAATATCCATTCCTGATTCTGAAACAAAGCCTACCAGTTAGCCCATCCTTCCTCAAAGTATTCTACATAGAAAGCAGCCAGTCAGTATTCCCACTCAGGGGATAGAATTAGTGACAATTAGGTCTACTCAGTGGAGGAACACCTGCTATTCAGTAGAGGAAACCCACACTAGCTACCCAGAACTTTATTCTTAAGCACGGATAATTAAATAATGGTTGACTACTACAGTGGGATAACATACAGAAATGCAAATAAATGATACATAGTTACATATAACAACATGGTTGAATCTTGAGCTATAGAAGCTGGACATGACAATACGGTTACATTTAATTAATATATTAAATATACCAATAGGCAAAATAAGCTCATAGTACTTGGGAGAGGGTATCAGATGGTAAATGTATTAAAAATTCAAAGAAGTAGTTACCCCAAAAGTTAAGATATTGGTTACTTTTTTGGTGGGTGGGAATTATGATTTTGTGGGATACATGGAAGGTATTGTTCTGACTGTGGGTTATACAAGTATTCTCTATAATAAGGAGAACATTTATGTTTTATATGCTTTTCTGTATACATGTTAAATTTCACAGTAAAAATATAGTCAAAAAAGGGATCCCACAGGAGACAGACAATTCTATAAACATTTTTAATTCTCCACTTTAGTCAAATAACTCGGAGAAGTTATATTCATAGAGTAAAAATAGGATGCTATGAAAAGGAAGCAATTAGAGAATGAAAAAAGAGTTCAGATTAAAAGTATGATTGCTGACATTAAAGCTTCAGTGAAGAGACTAAAGATAAAATTGATTTAATAAAGTTCCTGGAATATACAGGGAGAATAAAGGACTAAAATTTGAGAGAAAATAATAGAAACTCAGTCCAGGAGGTTCAATTTCCAATTAATGAGCGTTTCAGAGGAGATAACTGAGAAAGTGGAGTACAGAAAATATCAAAGAAATAGTAGAAAAGATTTTTCCCAGAGCTGAAAGATACTGATCTTTAGTTTGTACCTAGCACATTGTACCTAGCACAATGACTGTAAGAACAAACAAATAAAAAAAAGACTATACCTAAATTTAATCAGTGTTTAAGTGAAGATTCTAAACCTTGGAGAAGAGAGCTGAGTGTGAGTAAGTAAGATTGGGAACATATTAAGCCTATTAAAAATAACATCAGATTTCTTATCAATTATACTGGATGTTAGAAGGTATTGGAATGGTACTTTCAAGAAGCTCTGGGGGAAAATTATTTCCAACCTTAAATTTGATACCCGTATGAAATAAAATTAAGTGAGAGAGCATAGCAATGACATTTTCGGATGAAAGGGTTTGCATCCCACACACTTTTGTGGGAAGTTATTTCAGAATGTGATTCAGTAAAACAGGTGTAGACAAAGACTTAGGACTGAAGAAGCAATAGGCATAACTCTGGAAAGCAAGAAAAGAGAAGTGGCAAGATGACAGCTGTGGAGTATCCCTAGAAAATGACCAGATTGGGAGGAAGGTCTCTAGCGGAGTAAGGAGGGAGGGGTGACTCAGTATAAGTAACATGGTTGATAGGCTAGGATACAATAAATGATTAGGGAAAGTGATGGGAGACAATAGGAAACCAGTTAGAAAATCTGGAGAAAACTAAAAGCTATACAAGAAAGTCATAGTTAAAACATAAGGACAACTAAAATGTAGCATGATTTTACGCAGTTGATGTCTAAGAAAAGACTGGGCAGCTGATAAAATGGTAGCGTCACTGAATGAGTCAAGACATTTTAACATAACCGCAAAATAGATGTTGTAATATTGATGGGAATATTTTGTCATAGTTGTTTTGATATATACATATTTCAAAATAGTTAAAATGTAAAATCACTGCTCTCTTGTTTATTACCAAAAAATGTGCTGAAAAGGTACCACTAACCTTTACCCCATCCCAAATGCCCATTAAGTATAAGGGACTCTCCCTATCTACTCTATTCATTTCTGTATTGTTTTAATATTTTACAAGTTATGTGTTAACTTTTATGATTTTTTTGTGATTATAAAATGTGTCAATTTGTTAGAATTAATTTAGCTTCTAACTATAATCTATTGTATAAATCCATCATACATTACCATCCTTATAAAATTATTAATGTAAGTATGATGAGTATGGAAAGCTATTCAAAATTTAATTGTGAATTTCTTGTTCTATCTGAAATGTAGAATAAGACATCTTATTATTGCCCTGTCTTCTACTCCTCCAAGTGACTTCTGTAATACCCAGCCACTTAATGTTTGACATTCAGGAAGCTTTCATAAAGCAGAGGTGTCCTTTTAGATATTTAGATGGAAAATAAAGAATATCATTAATCTTAGTTGAAAGCAAATGGCTTTTTTTTTTTTTCTTGAGACAGAGTCTCACGTTATTGCCCAGGCTGGAGTGCAGTGTTGCAACTTCTGCCTCCTGGGTTCAAGGTATTCTCATGCCTCAGCCTCCCAAGTAGCTGGGATTACAGGGGTGCACCACCATGCCTGGCTAATTTTTGTATTTTTAGTAGAGATGGAGTTTCACCATGTTGGCCAGGCTGGTATGGAACTCCTGACCTCAAGTGATCTGATCACCTCGGCCTCCCAAAGTGCTGGGATTGCAGGCGTGAGCCACCATACCCGGCTGCAAATGGCCATTTTATATAGTGTTCAAAACCTGGCAAAACAAATTTATGGTGATAATAGAAATTAGAAAAAAATGGTGTCATTAGGTATTGACTGTGAAGGCCACATGAGGAAAACTTTTATGATGCCAGAAATGTACTATAGTTTTATCTTGGTTGTGGCTTTGTTGGTATATACATGTGTAAACATCAAAATTATACACTTAGCATTAAATTAAAAAAAGTGAGAAGTAATAGCATTTGAGATGAGGTAAAAGTGAATTATGGGAATATTAGCAGACATACTGCTTAAGGTGAATGATAGCTCTTTTCCCCCATTTATTACTTTCTACAACGAAAGATGATTTTTAATTATATAAGTTACATGTATTTAGATAATTGTAAGTGTCTAAAGTTAAAATTGAAGGGCTCCTTCCTTAGAGCATCGCTTAGCCCAGGAGTTTGAGATCAAATCTTTTCTATGTATACACCAACATTCTTTAAAAACACATTTTGAGAAGTATCAAACTATATAGATAATTCTGAAATTTGCTCCTTCTGCCCACTCAACAGCATATAATAGATATCTTGCAGTGTTGGATTATAGATTCACCCTGATTCTCTTTAATGATTGTGCAGTCCTCCATAGTACGTTTATATCGTAACTTAGCCTCCTCCCTAAACATTTCAGGTTATCTTTAGTTTTTTATTAATGAAAATAATTCTGATTAAGTTCTTTTACATTTATATTTGTATATTTCTGCAAATATTGTTATAGGATAATTCCAGAAGTACAATTCCTAGGTTAAATTTTGTTAGCTTCTGCAAAATTGTCCTTCAGTTTCAACAACTGGGAACCATAATCTTGCCAACATTGGATATTATCAGTCTTTTAAAATGTTCACTGATCTAATGGACAAAAATGGAATCTCACTGTTTTAATTTGCCTTTTTCTGATCACTAGTGAAATTGGGCATCCTTTCTTATGTTAATTATAAATTGATGTTTCTTTTTTTGTTGTGTGTACCCTATTTTAATTTTCCTTATTTGTCAGGAGTCGTCGTTTATGAGAGTAATCCTTTTCTTGTTACGTATGTTGCACATTTCTTCTCCAATTTCTAGTCTTTTAGATTTATTTGTCTTTTAGCTTTAACGTACGAAGCTATCCATTTTTCCTTTATGACTCCTTCATTTTGTATTTCGCTTAAGATCATTTACTTGGGAAGACCAGATATGTTCTTATATTTTGTTCTGGAAACTTATTCTTTTGCATTTTACTTTTAAATGATTAATCATCCACAAGTGTGTTTTGTGAGCTAAATATATGAATATTAATATGCTTTTTCTTTCCCATAATGGATAGCCAGTTTTTGCCATAAATCACTGAATAATCTGTCTTTTCCTCACCAATTTAAAAACCAGGGATATTACTGTATGAGTGAATGAGGGTTATAAGAAATGTACTTTTTTTTTTTTTAATGCAGAGAGGAGGATGTCAGTTTTGAAGCAGAGTTCAAGGATATAGGGCAGGGTTTGTAGAAAATCCAGGATAAAGGAGTGTGGTTGCCTTGGGAGCTGTAGTGTCAAATTGGATAGGTTTAAAAGTATAGGTGGGATGAAGTAAGAATATATCTAGGACAAACAAATATAGGCATACCCATATGTTTATATGCTTAGCTATATGCTTTGCTTTACTGCACTTCACAGATATTGCAGGGTTTGGTGTGTGTGTGTGTGTTTGCAAATTGCAGATTTGTGATTACCCTGTGCTGAGCAAATCCGTCAGCATCATTTTTTTGACAGCATGTGTTCGCTTTGTGTCTCTGGGTCACATTTTGGTAATTCTTGCAATATTTCAAATTTTTTCCTTAGTATTATGTATGTTATAGTGATCCGTAATCAGTGATCTTTGATATTATTATTGTGTTTGTTTTGGGCAGCATGAACAGCACCCATAGAAAATGACAAACTTAATAAATTATGTTGTGTGTGTTCTGACTGCTCTACCAACTAGCCATTTCCCTGTCTCTCTCCTTTGGTCTCCCTATTCTTTGAAAGACAACAATATTAATATAAGGCCAGTTAATAACCCTATAATGTACACCTAGTATGCATCAATATTAATCTTTCAATGGCCTCTAAATATTCCAAGTAAAAGAGTCATATGTCTCTCACTTTACATCAAAAGCTAGATGTAATTAAGCTTAGTGAGGAAGGCATGTCAAAAGCCAAGAGAGGCCAAAGGCTAAGCCTCTTGCACCAGTTAGGCAGATTGTGAAAGGAAAGGAAAAGTTCTTGAAGGAAATTAAAAATGCTATGCCAGTGAACACATGAATAATGAGAAAACAAAATAGCCATATTGCAGGCATGGGAAAAGTCTGAATGGTCTGGGTACCATTCAGACCAAACCAGCTACAACATTCCCTGAAGCCAAAGCATCATCCAGAGCAAGGCTCTAGCTCTCTTCAATTCTGTGAATGCTAAGAGAGGTGAGGAAGCTGTAGGAGAAGAGTTTGAGGCTTACAGAGGTTGGTTTATGAGGTTTAAAGAAGGAAGCTGCCTCCAAAACATAAAGGTGACAGGTGAAGCAGCAAATGCTGATGGAAAAACTGCAGCAAGTGATCCAGAAGATTTTTTTTTTCCAGAAGATCTAACTAAGTTAATTGATGAAGGCAGCTACACTAAACAACAGATTTTCAATGTAGATGGAACAGGTTTCTACTGGAAGAAGATGCCATCTCATAGATGAAGAGAAGTCAATGCTTGGCTTTCAAGGACGGGCTGACTCTTGTTGGGGGCTAATGCAGCTGTTGATTTTAATTTGAAGTCAGTGCTCATTTACCATTCTGAAAATCCTAGGGCCTCTAAGAATTTTGTTACATCTACTCCCTGTGTGGTCTGTAAATGGAACAACAAAGTTCAGTTGAGAGCACATCTGTTGATGGCAGAGTTTACTGAATATTTTAAGCACACTGTTGAGAACTGCTAAGCAAAAAAGATCTCTTTCAAAATATTACTGCTCATTGACAATGCACCTGATCACCATTTTCTGCAGTGAAGATGCCCAAGGAGATTAATGTTGGTTTCATGCCTGCTAACAACATCCATTCTGTAGCCCATGGGTCAAAGAGTGATTCAGACTCTCAAGTCTTATTTAAGGATTGCATTTTGTAAGGCTATAGCTGCCATATATAGTGATTCCTCTGTCAGATCTCAGCAAAGTAAATGGAAAACCTTCGGGAAAGGAGTCACTATTCTAGATACCATTAAGAACATTTGTGATTCATGGGAGGAGGTCAAAGTATGAACATTAACAGGAGTTTGGAAGAATTTGATTCCAGTCCTCATGGGTGATTTTGAGGGGTTCAAACTCAAGTGGAGGAAGTAACTGTAGATGTGGTGGAAATAGCAAGAGAACCAGAATTAGAAGTGGGGCCTGAAGATAGGACTGAGTTACTGCAGTCTTATGATAAGACTTGAATGGATGAGGAGTTGCTTCTTAACAGATGAGCAAAGAAGATGGTTTCTTGAGATGGAATCTACTCCTGGTGAAGAAGCTGTGAACATTGTCGAAATGACAATAAGGATTTAGAATACTACGTAAATTTAGTTGATGCAGCAGTGTCAGGATATGAGAGTGGCCTCCAAGTTTGAAAGAATTTTTACTGTGGACAAAATGCTATCAAACAGCACCACAAGCTACAGAGAGATCTTTCGTCCTGCAGAGAAATCAAACAGGAAGAATCAATCAATACAGCAGACTTTATTGTTGTCTCATTTTAAGAAATTGCCCCAGCCACCCCAGCCTTCAGCAGCCACCACCCTGATCAGTCAGCAACCATTATCATCAAGGCAAGACCCTCCACCATCAAAAAAGAGTATGACTTGCTGAAAGCCTCAGATCATTTGCATTTTTAGCAATAAAGTATTTTTAAAATTAAGATTTGAACATTGTTTATTTAAATATAGTGCTGTCAACACAACTTTTATAACTACTGGGAAACCAAAAAGTTTGTGTGACTCACTTTGTTGCAATATTTGCTACATTGCAGTAGTCTGGAAACAAACTTGCAGTATCTCTGAGGTATGCCTGTGTGTACTAAAATTTGTATGAATAGTAATCAAGGGGAGCAAGTCAACAGCTACTTATGTTATACAAGGTGATATTATAAAGGAATTCTTGGGCTTTTTTTCTTTTTGTAGATGTATTTTAATTTATTATCTTTGGCTTAGGAATTACCATTAACCATTGTATAGGAACATGTCTAAGAGTGAGCTCTTTTTGCTTAACATCAGCTTTAAGTTGAGCTTTCATATTTAGACATAACTTATTTATTTAAAGCTATTAATATATAAAAGGTAATTATCAATTCTGGAAAAGTTTGGCTCTATGACAGTGAACAAACTGTAATTCAAGAAAAAGACTACTAAGTATGTGAAGCACCACATCCAGAGAAAAAAGATTTTCTAGCAAATTGGATACACATATAGAGGAAAGTGATTATGTGTGATTACTTCTGGGACTAAATTTGAAGTATGTTGGAAATAGGGTTGTCAATGTAATTTTAAAATTATTGACCTCTAACATAGTCATTATAATTGAAAATGTTACTTTATTTGTCTTGTCTTCCCTTGCCTTTACCTCTATCCTTCTGTTTTCTCCTTTGTTACAGATCATACATCTGTCGGTGGCCTGGGAGACAGTTTTTATGAATACTTACTGAAAGCATGGTTGATGTCAGATAAAACAGACCATGAGGCAAGAAAGATGTATGATGATGCTATTGAGGTGATTATTTCCAGAACATTTTTCTACTTAATGGATTGAATGTACAGTGTATTTTGTAGTGACTAGATGAATATCTTATAACCATTTTATTATAGACATTCAGTAAATACATACAAACATTTTATTATATGCATTCACTGTAGAGTTTGTTACTATTTTAATAGAAAAGCCTCATATTAAGTCTTCTTTTATTTGTGACATTTTTAAAGAAATTTTTGAAGAAAGAATTTATTGTAGTCCAGGTGCAGTGGCTCACGCCTGTAATCTCAGCACTTTGGGAGGCTGTGGTAGGCAGATCACTTGAGGTCAGGAGTTCAAGACCAGCCTGGCCAACATGGTGAAAACCCATCTCTACTAAAAATACAAAAATTAGCTGGGCATGGTGGTGCATGCCTGTAGTCCCAGCTACTTGGGAGGCTGCGGCAGTAGAATCGCTTGAACCTGGAAGGCAGAGGTTGCAGTGAGCTGAGATCTCATCATTGTACTCCAGCCTGGGTGACAGAGCGAGACTCCGTGTCAACAATAAATAAAATAAAATAAGAATTTATTTTAGTGTATTCATGAAAATTGATTTTATTTACTTTTAGTTAATGTTTACAGAGACTGGAAAAACTTCTGACTTTATATACATTTTCATAAACATTTTTCTTTCAAATGAACCCTTGAATCTACACATTGAGAGCCTTATGGGTAAATACTTAAATAATGACAACACACTTATATAGTATTTTCTACATGCCAGGCACTGTTCTAACCCTTCTTACATATATGAGATCATTTAATCATTATCACCATTTTACACATGAGGACCTTAAGGAACAATGAAGTTAAAGTAACTTGCTGAAGGTTGCATTGCTGGTAATTGATGGGGCGTGGAACTGAACAGTCTGGCTGCCGAGCCAGTGTTTTTAACCACTGTATTATATTGTTTCATATTTAAATGACTTCATACCATGATATTGTGACAGTTTATAATTGGAACAAGATTCATTCTAGGAAGAATTTATATGGAGTATTTCTAAGAAAAAACTGTGAAATAGAAAAGTAAGTCAGAAGTGTGTTAAGTGTGTTTAGCAGGTTATTAGCTTCCTGCTCTATTATAAACTGATACCCACTTAACAATTTTAGTTATTTTTTAAAAGTTGTATATTTTGTATATAACAACTCTGCTGATGTAGTCAGTAATTAGTTGTCAGAGTTATAATTTCTGTTTGGTTTGTTTTTTTCATTAAACCAAGAATCTTATCCATTTTATATCCCTACTGTTCAGGCACATAATTTGTTACAATTGTTTTTAAAAAATGCACAGGAGTTGAACTTAATATGTGGCTCACAGTGTTTTGCCCATTATAGGTACTCAACAAGTGTTTATTGAGATATTGTGTTAAATAATAAATTGAACTAAAGGTACAACCAAGAATATAAATTTTAGTAGGAGAACTTTATTCTCTTTTATTAAAATTTAAACGTAGAAAGTTGTATGATCCAAGATGGGTTATTATCTGGGAAGAATTTAATATTCTTAGAACCATATTGTTGAAAATAGCTCTTAGTAATTCCCACTAGACTGTGGCCTCCTTTGAGGGCAGAGACTAATTTATTTATCATTATCTCAGCACCTAGCACAATACTTGAAACATAATAAGTATTCCGTAGTATTTGATAAATGCATGAATATATTTAATATTATATTTGAGAACATGTGATATATCATATACCATGTAATAAATTAATTTTGTCTGTTTTCTTGTAATTTTCTTTAAAACTATTTTGACTTTTGCTTAATTTTTTCCAAAGGAAAAAAATTGTATTTGTCATTGTTTTTTTTAATCATACATGCTTTGAAAGGCATGATAACTGCTTTGAAAGTTAACCTTATAAATTCACACTATTTTTCATGAATCATCTGCTATATGTTATGTATCTTGTAAATATTTCTGTACTTGCTTTCTTTTCCCTGTTTTTATTAGTTTTATTAGTTTATTAAATCAAGAATAGGTACCTAATAAATGTTTTTTAATAACAGTTGATCAGCTTTCACTTTGAGACATGATCTCAAGTATGCAGTCTTTGCAGTGTTAATTATTTTCAAAAACTATTCTATTAGCGTATTATAAAATAAATGACATATGGAATGTATGAAAGAGATAGGAATGACCACTTAAGACTCATTGTAATTTGAAATACATTATTTTTAAACTTTGTCTTTCTGAGCTATTTTACTTAAATTATTCCATACCCCTCCTACCTTCCCCTATCCTTACAGATACCCATATTCTTTGTTTCTACTTTCTTTTAAAATTATTGGTAAAAAGCCCTAACTGACTGCCTTTTACTTTAGTTCTAGTAAGTCCAGGTGGATATGCTTGGATATCTTTTAATTGTAATATGGTAAGATTTAGGTTACAATGAACAGAAATGACAAACATATGGATACCATCTTTAGGCATTTTTGGAATACCTTATATGTGGAAAACATGGTACTATCATGAGGTTCAAAAAGATGAAAAATACCACCCCATACTCAAAAAACTAATCTTTTTGTGCTTCAGAGTGCTATGGTTAAAACAATGACAAAAACTTATAATCCAAAGATAATTATCATTTTGGTTATCAGCCACCTCTCATTCCCCAACATCAAATACAATTATCTAAGAGCACCATTCATTTATGAAATTACTTAATAATTAAACATGTATTGAGTGCACACTACATTATATGCCTTCTGGAATACAGGTGATGAGTAAGACATAGTCACTCCAGTTCTGTTAAACTCACATTATTATTATGGAGAATACAGAGTAAAATTTTCCAAGGCTGATTGTTACTAAACTTGTCAGAGAACAACTGACAGTAAAAATACTCTTTTTTCAGAAAGAAAAGTTAACCACTAATCATGTATAATAGTTTCTACTAAAGAAAACTGAGTTAATGGCCATTGCTTATACTTTTCCATAGAAATACCTCTAAAGGTAGAAAATAGCTCATCTCAGCAAAGTCTAAGAACATATTCCAAAGGAGCAAAGCTCTTGAAAATCTCATTTTAAAACTGAAATGTGATTGTTATACTCTGATATACTCAAGTTTAATATAGACTATTTCTCTCACCATTCCTACATCTTTTGAGAAAAATGTATGTTCCAGTAGGGTAGACAGTGTTTATAATATGGCTTCTCTTATCCATGACAAAGCATCCAAAACAAATGCCTAAATTTGAGAAGTAAGGGACTAAAGATAATATTATGTAGAAGGTAATCTTTAGGCCAAGTCTCTCCTCTTCCACTCTGTCTTATTATGGTAGTGATTCAGATATTGGTTCCAGATTATATGCAATTTGATCACCCACTCCGACACTTGCTGTTAATTAAGTCTCAGTTTGGGAAAGTTACTACTTTATAGACTATCATATTACCCAGGTTTTATAATGGCCAGAAGGATATAGTAAGTTTGAACACTAATAGTTTGCATCTAAAATTTTGAATATCTTTTCTTTCCTGTAGGCTATAGAAAAACATCTTATTAAGAAGTCTCGTGGAGGTCTTACCTTTATTGGAGAATGGAAGAATGGGCACTTGGAAAAAAAGATGGGGCATTTGGCCTGCTTTGCTGGGGGAATGTTTGCACTAGGAGCAGATGGTTCCAGAGCAGATAAAGCTGGTCATTATTTAGAGCTAGGGGCAGAAATTGCACGTACTTGTCATGAGTCATATGACAGAACTGGTAAGAATATTAATAAGGCTAATTATATAGTCTAAAATAATCTCTAAGTTAAAAATGTGTTCAGCAATAAGAAGGAGAATATATAGGCACTTTTTACTTCCAAATAGTTTACACCAACAAGGCAAATCATTTTCTTAAGAACTTGAATTTTAATTCTGGAAATGTGTCTCTGCATTATTTTTTAAATTCTGAATTCTGCTGCTGTTTCTGTTAAAGATTTTGAAGTAATTGTTTTAAAGACAAGAATCGTGGGGTATTTGGGAATATATGGAATAACTTTTAATATAAGAATCTATTTTTGCCATTTCAGCTTCTATAAAAACAGTTACTTAAAAGAACATAAAATTGACTGACTTCAGTTATATTGCCTTGCCTATCCTCTTGTGATAAGAAGAATAACCAAAAGATAACAATATTTATCTTTATTGGTATCTGGCTAACTAGTAGTTTTTCAATTAGTTCACCAGTAGTTTTTGGAATTGTTTATGGCTTTAACTAAAAAGATCCTCTGACATTGCACTGGGCAAATATTTTCTGAACTTCAGTGTCCTTACTTGGAAAAGGAGATGATTCCTAAATGGTGACAAAAATTGTTTTGGTTGGGGCTGAGAAAATTTTTACTCTTTTTATGTATAAAGCACAGATATACATATAGTCATAAATAGATACACAGTATATATTTGGTATTAAAATTTTATGGAGGGAGAAGGCAATTAGGCTTTTTTAAAAAAGACAAAAGGTTTCTTAGGGGTGCAGTAATGAAAAGGGGGCTGAAAAACACTGGACTAGACCTTCCAAGGTTTTCTCTGGCTTTAAAAACATGAGTTTCTATATGAAGTAATAGATAATGAGCTCCCTGAAAGCCAAAAAACTAGAAATTTCTATTTGATTTCGGAAGTTGAATTGTTGATTTTATTAAATAACAATTTCTGTTTTAGGGTTAATTTATCATCAGATACCATGAAACAAATATGATTGACCTAAAATTTATGCTAGTTCATAAATCTGTCAAGTTATTTTTATACAGTAAGGAATTAAACTTATGGCAAAATTGATTCTTCAGTTCTCATTAACTAAATAAGGGTTCCATTTCTTGAAAGAATATAAGTCAAGAGGACGGTGAAGTAGTGTTATTTTAGGGTAGTTTAAGTGTTGTTGTATAATACATATAATGGCAGCGATCTGAGTTCAAAATAGAGGCTAAATTAAATTATCGTGTTGATACAGAATGCCAATTATGCCTTAAAATATAGCTAAAATTAGTAAAACATTGAGGACCAGGATGGATATTCAATTTTATATTAGGATCCATGAGAATAAGGATTGTTATTTTGCAGATTTTGACCAAAAATCAAATAATAGACCTAAAATAATTGAATTTCATATAGCATACATTCTAAAATATGGTATATCATAGTTACTATAATTAAATATTTACTCCATGAAACAGGGAACAGCCATTATATGCCAAGTATTATGCTAGATGCTTATAGGTTAAAGTATGAACAAGATACATTCCCTGCCTTTCAGAAATTCATAGTGTACCAGAGTTTGAAAGGATTTCCTTATATTTCTGATTTTAATGTTTCATAATGACATTGCTGATGCTGATTCTTGTTCTGATTGTCATTTTCACATTGCAAGTTGATGAACCCATGACCCTCTTTGTTATGGTAAACCAAAAAATGATTATTTGATTTGTGTCCTGTATTTTCAAGTCTTCTGTTGTTTTTACTTGTCTTTAATCTCAATTTAGATCCTTTAATTAAAAAGTACAATCCTAGTTTTGCTAACTTTCCAGCAGGTTATTATATCCTCTGCTGTGTTTTCTTATAGCTGTGCTATAATTTTTGGCCACCATATTTTAAAATATCCATTCATTTTTCCTTAGTAGTTATTCCAGCTAAATATATACTGTAATTATCTACAACTAAATCAATTCATAATCTAAGCTCTAAAATGTTTCCTTATATGTGTGTATTATGGCAAAATGTCTTTAAAATTACCTTGCCTTTAAAAAAAACATCCACACAGTGTCATTATCTATATACTTTTATTTTAGACCACAATGGACTGTATGATGTGCAAATGTCTAGTTTGCATTTGTTTCCAAAAGATTACTAGACTCTTTTTGGTAGAATTAGATTTAGCAGTATGTTGATACACATTATTCTGAGAAACATTTTATGTTAGAATAACAGGAATGTTTATAAGTCTATTTTAAGAAAACCAAATGTGGATCTTTTAAAATGACTCATTTTGCACTGAGTGCAAACAGCAACAATAAAAATAAACAACAAAAATTACTTCATATTCTGTTCTTTCAGGGAAGAAAGAAGTCCTTGCAAACAAACATAAATGGTTTATTTTGCTCAGTTATTTCTTTTGTCATGTTACAGCATTAAAGCTAGGTCCTGAATCATTCAAGTTTGATGGTGCAGTGGAGGCTGTGGCTGTCCGGCAGGCTGAAAAGTATTATATCCTCCGTCCAGAAGTAATTGAAACCTATTGGTACCTATGGCGATTCACTCACGATCCAAGATACAGGCAGTGGGGCTGGGAAGCAGCACTGGTAAATAAGCCAATATTCCATTTTATCTGCAAGAGTGTTAACTCATGCCCTCCTATGATGCCACATACCCTCACCCATGTTACCTCATTTTTAGTATCTGTAGGGCAGTTTTTATTTATCTGATGAAGAAACTCTTAGTCAATTTAAGTTTCTGGGCAGTAGAAATAAATCTTACGATATATATTAAATATATATTAAAATATATTAAAAATATATAAATATATATATTTCAAAGGAGGAATTTTTAATGGTTAGTTAAGTAAAGGAAGCAAGTGGTTTACTCTTAAAGTCTTTCAGGGAATCCATAGCTATCAGTACCTAGGGAGGAAAAAACTATTAGTCTTTTATGAAAGTATAGCTTATTCCCAGGGTAAGGGGTTGTTTTATTCTTTGAGATTTACTAATTGTGATAAATAGCACTAATTATGGTGACTATTCGTATTCAAATTGTTTAACTTAAGCTTACAATCTAGATAGAATGACTAAGGACATCCCAAATGAGGTCAGTAGTGCTGGTAAATTGCCCAGACAGGAATGTATGAGATATATTTTAAGGCAAGATGTATACCAGTTTATGTAAAGCGAACGTTTCACAGTGGCAAAGTGGGAGAGAAGATTGGAGCCATTATGTAGACAGCCTTACACACCAAATCAAAGGTTCTTAGTTGTTCAGGAAATAAGACGTGTGCACAACTCCCTCCCCGTAATACACACTCTCTTAGTTACTTCTGTCAGCTACTGCGTTAAGTGCTGTCATATGGGAAATGGTAACAGAAAGTTCTTTGCTTATCCAAAAAGCCCTTCAGATCTTACTTTTCTTTTTTCCTTAGCATCTTCTACCTGCAAAAGCTCCTTGACTTTTGAGAATTCCTTACAGAACTGCTAAATGTTTTATAAGGGGGAAGGAACTCCTGAAGGCTTTTTTCAGTGGGGAGTAACAAAGCAAAAGGATCTGATTGTAATCCACAAATTGGTGGGTTTGGGAGACCACAGCCATAACCTAGGAATAATGTGAGATCTTGAACTAAGGGGAGTACACTTATTTTTCACCTGTCATTCAGACCTAGATAGTCCTGCTGGACTTTAACAATAAGAGCATATTAATGGAAACAAGTGGTTACACAGGACAGGAACAGATGCAGCATTTATTGATGCTGCTTTTCCTTGGCCCCTTGGCTCCAGAATTGGGAGCACAGCTACTAGTGAAATTCTCTGTGTAGGAGGGTGCTGCCACAGTTGAGAAGACAGCCAAACTATTGCCACAGTGGTTTGGGAATAGAATACACACACACTTCTATTGTTAGCAGTGGCTTACTAATGCTTCCGTAAATTAAGCACTCTTTCATGTAAGGGAAATAGGTAAAATAATCATATAATGAATCTGTTTCACTTGAATGTCCCCTGATATTTAATGCTCCTTATTTACAGGAATGAGGGGGATATGTCTGAATCACGTGAGGAGTGGAAAGTGGTGGCAGAAGCACTTTTTGTCATTGAGGAATACTTTAGGATAATTCATCCTTTTCCTAATGTCCTTTTTTCCTGTGTGCTTTCTTCAAGTATGGCCCTACTTTTGTCTGTTAAGGAGAGGTGTGACAGGGTCAAACTTTAGCCCATGTCTGTCTAAATTTGAATTATAGGAGGTAGAATTTTGCTTTTGTAGCCTATATGCACAAACACAAACTCAATGTATAATCGGTCAAGAACAAGAACTAGAGTAGTTATACTCTAAATTCAAGTTTCAGAAGTGTGCAGTGGAAGTGATGAGAAGAGGGAGGAATGGAGGCAAAAGAGGCGGTGTCATATCTTAAATAGTATTTGCTCATGCATCACCATTGGCCTCTCCTCTTGGGTGCGAAGAAAGCAAAGGGAAGGCTGGGTGAGGCAGAATAGCAGTATAGCGTGTCTTCTGTAGCCTTAGCTATTCTGTTTACATATTCAAACTTCCAAACTTGCCCTCATGACTTTAAATGTCTTAAAGATTAGTCATGCCTCCCCACTACTTTCTTATTATTCTTAAACCATTTTGATAGTTCATGTGGTGGTGAAGACACATGATTATTGTGAAGAAAAGTACTTAAAAACTCTTGTATCCAAAATTTCTTTAGAATATATTAGAGAAAAGCACCAAACCCCTTAAATTTAGTTATAATCAAAATGGAGCTATAAAATGAGCAGATTGATTAAATAAACACCTTTTTAATGTTAATTAGCTTTTCATAGGAAGGAGAAGCCCAGAAGAGTAAGAAAAGTAGCAAGACTAGGAACAACAAGCCATGGCAGACAGCGATGGTTAGTTAAGTAACCATGCCTTCATTGGATGACCTTGCAGGGTTAGGTAGAATAGAAAAACAAAACTACCACATGTGCTTTCCACTTTTCATGATTGGTTGAATTCTGGACTGTGCTGTACCTGCATAAGCAGACTGTTTGGTTGCTTTGAATTAAAAAATAAGGTTGTGAATAGATTCCATTTGATTCAGTATATTTTATTTAGGCATGCCCAAAGATGCAAAAAGAGTAAGAATTTTAACTCTCAGTCAAGCAGTAAAGCACAGTAGTTAATAATGTAGAGCAAATTACTCTGTGCCTCAGTTTTCCCATCTGAAAAGTGAGGCTGTTAACCTCATAGAGTTCTGAAATTCAAATGTGACTGTATTTAAAGCTCTTAGAACAGCATTCAGCACATAGTAAATACCTTATAATTGTTAACTCTTTATATTGTAATTATTATTGTAGTAGGTGGGCTCTTTCTGCCAGTTGGTACCACCTGTAATGGCTAACTCATAGGATTATGATAATGCAATGTCTGGCATATGGTATGTATTTAGTAAATATTATCTCTTACCGCTATTACTATAGAGTGCTCCTAAGTAATATTTTTTAGCATGTTGTGGGTTATTGTTTGTCCTTGGAAGTGATAAAATTGCATTAAAAATTGTTAATTGAAACTGACCTCCATCTTGATTTGTTAGAACTAATGGACCTTTATTTTGCCAGACAGACCCCTCATTTAGAAAAAATAGCCTAAATTTGATTTCTAAGTTAGGAAAATATAAGATGTCTTAAAAAGATTAAAGAGTTTTGGAGACAGAGAAGTTCTATAGGAAACATCCTGTTTCTCGTATGAGTTAATTTTTCCAGTATGAGAATATTTCCTTTTGATAATATATTATTCTTAAGCCATCAAATTTTCATACAAATCTTTATGAGCTTTTGACTATTGTCCTTCAAAGTTTTGTTGTCCTTCAAAACTTGAAATTCTACGGAATTGCTTATTTTGTCTGATCTCTTTCATAGGCCATTGAAAAGTATTGCCGAGTTAATGGTGGGTTTTCTGGAGTCAAAGATGTATATTCCTCTACTCCTACACATGATGATGTACAGCAGAGCTTTTTTCTTGCTGAAACATTAAAGTAAGTATATAGCTTTAAAAAATATTTTTATACTAGACTGGTTTTGCTGTGTGATCACTAGATGATGAATTACAACTATGTGACAGGTTACACTAAATTTTGTTGTAAATATCTTTTTATGTAATTGGGTGTGTAAATTTTTAGCTACATCTCAAAAAGAATGACTTAGACTATAAGGTAGGTATTTTATCAAAAAAGTACTTAGTACCTGTTAAAATTTTTTGTTCTTTGCTCTTTAATGTGCATTAAAATCACCTGGAAGGCTTCGTAATACACAGGTAACTAGGTCCACACTCACGAAGTTTCAGTAGATCTGGAGTTTAGCTTAAAAATTTGCATTTCTAACAAGCTCCCATGTGTTACTGATAATGCTGGTCCTGGACTCATACCTGAGCTCCCTACTGTAGCTAATGAAATCTGTTAGGAATGATCATGCAGTTTTGATAGTACTAAATGACCATAGCCACTCATCCACCCGATGAGCCTTACTGTAAAGATACACATAAAAGGAACAATGGAAAAGAGTAGACAACTTTATTTTCGTCTTATACTCCAAACCCCAGGTAGAGGTCTCTGTAAACAGACCTGGAAGAGATGGAGATTGTAAATATGTCCACTTCCCTAAAGACTGACCAAATAAATATCTCTTCATACTCGCTCTTAAATTTATTATTTGTATTTCTTGCATATCTGTACATGAAAGCCTTGTAAACATTTTATTTTTTCAACAAATGTGTATTACCAGGCACTGTTCAAGCCACTTGAGGATGTTTCAGTAGGCAAGCAGGACAAAAATTCCTGCCTTCTGGATTTTACATTCTAGTATACTTGTAGTTTACATTCTCATATATTACAATTAAAATGTACCGTTCTCAAACTAAGTTTCTAAATGTCTATCTTATTCTAATTTTTCTTTTATTACCCCAGTACTGTTGTTTTCCTATCTTTTTAGCTTATACATTATAGAATCATCTGCTTCCTCCTTTTAATATATCACCAATTCTTTATGCTTCTTTCTGTTACATTTTTTTATTTTGCTCCCTCCTTTCCATTTCTACAATTTACCCTAATCCAGCCCCTTATTACTGCTGGGATGGTTTAGAACATCTGCCTGGTACTCAGTTTCCTACATCTAGATGTTTCTTATTCTGACTTATCCTTTGTGATTAGGCTTGAGACTGTAGAAGTTGAAAGAGCACTAGACTAGAAAATAAAGTGACGGGAACTTTAGTTGTACACTAGCTACATCTAGCTGAATGAACATGTCAAAATAAAATTTTTTGCTTTTGGTTTACATGTCTGTAAACTATGGAATTTGGCCCAGATTGTGTAGTATCTCTCCTGTTTTTTTTTTTTTTTTAAACTTCAGAAAAACTGTAAGATAGGACAATGATTATTTGTGTCTTTTCACCTAGTTTTGCCACATTTCCTTCTCTTTCTTTCTGTGTACACTCACATATACACATAGTTTTACTTTTTTTTTAGCTTTTTATTTTGCTGGACAAGTTGATGGTGACCAGCAATATATTTCAACAGTAGGTTTCAAGAAAAGGTCATCATCTTACATAATCACCATTCAGTTCTCACACTTGCGAACCTTAATATTCATATAATAATGTTGTCTAATATGTAATCCCATTTTCAAATTTCTCCAATTGTTCCAATAATGTACTTTATTTTTGTTTAATGCCAATTCAGGATCCAGTATGGGATCATTTGTTACGTTTGGTTGTCATCGTCTCTTTAGTCTCCTTTAATCTAGCACAGAGTTTTCCTGTTTTTCTTTTATCTTTTATGAAATTGACATTTTTAAAGTTTTCAGGCTAGTTGCTTTGAGGAATGTTCCCCATTTTAGATTTTTTTCTAATTGTTCCACATGATCAGATTTAGGTTAAACATTTTCAGCATGAACATTATATGGATCTGTGTTCTTATCATTGCATCCCTTAAAGAGACACATAATAGTTTAGCCCATTATTGGTGATTTTAAATTTGAGCATAGGTTATATTTGATTATTGTCATGTAAACAATCTTTTTTCTTTTTGTAATTAATAACTTATCTGTGGAGTGATAATTTTGAGACTGTGAATATTCTTTTAATCCTAGATTCTATTCTTAAACCAACCTAATGTACATTCAAATATTTACGTATATATAAAGTTTCTTCTCTTGCATTTGTCTATTTTATATTTCATTGCTTCTGGCAGGAATGCCTTTATCCTTTCTATCAATTAATGCCTCTCTCTCATTTCTAATTTCAGTTCAAATTTCACCTCTTTGCAGACTGGCTTTCATAATTAATTCTCAAATCTCTCATCATTACAACTTGGAGCACTTTAGTACATGCATGGCATAGGGCTGGAAATAGATGGTATGCTGCCTCATCCCCTTCTAGTACCTATATGGAATATCACCAGTTAATCTTGGTACTTTTCCTTGCCAAGTTCAGTCAGAACTCTTCTCAACACAACAGTATGCTAGGTAACCAGTTATTTATGTATATCTATCTATATATATATAGATAGATATATTTGCTACAATTTTTGCTTTTAGAAAAACATATATCTGGAGCAATAAAAGTGAAAAAGGTCAAACAAAAAGAAACATACAAATAATTATAACATCACCTAGGCTAAGAAAATTGTCACAGTTGAGCAGTACATTCAGCATTGCACTTCCTGGCAGTACATTCAGCATTGCACTTCCTGGCAGCTAAAGCAAAAAGGAATCATTCTGCACAGTGTCATTATCATTTTTGGGAGTTGAGGGAGCATATTACTTTGACAAATGAGACAGAATTTTTTATGTTGCTAAATTATAAAATGACTTAAATTGGATAACTCTATAAAAATATTGAACTATTAAGTGAACCATATGAAATTACCCTTTTAAAAAGGGTAATTTGAATATTGGCAATTTAGTATAGTTCAACCTAATACATAATGGTAATGGTAAATATTTTGAAAATATTTATTTTGTTTGAAACAGTGATCTTAGGGAAGATACAAAAACACTCAATCTGATTTACTCTTTATAAAAACTGATGGCATAATATTAAAATACAATTGAATAAAGTCATTTCTGTGAAGATCTAAATTAATGTAGCTGTAGTTTTATTGTAAAAATAGAGCTTAAAACTTTATAGAGGAATGAAGATAAGTATGGTCTCTTAAATATTTCTCAAATATCAGTTAATTTAAATAGGCTTTGTCAGAAGCTGTCAGTTTAAGATTATGTATTCTCCCAATTGGTGGGAATTTACTGCGGATTCATTAAAAGGCAACAATCAATGTGTTTTAGCTACCAGAGATGGAAACTGATTGTCACGGCAGTGGCAAAGTTAAATGAAAAAACCTGTATTCTTGACGTAAGTTGAGGCTCATTTTACCTTTTACATGTGTCATAGGTGCTATACCATGGAGTAGTTATTGCTATAGGCATACTTTTTTCCCCAGAAGAGGCCATGTCTCCTACTTTTTTTGTTTCCCTCAATAGACCTTACTTCATGGATTAATATTTATCTAGCATATATACTGATGGCATAACAAAAACTATGTAATGAGGAAGGTCAGAGATAGATTCCTTCAAAGGTTCTAAAACTCTTATACTCTAGTACAGGAAATAAAACACAAGCAATATATACAACAAATTTTAAATACATTAAGTGCATAAGAGAAATATTAACAAAATGCAGAAGTCTTTTAGAGAAGAAAGAGTTTGCTTAACCTGAAAAACAAGGGAATACTTCCTGGAAGTAGTAGCATTTGAACCAGACTTGAAGGCAAGGTGGGTAAAATAGGATGAACTGGTATTCAGGGTAATAGCTATAAAGTAGACCATGGGATATTAAGAATGAGATGAGAGCTCTAAAGGTAGAATTGACAAACCTGAATATCTAATTAGATATGAGGAGATTCAGTAAGAAGGAAGAATCAGAGATAATATTAAAGTTTCCAGTGCCAACCTGACTACAGTTTCTAATCAGCATGTTAGTGCCTTACTTTTAAATATTAATAAACAGTATTGACTTAGAAATGTTTATTGAACGATAAACATGTAAGATTTGGCATATTTGTGTATGTGTGTTATACTTTGACTTTTAAAGTTTAAAATATGAATATAACAAGGTTAAGAAAATATCCAAAAATAGAAGGATATGTTTCCAGCTTGAAAGACACCATCAAGATCCCAGCATAGAAGATGAAAACAGACCCACAACAAGGCACAGCACCTTGGAATTTCAAAACCACTGGGGTAAAGGAAAGATCTCAGCTTCCACAGGGAGAGAGAATAGAATAAAGTCTCGTAGATCTGGATTCAGAGTGCCTTCAGACCTCTCAAGAACAGTCATGAAAGCTAGAAGCATTGGAGCAGTTGATTCATGAGAGAAAATTAATTCCAACTTAGAATTCTGGGTTTTTAGCCATGTAAGGTATCAAAAATCCACTTCCAATCCTCTTTCTCAGTAAGTTTTTGGAACATATGCTCCATGAAAACTGGATATAAACCAAAAAAGAAGACATAAATACAGGAAAGAAGTGAAAGGAAGATAAAGGGATACTGTATTGAGATTGAGGAGGACAGAGGCTCTGAGAGATTTCTTCAAGATTAAATGTATAGACTGTTTATTTCTGAGTATTTTGAGACAAGAATTAGTTGCTGAAGATTTTAGGTGCATTATTACTAATAAATACAAGTCAGCTTGCTTTTTAAATAAGGGGAGGAGTCATGTAAGAAAGAAAAGCCATGAATAGCTTTTAGTTAACATATGAACTTGTTTAAAGACACTTGGTTGGAGTCTTGATTGTTTTGTAAGAAGAGCTAAATGGTACTACTGTCCCCTCTCCAGCTGCAAGAAAGAGAAATATGTTCTTTGATAATGGCTTTTGTCCCTCCAAGGATTGTCTTATTCATTGGATTCAGTGAAATAGCAGTTGGTCAAAAGTCTCTTAAGCTGAAAGAATTGCGAGGAAATTAGCAGATAGAACACCAAGACTCCTAGGAGCGGTTCTCTAGTAGCAGCACTTGAATTGCTGAATGAATATCTCCCACGTGGATTCTCTATGGTTCTATCACTTTATACCATTTACTGTCATAAGCCTCTTATCAAAAACTTTGAAGGTGTGTATTATTTTATATATGTACCTTAGTGTCTACACCCATTCACCTAGATCTTTCTTTGAATTAGATTTTCATTGCACCTTACCTCAATTCTGTTGCACATTTATTTAAAGATCTGATAAACTGAGAAAAGTATACATTTTGAGGATACATTTCAACCATTTTTTTCTGAGTTCATATATATCAGGCATTAGGCAGCTCAGAAATCACAAGTTGGAAACATAGTCTTAACAAATTTGTTATTAAAGGAAAGAGAAATAGCATAAAATTAAGATCAAATTTATCACCACAGTATGTCTACTTTCACTGGTATCAGAGTCTCTGGGGCAGAAATTATGTCTGTGTCTCTTGCTTGTGTGCTTTTTTCCTCCGTATCTCTTGAAATTCAAACTTTGAATATAGTAAAATTCTGGAAAGCTATATAAGAATATGTCTTATATTCTTATATATACTTATATACTTAAGAATAAGTAATCTTAAATAATCAGAGTTATGGACAAAGATTTATGTACAGAGATGTTTATTGCTGTTATAAAAATAAGTCATTATTTGTTCAATAATAGCTGAATGGTTAAGTAAATTATGGCACATCCACAATAGTATCATGAAGCCAAAACAATTGCATTTTTATAGACTTTTCACAGTATAATATTAAGTGGGCTATTAAGTCCACATGTGCATACGTAACACATAGATGAACATGTTAATAGTATTTCAACAATATCAAAATGTGAACTGTAGTTTAGCTTAATTGAAGTTATTTTAGTTTTTAAAAATACTTTTTGTTTTTGTCTCTGTAAATATTTAAAAACATCTTTAAAAATACTCTATTTTGAAAAAAATAGGCTGGATCACTGCTAAGTACCAAAACTAAGTTTCTATAGAGCAAAGCTTTAAATATTAAAAAAAGAAATAAAATCATGAAACAATTGGAAAGTTTTTTTCAACCCTAGGGATGAAGATGGCATGATACAAAACCCAAAGATCATTGAAGAAAAGATTGAGAATTCAATTACATAAAAATAAAAAACATCTGTACAAAAAAAAGAGCACTAAGTAAAGTAAAAGACAGATGGCACACTGGGAAAACATTTCTTAAAATTAGAAATTATTAAGAAAAAATACTAAGCCTACTAAAAAAGGTAGTAGCAGTTCTTAGAAAAGAAATGGCTGTAAACACATGAAGAATGCTTGATCCACTTGTAAGAAATAAATGAAATAATAGATCAGATGCTATGTTTTATTTACTTTCACACTGCTTAAGATTTAAAAGTTTTTGTTCTGGTGTTGGCAAGGATGTAAGAATCTAGTCACTTTCAAACACCCTAAGTGAGAGTACACTGGAAGTATATTCTTTTTCGTTGTTGTTAAGGAAGCAAGGTCCACCTGTGGCCCCTGCCCCGACTTGGAAGTATATTCTTAAAATATCCTTAAGTGTGTATTATCAGTACTTCATTTGTCCTGATAGTCTATGTGAAATATTAATATTCTCAGTGCTTTAGTTTAGTGTTTGAGTTAGAACAAGCATGCATGCAATCAATGTGTTTGTTGAGCTATATATACATAACAGCATAGCACTTGTCATATTAAAATCAGTTGTTTAAACACTATAATGTGTAGCTCCTAAAAAATCAAGTTGTTTTTAATACAGCTTTTTTTGAATTATAAAAATAGCATGTGGATATTGCAAAACGAGTTAAATAGTGCAGAACTGAAGAAATGACAAAAAAAAAAAATGAGTTTCTTTGTGCCTCACATCCAATCTCACTTCCCAAAGAGAATAATTATTAAATAGTTCTTGATATAGCCTTCTGGAAATTTTCTGGGTATATGCAAACATATAAAAATATATATAATATATATCCTTTAGCCTTTTTTCTCCATATATAAGATTATATATACCTATTATTCTGAAACTTGCATTTCCACCTTTTTATCTAGGAAAGGTTTCCATATTGGCATATATAAATCCACTGAGGAATGTTTTATAATTTGTTTAATCAGTACCCTATTGTTAGATATAGAACTTGGTTCTGTTTTTTTGCTCTTATAAACAGTGCTTCAGTGAATGTCCTTTTACATATATCTCTGCTCCCTGTGTGAAGATAAATGTTGGTTAGATTCCTAGAAGTAAAATGGATGACTAGGGCAGTGGCATGTGCATTTGACATAACTATAATTAAGCAAAATAAGCTGAGAGAGCGAACTTTTCAGAAAACTTCTCAGAGAGTTTCAGAAAATTAATTAGAAATGGTTAAAATCAGATGGGTATTCTGAGAAGTATGGAGACATTTAGGCACTACCTGATAATGTGTAGTAAGATTTGAATGAACAAACCTTTTGTTTTAAGTAAATCTTAGACAACAGAGTAAATCACTTAAAACTTGTTTTCTGTAAGTTAAGAACACAGATGAAAAGTCAAACAATCAGATTCTTAGGAAGTAAATGGAATGACAGTTTCAGTGTTTGCTCATCCTTTTAAACTAGTGCTTTCTGGAATCCTTAATTCCACCTCTTTGTTCTTTATCAAGATGTGAGCTCTTTTTCTACTAAGTAAATAGTGATTAAAATATATAAACAATACAAATGTAATATATGAAATGATTTATCCAACAAATGTTTGTTGTTAAGTGCCTGATGTGTGCCAGCTGTTTTGTATGCTAGGGCTGCATCAATGAATGTAAAATAATCCTGACATAAAATAACTTACATCCTAAAAATTTCATTCACTCTCCCCCTAACTTATAATTATGCTGTTTTGAGTGCCTGCCTGTAAAAATATGCCCTATGTGTATTATCCAAACCCTTCATTATTCTCTGTCCTTGCCCTCCTTTATTTTTCTTCATAACACTAACATCATCTGTATTAGTCCATTCTCACACTGCTATAAAGAACTGCCCAAGACTGGGTAATTTATGAAGAAAAGAGGTTTAATTGACTCACAGTTCTGCATAACTGGGGAAGCCTCAGGAAGCTTAAATCGTGGCAGAAGGGGAGGTGGGCACATCTTACGTGGTGGCAGGAAAGAGAGCATGTGAAAGAGGAACTGTCAAACATTATAAAACCATCAGATCTCATGAGAACTCACTCATTATCAGGAGAACAATATGGGGGAAACCACCCCCATGATCCAGTCACCTCCCACCACATCCCTCCCTCTACATATGGGGATTATGGGGATTACAATTCGAGATGAGATTTGGGTGGGACACAGAGCCAATCCATATCACCATCTGACATAGGTGTGTGGTGTTCTTGTTTGGTAGAGATGCGGGTCTTGCTAATTGCCCTGGTTGGTCTTGAACTCCTAGGCTCAAGCAATCCTTCTACCTTAGCCTCCCAAAGTGCTGGGACTACAGGTATGAGTCATCATGCTCAGCCTAGATGGATTTTTTTTTTTAATCTATCTTCCAGTAGAATGTAAGCCTCATAGCCGTAGGGACTTTTTCCTTTTAACTACTATGATCTCCCCAGCACCTAGCACATGAGGCACTCAGTAAATATGTATTGAATTTGTTGATAAATTTTTAGTCTGTTAGGCAAGAAAAGAACTTGGCTATTTGCATCTTTACTCTGATCCCTCTTTAGTTTTTAATTATATCATTTTATCAGTTGTGTTTAAGGCATTACCTGATCATCCTGTATACAATTTCAAATTGTTCCCTTACTCCCTCTTACTTTTCCCTGCTTTACTTTTCTTCATAGCACCTATCTTCCAACATAGCACATAATTTTCTTAAGCATTCCCCAATTAGAATATAAACTACATGAAGAGTTTACAGTATTTTTGTATATTTGGGTTATTGTTTTATCCGCAGTATCTACGGTAGGGCCACTCATATACTATGTATTTCAGTATTAAATGTTTGCTGAATAAAGGATTGAATCATTTCATTTCAAAGGAGACAGCTAAAAAACCCCAGCAATTTTATAAGATCTTGTATATAATAAGAGTAGGAGGGGGAAAGAGAAGAGAATAATAGACCTACTTTATTTCCTGGTTGGGGCTTAGAGCTTGATCTCAGAATTCACTTAGTTTTAGGAGGTGTCTGATAATGAGTCAAAGAATTGATAAAGCAAGAAGAAGGGACCCAAGGCAAAATGTGAAAGCTGAGGATGTCAGGGCTGCGGATTTGTTTTCAGTAGAGAGTCAAAGGTCCAGATGCCCACATAAAGGAGAAAAGCAGAAACAGTACCAACTAATTGTTGTTAGAAGTTACACAAAGTTGGTAACCTAGAAAAGTGGTTCTCAAACCTGAGTGTACATCAGAATCACCTGGAAGGCCTCTTAAAACATGGGATGCTGGGCTCTGTTGAGTTTCTGATAAATAGGTCTAGAGTGGGGCCTAAGAATTTGCGTTTTTAACAAGTTCCCAGGTGATGCTGATGCTGCTGGTCTGGGGGAATCACACTTTGATAACCACTGACATCTGTGACCCAGTAAAACACTTATGGAGACAATTAGGGATTAAGAAATTAACTATACTGGCAGAGAACCTAGCATAAAGTCAGGTGGGCAAGTCTTTGCTTAACTGCTGTATTTATGTAGTTCAGTCTCTTCAAATAGGTATACTGGAAGACCAGAACCGTGGTCTTTACATTTTTAAGTGCTTCCTATGTCCTAATACAATGCAATCTAAATATTAGGCACTGGGATACACACACACACACACACACACACACACACACACGTAGGAACACACAAAGTGAATTTCACTTCTACTATTTAATATAAGCATTTTTCCAGTTTCAAAAATTTAATCTTTGAAATATGCTTGCCAATTTCTTTTGCTACAGTAGAGGGAGCTACAACCCAAATTTTACTAATGTAGCAATACACAATAAGGCTATTCTTCTCCATCCTTGTTCATTAGTCTTTTTAAAAAAACTTTTAAAATCAGCTTTATTGAAATATGTTAAGTGTACAGTTTATTGCATTTTGGCAAATGTTTAAGCCTGGGTAAACATCAGCCTTACTTGATGCATGGAATATTTCCATTCTAATTTGGCAGTCAGTTCTACCCACCCCCAAACTCTAATCTGCTTTCTGTCACTATAGGTTGCTGCTTGTGAAATTTCATATAATTTGAATCATGCAGTATTAGGGAGGAGGTAAAGGATAATCATTGTTTAAGGGGTATAGAGTTTGAGTTTTACAAGGTAAACAATGTGAATATACTCAACACTACTGAACTGTACACTTTAAAATGGTTAAGGTGGTAAATTTTATGTTACGTGGCTTTCACCACAATAACGTTTATGTTTGGTTTTTTTTACATAATATTTTTTAGGTTAATCCATGTTGCATTTATCAATAGTTCATTCCTTTCTATTGATGAGTATTATGCTCTTGTTTGGATATACCACATTTTATTTGTCCATTCACTTTTTGATGGTCCGTTAATCATGTGTTTTTGAAAGGAATCAGAAAAAAAGAATTGTTTACCATTTGGCTACACTTAATCTTGCTCTTAATTTTTTCTTTCTAGTAATTTTCAAATTCATCCCTTAAAAGTAATTTCATCTAATTTACTATTATTAAATAAATATTATAAAATAATTTGCTATTTATTAAATAAAAATTCTAAATGTTTTTAATCTGGTGCTTCTAAAAGCAGAAATGTAGGAGCTAAAATTTGTGGCAACAGTTTTTCTCTCAAAACTCAGGTAAATATTGTTGCCTGCAGTTTATTGCCCTAAGTTTGTCTGGCTTTTTAAAAAATTTCATTGTCTTCTAGTTCTTCCTTTGCAAACAATTTTACTAAGCAAGTTATTCTTGATATTTAGTTTGGTTTGCTAACTTAGCTACTTTTTCTAAGGGAACATATTGTAGTATTGTAAAGAAAGCTAGTAATAAATGAATAGAGTAATAGATTTGTGATACCAACTTGATACCAATTTGTGATACCAGCTTACCTCTAGGAGGTAAGTATATGTGCACTTCACTGTAAAATTCTTCCAACATTTCTATGTTTGGAAGTTTTACAGGCTGGGCACAGTGGCTCATGCCTGTAATCCCAGCACTTTGGGAGGCCAAGGCGGGTGGATCACCTGAGTTCAGGAGTTCGAGACCAGCCTGGCCAACATGGTGAAACCCCGTCTCTACTAAAAATACAAAAATTAGCCGGGCATGGTGGTGCATGGCTGTAATCTCAGCTACTTAGGAGGCTGAGACAGGAGAATCACTTGAACCCGGGAGGCAGAGGTTGCAGTGAACCAAGATCATGCCACTGCACTCCAGCTGGGGGACACAGCAAGACTCCATCTCAAAAAAAAAAAAAAGAAGAAAAAGAAAGTTTTATAAAATACTGGGGGCCAAAGGGAGGGGAAAACTAGTAAATTATCCAGAATAGGTATTGGTACTGATGTTATTGTCGTATCCTCTCATAGTTTTAATTCTCTTTTTTACTGCTGTTGTTATCTTCATTTGCTTATGAAGTTATTCTCAGTATAAGCAAATGAATGCACAGTTAGCTAGCTATCAGACTATTAAAGCAAATTCCCTGAGCAAGGTTTTGAAGTAAGTTCAGAGACAACTCTGTTAGTGGCTTTGTCCATAAAACATCAATAGTAGTATGACTTTTAAATTTCTGAGCACAAGTGACTAAGTAATATATTTTGGAGAGAGAGAATCAGTGGGATCATTGTGGGTGAGGATTCTCAGATGAGGGGAAAAAACGGTTAGAGAAGACTGAAAAACAAAGCCACTATTTCCTTTGTTTATCTTTTATCTTGTCTGCAACTGGATCTTGAAGTTAGCCTCCTACCATGAGAGAACTGTTTTTCCAGCTGGATGAAAAGAGTAGCATCAAGTCCCCTATTCTGCTGTTTTCTGCTCACTTACTCCTGGAGACAAGCTAAGTCAAATCAATATGTACTTATAAGTACCTGCTTTCTCAGAGTTGTATTTGAGAATTAAAGTATATGAAATGTATACTCTACCCATAAATAGCTTGGAGTCTGGTTTAGAAATCTCTTACCTTTAGGCATGGACAAATTTAATAAAAGTACAAAGTATATATGCAGTTGGCCCTCCATGTCAATGGGTTCATGGATTCAACCAAACATGGATTGAAGATATAGTTTTTTAAAAATTACATCTGTTTTGAGCATGTATATACCTTTTTCTTGTCATTATTCCCTAGGCAATATAACAACTATTTACATAGATTTAAAGTATGTGGGAGCATATGCATTGGTTATATGAATATACTATACCATTTTATATCAAGGATTTGAGCATTCAAGGATTTTTGTATCTGCGAGAGGTCCTGGAACCAATCCCCCATAGATACTGAGGGACAACTGTATTCAGTGCTAAATAGAAAATAAATGTTTTAGAAATTCAGAGAAGGGAATTTTGGTGCAGGCCAGAGTAGTCATGAAGAAAGACTAAAATGATGCTGAATTAGTAAGATGTTAATAGGTGGGGTAAAACAGAAAGTAGCTTTGTGAAAAGAAGGATTCAGCCTGAAAAAATACCTTTAAAAAAACACTAAAGAAACTAGACCGACTAAAGTACATTCACTAGGAGAAGTAGTAGGAAATAAGAGCTCTAGAATCAAAATCAGGGAAGCAGCATGGATGACCCTTGAGGACATTATGCTAAGTGAAATAAGTCAGCCATAAAAAGACAAATATGGGGTGATTCCACTTCTATGAGGTCTCTAAAGTAGTCACATTTATGGAAACAAAGTAGAATGTTGGTTACCAGGGACCTGGGGAGGGGAATGGAAATGAGTTTTAGTTTTGCAAAGAACAGTGTGAATATACTTAATACTACTGAACTATACGCTGAAAAATGGTGAAGATGGTAAACTTTATGTCATGTGTTTATTACCACAATAAAAAAAATATAAGGAAAGCAATGGCATGCTAAAAAGGGAATTATAAGATAAAATGCAAAGCACTCATACTTTAACTCCAACCTCCTCTCCTCTAACCCCTTCAATCCAACTTTTCCCTTCTTTAAAATTATCTTTTTCCTATCCCACTGCTTCCCTCCATTATTCCTAAAATATTAATATTAATTGCAAAATCACATTTGAAATAGTATCTTGATATATAATTTATTTGGATTCTTGCAGTAATTTAAAATAACAGATTATATTCCAGGTAAACAAATATGGCTAAGATGAAACTAGAACCCCAAAGGAAGAAAAGTAACTGATTATTTTAAATTGCTACTACAAATGCAGTTGGATTGAAGAAAATATAGATGTATTTAATGTCCATTTTCACAAAATTCTAGGAAGTCATGGTATGAAGACAGAAAGGAACTAGTCATCATGAAGAATCAGAAAGGATTTCTAAGAACAAGTTCTTGCTGGACCATCTAATGTTCTTTTTGGATTGGATTAATAATAGACTTGAGAGTAGGGGATTCCATGAACATAATTACATGGCATTCAGCAAATTGTTTGACACAGTCTCTCACAATGGATGAGTGGAACTTCTGCTTACTCTAAAGATGGAACCAGATTTACCCTTCTGCCTGAAATAAATGACAAAATATATGTGAAATAATGGTTTTGAAACACCAGACAGGAGGCAATGAAGGACAGTAATCTCTGAGAAACAGGAAACAAATGAAGTAAGCCCTGTAATTGCCCCAGCTGTCTTGATAGAGTTTCCAGGACATGATACAGGGAGGGGACTTGAGACAAAGCCCAGCGTGCTCCCTGAGGAGATGAAGCTGTGAGTGTGGGGAAACTAAGGTAGCTAGAATTCACAGGACAGTACCAGAGAGAAGAGAGCTGCAGAGAGAAATAACCAAGGGAATGCACTGGAGTGTTCAGCAGAGTGCTGATCATCACATGCATGTGAAGAACCTACCTGAGGTGAGGGAAAGAATCATCCTAGAGGATTAAAGGCAGCAGTTTCTGGCACTCACACAGGGCCACATAGGGTTGCAGGAACAGTGCCTGTTACCAGCAACCAGACTGTAAAAATTCATATTCAAGTGGCACTGGGTAGAGTGAGTACTCAGGAAGGTCCTGCCTCAATAGTGGGGAATAACCTGCTGCTTTGGACCTATGTAGCAAATAATGAAAGCAAGACCTGAAAGGATCAGACTGTTTCTAAGTGATCTAACTACATCCCTGAACAAAACTCAAGGTTTATATAAAGGAATATAAAAATAACTACCACCCAACAAAGTAAAATCTGTAATGTCTAGCATCTTAGTCAAAGATTACCATGCATGCCAAGAGGCAGTACAATGTGATCAATAATTATGAAAATAAAACCAACTTAGAACTGATAAAGATGTTAGAATTAGTAGACAATGACAGTTAAAATATTTATGATAACTATGTTCCCTCTATTCAAAAAGTTGAGACCTAGAAGATATAAAAACCCAAATCAAATTTCTCTAAACAAAAACTGTAATGTTTCAGTTGAAAAATATACCAGATGAGATTATTAGCATGTTAGACATTGCAGAAGTAAAAATTAGTGAACTTGAAGACTTAGCAATGAAACTATCCAAAATGAAACAAGAGCAAAAAATAAGAATCTTATAAAAATAGAAAGTTGTCAGTGATGAGCTATGAGACAACTTACAGTGGCTTAAAATACATGAACTTAGAATCTCCAAAGAAGAGAACACAAGAAGGTGGACCCCCAAAAAAACCCTTTTTTTGAAGAAATAATGGCAAAAAACTTTCCAAACTTGATGTAAACTATTTACCCACAGGTCCAAGAAGCTAAACAAACTCCAAGCACAAGAAACATGAATGAAGAAAACTTTACCAAGACACCTTATAATCAGATTGCTCAAAACCAGGGGTAAAGAAAAAAATCTTTAAAGCAACAGAGGAGAAAGAAAAATTAGGTAAACAGGAACAAATATAAAAATGGCAGCAAGAATCAACCATGGAATTTTAAACCATCTGATATAGGAAATGGAAAGACTTAAAGTAATTTTACAGAGGATCTTTATATCATGACAGTTCATGAATTTCATAAAAATAAAAATATTTGCCACTGAAGATTGATCCAAATTCTGAAAAAGCAAGAGTTTACTATAAAACAAAGACAAAAACCTATTATAAAGAAGCTCGTCTGATTACCCAGTGAAAATGCATAATTTAAAAGAACTCAAAAAGTACCAACATGAACTATCTAAGAATAAAAGAAAACTTGTTATTTAGCAGCGCATATACTTTGGCAATGAATACTGGAGAAAAGATAAAACTATTTTTACTTTTCACATTATTCTTGGAAAATCACTGTTCAAATCCCTTTTATAAGTACATATTTACTAATAAAAACATGGTAACAGAAAGGGATGTAGTATATTTTAAATGGTGTATGTTTTCTTTTATGATGAAATGTTATGGATGGCCCACATCTTTTATGAGGTGAAACCATTTTGTAAAAATATTAGCGAAAGAAAGTGAAATTGATTTAAAAAAACAGTAAAGAAGAAAAAGTTTTTAAAAAGAATGATAGTTGCTTTAAACTTTAAAACAACAGCAATTAAAAGAGACAGAGGGACATTATATAATGATAAAAGGTCTTGTCCAACAGGAAAATATCACAGTCCTAAACATATATGCACCTAACACTGGAGCTCCCAAATTTATAAAACAATTACTGATAGACCTAAGAAATCAGATAGACAGCAACACAACAATAATGGAGGACTTCAGTACTCCACTGACAGCACTAGACAGGTCAACAAGACAGAAAGTCAACAAAGAAACAATGGATTTAAACTATACCCTGGAACAAATGGACTTAACAGATATATGCAGAACATTCCATCCAATAACCGCAGAATACACATTCTATTCAAGAGTGCATGGAACTTTCTCCAAGATAGACCATATGATAAGCCATAAAACAAGCCTTAATAAATTTAAGAATATTGAAATTCTGTCAAGCCCTCTCTCAGACCACAGTGGAATAAAACTGGAAAGCAACTCCAAAAGGAGCCTTCAAAACCATGCAAATACATAGAAATTAAATAACCTGTTCCTGAATGAGCATTGAGTCAAAAACGAAATCAAGATGAAAATTTAAAAATTCTTTGAATTGAACAGCAGTAGTGACACAACCTATCAAAACCTCTGGGATACAGCAAAGGCAGTGCTAAGAGGAAAGTTCACAGCCCTAAATGCCTACGTCAGAAAGACCGAAAGAGCACTAACTGACATTCTAAGATCACACCTCAAAGAACTAGAGAAACAAGAACAAACCATACTCAAACCTAGCAGAAGAAAGGAAATAACCAAGATCAGAGCAGAACTAAATGAAATTGAAACAAAAAAAATACAAAAGATGAATGAAACAAAAAGCTGGTTCTTTGAAAAGATAAAATTGATAGACCATTAGCAAGATTAACCAAGAAAAGAAAGAAAATTCAATTAACCTCATTAAGAAACAAAACAGGAGATATTACAGCTGACACCACTGAAATACAAAAGATCATTCAAGGCTACTGTGAACACCTTTACACACATAAACTAGAAAACCTAGAAGAGATGGATAAATTCATGGAAAAATACAGCCCTCCTAGCTTAAATCAGGGAGAAATAGATACCCTGAACAGACCAATAGAGAAGCAGCGAAATTGAAATGGTAATTTAACAATTACCAACAAAAAAAAGCCCAGGAACAGACGGATTCACAGCAGAATTCTATCAGACATTCTAAGAAGAATTGGTACCAATCCTTTTGACACTATTCCGCAAGACAGAGAAAGAAGTAACCCTCCCTAATTCATTCTATGAAGCCAGCATCGCCCTAATACCAAAACCAGGAAAGGACATACCCAAAAAAGAAAACTACAGACTGATATTCTTGATGAACCAGATGCCAAAATCCTTTACAAAATACTAGCTAACCGAATCCAACAACATATCAAAAAGATAATCCATCATAATCAAGTGGGTTTCATACAAGGGATGCAGGGATGGTTTAACATATGCAAGTCAATAAATGTGATATCCCACATAAACAGAACTAAAAATCACATGATCATCTCAATAGATTCAGAAAAAGCATTTGGCAAAATCCAGCATCCGTTTTATGATTAAAACTCTCAGCAAAATCGGCATACAAGGGACATACCTCAATGTAATAAAACCAACTGTGACAAACCCACAGCAAACATAATAGTGAATGGGGAACAGTTGAAAGCATTCCCTCTGAGAACTGGAACAAGACAAGGATGCCCACTCTCACCACTCCTCTTCAACTAGCACTGGAAGTCCTAGCCAGAGCAATCAGGCAAAAGAAAGAAAGGGCATCCAAATTAGTAAAGAGGAAGTCAAACTGTCAGTGTTTGCTGATGATATGATCATTTACCTTGAAAACCCTCAAGACTCCTCTAGAGAGCTCCTAGAACTGATAAAATAATTCAGCAAAGTTTCCAGATACAAAATTAATGTACACAAATCAATAGCTCTTCTATACAACAACAGCAACCAAGTGGAGAATCAAATCAAGAACTCAGCCGCTTTTACAATAACTGCAAAAAATAAAAATAAAACACTTAGGAATATACCTAACCAAGGAGGCAAAAGACCTTTACAAGGAAGACTACAAAACATGCTGAGAGAAGTCATAGATGACACAAACAGATGGAAACATCCCATGCTCATGAATGGGTAGAATGAATATTGTGAAAATGACCATACTGCCAAAAGCAATCTACAAATTCAATGCATTTCCTGTCAAAATACCACCATCATTCTTCACCGAACTAGAAAAAACATCCTAAAATTCATATGGAACAAAAAAAGAGCCTACATAGCCAAGGCAAGACTAAGCAAAAAGAACAAATCTGGAGGCATCACACTTCCTGATTTCAGACTATACCTCAGGCCATAGTCACCAAAACAGCATGATACTTGTATAAAAATAGGCACACAGACCAATGGAACAGAACAGAGAACCCAGAAATAAAGCCAAATAGTTACAGCCAACTGATCTTCGACAAAGCAAACAAACAAAGTGGGGTAAAGACACCCTTTTCAACAAACGGTGCTGTGATAATTGGCTAGCCACATGTAGAAGAATGAAACTGGATCCTCATCTTTCATCTTACACGAAAATCAACATAAGATGGATTAAGGACTTTCAGACCTGAAACTATAAAAATTCTAGAAGATAACATTGGAAAAACCCTTCTAGACATTGGCTTAGGCAAGGATTTCATGACCAAGAACCCAAAAGCAAATGCAACAAAAACAAAGATAAATAGCTGGGACTTAATTAAACCAAAGAGCTTTTGCATGGCAAAAGGAAGAGTCAGCAGAGTGAACAGACAACCCACAGAGTGGGAGAAGAAGATGTAAAAGTGGTCCACAAACATGAGAAAATGCTCAACATCACTAATGATCAGGGAAATGTAAATCAAAACCACATTGCGACACCACCTTACACCTGCAAGAATGGCCATAATCAAAAAATCAAAAAACACTATATGTGGGCGTGGATGCAGTGATCAGGGAACACTTCTGCACTGCTAGTGGGAACGTAAACTTACACAACCACTATGGAAAACAGTGTGGAGATTCCTTAAATCACTAAAAGTAGAACTACCATTTGATCCAGCAATCCCACTAGTGGGTATCTACCCACAGGAAAATAAGTCATTATACAAAAACGATTCGTGCACATGCATGTTTATAGCAGCACAGTTCACCATTGCAACCCAAATGCGTGGAACCAACCCAAATGCCCATTAATCAATGAGTGGATAAAGAAACTGTGGTATATTTATACGATGGACTACTACTCAGCTATAAAAAGGAACCAATTAACAGCATTTGCAGTGACCTGGATGAGATTGGAAACTATTATTCTAGGTGAAGTAAATCAGGAATGGAAAAACCAAGCATCGTATGTTCTCACTGATATGTGGGAGCTAAGCTATGAGGACACAAAGGTGTGAGAATGATACAGTGGACTTTGGGGAGTTTGGGGGAAGAGTGGGAGGGTGGCGAGGGATAAAACACTACAAATATGAGGCAGTATGTACTGCTTAGGTTATGGGTGCACCAAAATCTCTCAAATCACTGCTAAAGAACTTACTCATGTAACCAAATACCACCTGTACCCCAGTAACTTATGGAAAAAAATGAATGACAGCAGAGTCCTCATCAGAACCAATATTCCTCCTGAACATAGATAGAACTAAACAAGATTTTGACAAATCAACTCTAACAACAAATTACATAGATAATATGTTATGACTAAATGGGTTTATCCCAGGTGTGGAGGGTTGATTTAATGTTTGAAAATCAATGAACTAAAATAGACCACCTCAGTAGACAGAAAAATTATTTGGCAAAATCCAACACCCATTTCTGATAAAAACTCTCAGCAAACTGGGAATAGAAGGAAACTTCTTACCCTGATAAGGGCATATATGAAAAACCTACAGCTAACATCATATTGAAAAACTGAATGTGTTGCTCTTAAGATTAGGAACAAGACAAAGGTGTCTGCTCTCTTCACCACACCTGGCCGGATTTTTTTTTAAACTGTTTTATTTCAGTAGGTCTAGTTGTTCATCTTACTGGATTTCTTATACACTATTCTGAAACCTCTTGTCTTTGTGTTTAGATCATTTGGGTGTCTGAGGTTTATTTCTTTGATGTTTTTCATCAAAGCTGCTCAAAATACGTTATTGGTTTTCTGTGCCATTAAAAGTGAGCTCACTTCATGTTCTTGTTGAATTCTAACTGAAGCTCATTTCTCCCCTTTTTATTTTCAGATATTTGTATCTGCTGTTCTCCGGTGATGACCTTTTACCTTTAGACCACTGGGTGTTTAATACAGAGGCTCACCCTCTGCCTGTGTTACATTTAGCCAACACCACACTTTCAGGTAATCCTGCTGTTCGATGAAAGCAGTTCCAGAAGGACCATTCTCACCTGTGTTTTGTTTACATGGACCACTACAGAAATTAGTTTGAAGGGGCGGCTTTTGAAAACCTGGACCTCTATGTCAACATGACAGGGTGAAACTATTCCCCCTAAGACTGTTCAACTTGTAGATACATCAACTTTGAAATTATTCCATTTTATACCTGACCAAAACATGTTCTGATATGTGTAGGACAGAGACCTGGATGTGCTTTGATCGTTAATGAGGTGGTCACATGAGAAATGATACCTGTTACTACTGTATTGTTTTTAGAGTCCTGAAGTCTGGAGGCTAGACTTCCTGAAAGCAAGTCAAGAATATAGAGCACCTTGCAGGAGTTCAAGATGGCCTTTGGAACCAATTATGTATTTGTTTCCTCCTACAGTGGAGCAGCATTCAAATCAAATATTTACATATTGCTTATCACTTTTTCTCCATTTTAATAATGGAATGAACTAAAATAAACAAGAACAAAAGAATAGTATAATTATATCAGTAACAAGAAGACTCAAAAAAGAAACAGGAGTACCTATCCCTATCTGAATTTTCAAGTTCCCCATTGGATGACCAGACTGGCAACCATTTCAAATCCCAGTCTATTTCATTGAAATTTCTTGGTTAAGTTTAATTTTCTCTGGGGGCATGATCTCACAAAGAATACTCAAGTCTTTTTCTTCTTATGGAATCATCGAAACTGCTATTTATCATAATCACCACTTATGAGCCTGGGTTTGGGATTTTGTGCATGTAGTTCAGTCTAGTGTTGGTAGCATGACAGAAAGTGGGGAAAATGCCGCAGTTTGTTGCCTTGAAACCTAAGAGCAATCCTTGGTTTTGTTGCTACATTATTTTTCCAGACCAACACATCTACCAAGTAAATTTTATTCACTTTAATTTCATAATAAAGTTAGTAGAGTCACTCAACTTACAACTTTATTTATGTGGCTTGGCAAAAATCACTATAAGGCAGCTCTAAATTTGCCTTGATAAGCTAAATAAATTACTTTTATAACTTACTAAAGCAGAACAAACAGTGAAACTTTCTAAAATATTCTATCTGGAATAGGGACAGGGGATCTTTTATTTATAATCTCATCAGATGAGTGAGTTGTTCACAGATATTTTATGTTTTTTTAATTTTCTCCAAGAATATTTATAGAATTCCAAAGAATCAGAATAGTTTCAAAATAATTTTCAGTGATAAAAGAGTGTTGTAATTAATCATATTACACTAAAATTGGGATACATCTAAGGAACTTTATCTTACTATCAGTAGGTTTTGCATTGATATTTCTTTTTAAATAAACTACTAGTTCTTTATATTTTGACAAAAAGAACTTAAATTTTATCAGGAACTGTAAGATAAATATCTAGTGCTTATAAATTTTCTGTCCTTAAATTTATGTGACAGTGCAAGATACTTTTGCTCTTTTCATTTAATATAGGCATCTTCCATTGACATTAATAAAACTTAGAAACAGTATAATTAGTATAACATTTACTCTGAATTTGAAGATTTCCTGAAACAAAGTTTGTACAAGAAGCCCACCTTGGAATTCTGAAGGCTTATTTTCTTGTTTGATAAGCTTTTCTTTTAAACTTAGGTTTTAAGTTGGGGAAAGACTTAATTAACTAATATAGTATTTTCTAAGGTTGATCATCTTATACCACGAATCGTTAATTTTGACAGTTCTACTGATCCGTAAATGATAACCACTGCAAATTTTTTCAGTATAAAATTTTTCACTGCAAAAAAATTTCAGTAGAAAATAAGGATGCAGGGCCAGTTACAATAGTCCTTAAGAGAGTTAAATTATAGCACATGTTTTGACATTGTAATATCTTTTACTACTTGAACATTTAAATTTCTAAATGAGAAAGGTATATATATTACTGTAACTGTAGAAGGGAAAAGGGAAAGTATTTGGTTCTAAAAAATGTTAGCCTTCCTCGTAAAAGTAGCACAAGCCCACTTATGAATCACTGAGAAAAAGTGAAAAACTTGAGTTGGCAAAGATGCAGAGCAGCAGTGCAGATGGCAATGAACTCTCTGAATTCTCTTTTACCTTATTTAGAAGAATGCAGAGTAAAGGGACCTTCTTGGTTCTGCAGGAACTTCTCAAGGGATGAGGAGACAGAACCCCTACTTCCAAGTGCTCTATTTGTATTACCCAGATGACTGAAGCTTAAGAGAAGGCAGGGAAGTATACAAGCAGAGCCAGTTCTGGTACAAACAAAGAATTTGACAGGGACAATGGAAGGGTCTTCTTCACCACTCCTTACCTTCTATGTGATGGAAAGACTAGAGCTTATAAAAGTACTTCCATTTTTTTATTCTCCTGAATACCAAAGGCAATTAAAGTCAGCTACAAATGACTTGCCAGTGTCATGTTTTATTTTTGTTATAGATTTTTAAATTATTTCCTTCAAGATCAATTCTTATCCCATATAATGCTTAGCTTCCAAGAATATTCTTTACTTTCTTCTGTCTTTTACAGCTCTTTGCATTTTGTAGACCTTAATACTCAGGTTAAATATTCATTGCATTTATAAGATCTTCTGCAAAAAGCCCAGAAATGGTCCTTTTCAGGTGCCTCTTCAAAGAGCTGACACCTTACCTTGTGCCTTTGGCACAAATGTGCAGAATAGATACATCAGTTGGTGCATAATCGAAAAAAATAGGAATTTTGAACACTGTTCTTCCTTCTACATTTATTTCTCTTCATTTTAGAATCACACTTTTTATGTTAAACCAGATTATTATTATTATTATTATTCAACCAGTATTAAGTTGTTAAAACCAAGGGAATGGGGCCCTAACCAAAAAGAAGTCTCAACTCAGAAAAATAAGTCCCCAGTCAGGTGGTTCTTACTTTCTTGTGGGTTGCACATTTTGTATCTCTCTAACATCAGCGTATTCCTGACTTTAAGCAGGTGTTTATATGTAAAATAAAACCTGGGTATCGAAGGGAAATGCATTCTTTTTATGGAGTATTGACCCTGATCCTCTATGATGTCATATAGAGCAACTCAGGGCTATACTTGCTAGATTTTAACCAAGCAGTTTGAAATATTAATCATCATCCTCTCATCTTCTCCACTCTCCATTGCCAAAGTCTTTGTCAAAACTCCAAATTTGTTGATAAAAGATTGTGTTTGCCATTCTCATTTATAATGCAGTTTCTCCTTAAGCCTGGAGTTTTTTGAATGAGTGCATGAGTAAATGAGAGAATGTGTGAACGAACATTTATGAAGTATCTAACATGTGCCAAGCATTGTGCCTGGCACTTTCAATCATTAGAATGTTTTATGTGATTCCACAGCATTTTCTGTATGAGAGTAGCTCACAACATTTTAAATGTTTCCAATATGAATCGTGTTACAAAATTCTTAATTTTATATTTCATATAAATTAAAGAGGAAAAAGAAAAGGTTTATAATATATTTTAAAACAATGTGTTACTGTATAATACAACTATAATTGTAGTTAATAACTAAAACCTCTTGAAAATGTCAAAGAAATACTTGATTTCTGATGCAACTTTGACTAAAATATTTACTTTAGAAATAAAAACGTTCTTATTTTGCTATATCACTTTAATTGCATAATTAAAAAGCAGTGTTTTATAGAAATGCTGGTTATTTTATATTCAAAAAGATTTTGTCACATAATTCATGGGTAAAACTTGCAGTTGTAAATTGTGTCTGCTCTGGTATGGGCCCTATTAATAGTCCCATGCTGTTAAATATAAAGAAAAATATACTAAAATATTCAAAGTTCCAAATAACAGTTCCTAGTAATAGTATTTTGAGTTATTTTTCTTTAGGTTTCCTTATACTCAAATTGGCTAGGTCCTATCTTTTCCTCTCTCTCTCTCTCTCTCTCTCTCTCTCTCTCTCTCTCTATATATATATATATATATATATATATATGAGAGATATATGAGATATATGAGAGATCAAGATCTATATATGTATATAAATACAATTATACACAGATAATTTTTAATACTCTTTGTTAACAAACACAGTTGAAAACTGGTTTCGGCTGCACAAATAAGCAGAATATTTGAGTAACTATATATGATATGGAGATATTTTAATCCATTTATCCTGGCTCAAGAACACTGATAAAGATGATTTTCTGTTACTTTAGCTCATTCAGATCAGGATGGACATGCTCTTTTTGATCTATAACTGTTCAGCCAGCTTCCAGATAATATTTTAGGCTATGAGAGCTATACAGTCTCTCTTATTACTCATTTCTGCTGTTGAAGTATCGAAAACAGATAGAGATACTATGTAAAGAATGGGCGTAGCTATGTTCCAGGAAAACTTTATTTACAAAAGCAGATGGAGGGCTGGATTTGGTCCATGGGTCATAGTTAGTGACCCTGATCCCAAGTTTATTTTGTGTTAGACCCTCTAACCTTTGATCTGCGTCTTTTCTGTTTTGATTTACATAATTCATTTTTAAATCAAAAAGATGTGCGTATATATGGTTGTGTGTATCTGTATAACCTAAAGCTATAATATTTTGTTGTCTTGAAAGCAGATACACTCTTCCTGGAGTCTGTTCAGGTTTCAGGACGATTGACTATAATGAAAGAGACAGAATAGGGTAAGGGAAGATGGGTATGCTATCAGCCATTTTCTTTGCCTTGTCATTTAATGCCATAATTTCAGATTCTCTATGTAAAAAGAAGGTCTGTGTATTGTCAAAATAATATACTCTCCAAGTTCTCCTGCTCATTGACCCTTGAACCAGGATTCTGGATTGCTAGAGCTGCAGAAATTCACCCACTTGGGTACTCTTAGAGCTCTACAGCAAGAATATGATAGAATGTCTGATCTTTGTGCTGCAGAAAGCAAACTTTTGAAGAATTCTAAGCAACAGAAAATGGGTTATGTGACTCATCTGCTATTTGGCAGCCACTATTCCTTTTTTAGACTGCAGAACGGTACTGCCCCTGTTACCTCTAGAATAGCCTGAGTCTGAGGAGTGCAGAGAAAAGATATATCCAAAAGGAGAATCCCTTTCTCTTGCATAACTCTCAATCCTTTACAAGTAAGTAGCATTATTTCAGAATGTCTATATGCATCATTTTCAACTAAAGCATACCTCATCCTTAAACTTCCACTATTTAACAGCTAATCCATTTCAAACTTGGTTTGAGCCTAGCAATTGCAGAACTCATAAAATTGCTTGTGAAATTACACACCATATTACTAGCATATACATTGCAGTGCTCCAATCATGCTAACAGATAATAGATTTTTCTTTAAGAATTTTATCAAATATTTCACTATTTGGGGAAATTTTAGAGGAGGGGAAGCCTGTATTCAGGATGATAGAGGGAGCAGAGACTTACTGTCTCTCTTCCACATTATAAATGAACTGCCTTTCCAGGTCCAACATGCTGTCAGGTTGCTTCAGCTCGGTGTGAATGTAAGTGTGGGGATCAAACACACACACCTATACACATACATATTAATATGCAGAGGATTTTAAATAATTGCAAATGTCTTGTGGCTGTTTTATTTCTACAAAATTCTGTAAGATGTATACCAGAAAACATAATAAAGATAAGCTCAGTTCTTCATTGGGAAAAAATATTTTTAAAGAAAATTTAGAAGTTTTTGCTGAATTAAAGTATCTTCAATTTTAATTACTGGATTTGGAAGTTGAAATGCCATCCTTCAATATCACTGGTCTCAAATTCATTGATAGAATTTTTTCTTAAACTAATAAGTGGGGTAAGTATAATCTCCTAAATTGGTACCCACTGGCTGCTCCTAAACTGGTTTCCAGTCATGTCCTCCAGTATGTGATTTTTATAAATTAAAGGTAATATTGTATATTAAAGTTCAAATAAAGATGTTCTTTAAGTGAAAATTCTTTGTTTAGCCTTCATTTTTACCCGCTGATGACAGTTCAGTTTCTTCCTATGTACAGAAGAGCAACGTTGGCTTTTACAGTAACTGGTGGTCTTCAGTCTCTCATTCAGAGAGTATTTCTTTTGGATCAGCTAATCTTTACATTCTTGATGTTATAGAAAGATGAAGAGCTTGCTTAGAGAGTCGTATTTTATTCCAACTGATTTTGAGAAAACAAACCATAGACTTATGTGACAACCTTATAGTATTACTGTGATGTTATCTCTAAGACCTAGTCCAGTTCAGCCTCTGAGATCATTAAGCTTAAAGACTGCCTCAGTCACTGGACCTCATTCTGTCACACTAAAATCTGACCTGACCCTTCTTAAGTGATTTTTGGGCAAATATAGGCCCAAAAGCCTTCAGCAATAGTATCAGCTGGACTATAGATAGTGGTTTAGTCTGTCAATACTGTAAAAGTAAAGGATATTTAAAACCCCTTACCCGGGGAGCATCAAATAAGGTAGTGGTAAAAACCTTCTGAAATAACAGCTAGTTTACATCCTTGATTTCTTAATTCTTCCTGGCACAGTGGATTTCAACTTGATCAAAATTTTAGACTTAAGAAATTACATTGTGGATGTATCAAAATTAATTGCAGACATATTTTCTGGAACAACTAAAACAGGACCAGAAAAAATTAAAAAAATAAGGAGCTCTAAGTGACTATAATTTGATAAAATCTGGGCTTCTCTTTGTTTGCCAGATAACTGAAATATCCATCTTTATTTCATTGGATTGCAAAGGAACTGTCATTATGCAAATAATGCTCAGAATGGTTCAGATAGTGAGTGAGCCTGCACCCTTACTTCTTGGTTGACCTAACAAGTTTCTTTTATTTTTATTGTAAAATATATCTAACATAAAATTTGCTATTTTAACCATTTAAATGTACAATCTGATGTCATTAATAATTACATCAGCAATGTTGTGCAACATATTGCCACTACCTATTTCTAGATTTTTCACCATTCCAAACAGAAACTCTGTAACCATTAAGCAATAACTCCCCAGTGCTCCCTTTCCTCCCCCAACTTCTGGTGTATTAGTCGGTTCTCACACTGCTAATAAAGACATACTCGAGAATGGGTAATTTATAAAGAAAAAGAAGTTTAATGGACTCACAGTTCCACATGGATGGGAAGGCCTCACATGGTAGAAGGCGAAGGAGCAAAGGCATGTCTTACATGGCAGCAGGCAAGAGAGCTTGTGTAGGGGAACTGCCCTTTATAAAACCATCAGATTTCATGAGACTTATTCACTATCACAAGAACAGCAGGGGAAAAAGCCCACCCCCATGATTCAATTACCTCCCACCAAGTCCCTCCCACAGCATGTGGGGATTATGGGAGCTACAGTTCAAGATGAGATTCAGGTGGGGACACAGCAAACCATATTACCTGGTAACCTTGAATCTACTTTCTAAGACAAATTTCTTAACCCTACTAAATCTCAATTTTCTTGCCTCTAAAAGAAGGATAATACAGGATTTCTAGGATAATTAAATGAGAAAAATCCAGGCACCTAGCCCAAATTTAGCTTAAAGCTTTAGTTGTTTTTACGTATTTTTGTTAGCAGATTGCAGTAATCATTTCTAAAGGAACAGAAAAAAAATAATAAGGGCAATTAAAACAGGGCAGTGAAGAGCCAATGAAACATCTAATTATACCTTCTCATTTTAGGCACAAGGAAAGTGAAACCCAAAAGGGAGGGTAAAATGAAGGCAAGTCTTCCAGTGTTATCCTTCATGGTTCTATGAAATAAGACGTGTATTTTTGTTGTGGTTATAAAAAAAAGTTTAATATGCAAATACATCAATAATGCATGTGAACCAAGCACTTTAAAAACTATAGCAGAAGTCACTTTTTGTTGGATACACAGCAAAAATATATACAAAAAGTTAATAGCAGTTATCTTTATATCATAAGGACATAACAATTTCTTGCAATTTCCTTAACTTTTAAAAGAAACTTTTACTGAGGTATGATTTACATAAAATATTCCCACTCTTAAGTGTATGATTTAATGATTTTTTAGTAAGTTTATAAAACTGTACAACCATCCCACAATACACAAAGATCCCATGTATTGATTTGCAGTCAATCTCCATTTCCATCCCAGCCACTGGTAACCACTGGTCTACTTTCTGTCTCTGTAGATCTGCCTTTTAACTGGACATTTTATATTATGAAATCATACAGTATGTGGTCTTTTGCATCTGGCTTCTTTAACCTAGCATAATGTTTTGCATTTAAGGTTTGTCAATGCTATAGCAACTGTCAAGAGTTATTCCTTTTTACTGCTAAATGAATTTCATTGTATGGATATACCATATTTATCCATTCACTAATTGATAGACATTTGAATTGTTTCCAGTTTTTGGTTATTATGAATGATGCTGTTAAGAATATTTGCATACAAGTCTTTGGGTGGATATATGTCTTCATTTCTCAAGTATATACCTAAGAGTGGAATTTCTGAGTCATATGGTAAAGTTATGTATAACTTCTCAAGAAATTACCACACTGTCTTCCATAGTACTGCTTTTACATTCTCACTAGCAATGTATGATGGCAAGGGTACCAGTTTCTCCACATCTCCACTAATACTTGTTATTGTCTTTTTATTATCTGTCTTTTTTATTATAGCCATTTTAATGGGTGTGAAGTTGTATCTCATTGTGGCTTTAATTTATGTTGCTCAAATGACTAATGGTGTTGACTGTCTGTGATAGTAGCTGTTCATGCCTTTGGTAAAATGTTTATTCCAATATTTTGCCCATTTTAAAAATTGAATTGTCTTATTGAGTTGTAAGAGTTCTTTATATATTCTATATCTATTTTCTCTAAGATTGTGGTTTGTCTTTTCAATTTTTTATTCATGTTTTTGACATGCAAAAAATTTTAATTTTAATGAAGCGCAGTTTATCAATGTTGTCTTCTATGGATTGTGCTTTCTTTCCTAATCCAAAGTCACTAAGAGTTTAGACCTAATTTTTTTTCTAAAAGTTTTATAGTTTTAGCTTTTACATTTAGGTCTATGATTCATTTTGAGTTAATTCCTCATGTATATGAAGGGTCTAACAATGTTTTGTGCATGAATACCCAGTTATCTCAGTATTTATTGAAAAGACTATCCCTTTCCTATAAATTGCTTTGGCACCTTTGTGAAATATCAACTGACATTAATTTCTGGACTCTTAATTTTATCCCATTGATATATGTCTTTTCTTATCCCAGTATCACACTATGTGATAACTAGCATTAGAGCAGTAGTTCTCAGCCAGGGGGTGACTTTGCCCTTCCTCCCTTCAGGGACATTTGGCAATGTCTGGAAACATTTTTGATTGTCATGACTGGGGGTAGGGGGTGATTCTGGCATCTAGTGGGGTAGAATTCAGGTACTTCTTTTTCCTGAAAGTAGGCCACTGTTTCCTGTTTCTTTGCATATCTTGTAATTTTTTGTTGAAAACTGGACATTTTAGATAACATTATTGTAGAACTCTGGGTTCTGATCTCATCTCTGTGACCCAGGGAGGTGGTAGTTGTTGCAACTGCTGTTCTCTTTGTTTAGTGATTGGTGTAGACTAATTCTTTGGAGGCTCTTTTCCCCATGTTGCACAGTCATTGATGTCTTTGCTTAGTTTTGTATTTCTAAAATCTTGTTTATATTTTTTAAGCCTGGCTTCCTAGGAGTCAGCCCTCTGTCAGTATAGTTTAGTGGTCAACAAGTGATTTGTCAGAGGTTGTACCCAAATACCTTTGACTAGGAAGGGCTTCTGCGTGTTGTCAGTGGATCCGTGTGTAAGCTGGAGAACACATTCAAAGTTTATGCAGTTTACAAGTCTTCCCAGCTTTTACTTCACCCAAGGCCTTATGTCTAAGGTCTCACATTTAGTCAGGAATGTTCAGAGGTAGCTAGGGCTTTCTCTGGTTTCTCTTAAATTGTGCTCAACCTTGCTCTTGCGTTCATCCTTCCATGCCACCAGAGATGTGTGGCAAGTACACTATGGCTGTTTCATTCCGTGAATCTCCCTGTTAGTTTCTGGCTTGTCTGTCAATCTCTTGCTTGCCCCAACCAGAACCTCAGGCTAACTGCACTGGCCTTTCCTATTCATTTGCTACTGAGATTCCTTTCATTTCTAACAATGCCCAGGAGCACGGAGTTTTTCTGCATTCTACTCCAAATCAGGTAACCCTCACAGCCTGTCCTGCCCTGATAGAGCTGCCATGCTGATGGAGCTGGAAGGGGATGAGAGCAGCTCTGGGCTAAAACATCACAGACACACTGTTCTTTCCTGGTTCAGGAGTTTTTCTTGGATAAATACTTCTCATTTTGTTGTATGCCTTTGGTCAATTTCCAGAATCCTGAATGGTTCGAGTTTTTTAATTGTCCATTTTATTCCTTTTGAGGGAAATGATTTGCTGAGCTTCTCACTCTGCCATTTGCCATTCCAGAAATGAATAGATAGATGTGTATATAGATACCTTTATTCATATTCTTTATAAGTTCCTCTACAAATTTCAGCCTTTATTTTTATTTTTGAGACAGAGTTTTGTTCTTGTTGCCCAGGCTGGAGTGCAATGGCGCGATCTTGGCTCACCGCAACCTCCACCTCCCAGGTTCGAGCAATTCTGCCTCAGCCTCCTGAGTAGCTGGGATTACAGGCATGCACCACCACAGCTGGCTAATTTTGCACTTTTAGTAGAGACAGGGTTTCTCCATGTTGGTCAGGCTGGTCTCGAACTCCCGACCTTAGGTGATCCGCCCACCTCGGCCTCCCAAAGTGCTGGGATTACCGCCCACCTCGGCCTCCCAAAGTGCTGGGATTACAGCAGTGAGGCACTGTGACCGGCCTATTTTCAGCCTTCTTAAAGCTTTACTCTTCCCATCTGAAAGGCCTTTATCCAATTCCAGCAAAGCCCTGCACATCTTTCCTATTCTCACAAGACTAAAAGCTTTCACAGAACCTTTCCTGATTTCCCAAACTTTGAGTGATTCTTCCATGTTTGTACATCCATAGTTAGTTCATAACTTCTACAACTCTTCACATTCTGCCTTATAATAATCATTTGTGGACATGTCTTTACCTCTTCTATTAGGTTATCAGGTGCTTAAGGATGTAGACAGTATCCTAGTCATCTTTTTATTCCTCTTGACAACAAATTTACTGAATAAACACCCTAGTTCTCAGAGGCCGATACTCTTTCCACCAGGCCAGGCTGCCTCATTTAAGGGTGATTGTAGTCCATTACTCTTGATTCTGAGTTTTCTATCAATAAAAGCTTTATCAAAACCATACACACTAAGAAAAGTCTACGCCTTATAAAAAAGATGGCACGTATTGCTTTCTTTTTCTGCAAATGTAGAAAATACACAGCAAACAATGATTCACAGAGTGTCGGGAGGGCCTAGTGTCAGGGATCCTTAATTAGTAAGGAATCCAAAATTGTAGTCCTTGGTCTTCCCCTGACTGGTTGTAAGGCCTTAGGCAAGTTATTCAACTTCTCTGGACCTCAGTTTATTTTCTGTAAAACGGAACTGGACTAGAACATTGGAATGTAATTCATGAGATCATTAATATAGTTATTCCACACATTTTTTGAGCTTTCACCTACTGTTTGCCAGAAGCTTTCATAGGCTTCAAAATATATATAGAAATCAAAATAAAATCTGTACCCTCAAACAGGACTGGCTTGCTTAATATTGTGGCTTTCAGTATTATATGGGTAGAGTACGATCCTAATCAAGCTTAACATAGATTCGGGAGGGAGGAGGATAATGAGGAAAGTAACTGACACTGGAACTGAATTTTAAGAGTTAATTGAATTTGAAAACAAGGGGAAAGGGAGCTATTTGATAAGGCAAAGATACTTGACGAAGGGGCCAGGACTATGAGATCCAAAGCACAGGTAGGAAGATTGGCCTTGAACTTGAACAAGGACATCCATTTTACTGAGAGCTATAAGACAGCCCTCTCCTGTAGCTCTTAAAGGCCTTGAGTGGGGGTCCAACAGGGGCACCTACCAAGATCCCCAAGAGTGATTCTCCCTTTTAAATTCAGCGTTCAGTCCTCCCCCAGTACCAAAGAGCCCATAAGATGCAAAAGTGAATGTTACTTAAAAAGAGGTTAAGGGACTCCCCTGGGAATAGCTTTCAAAAATACTTATCACTCATCAAAACTTCGAATGACTCAAAATGAATTTGGTGTGGGCTCAGCATTTTGAAGCAGTTCAGCAGTAAGAGTCTAGAAATTTTTGCCACTAGAGGGCAGTAGTATGTTTCTCCCCTCCCTCTCCTCCCTCTCCTCCCTCTCCTCCGTCTCCCCTCTCCCCTGTCCGCTCTCCCCTCTCTCCCTCGCCTCTCCCTCCCTCCCATTGTTAGCTGATTGAAGCCTGGGAGGCTGGAGATACAGTGAAACACCTTGCTTAAGTTTGTCAATACACCCTGCCTCTGACTGACGGTAGGATGCCAAGGTTCTTGGTTGTTCAGGCAAGCCTACTATACCAGCAGCCTGCTGGGGCCTCCACTGGAACCAAGTCAGTGATGAAACGTTCTACAAACAGAAGACTAAAAAGACTTTCCCCTTTCCTTTAAAACGTGACTGCCTTCTTTTAAAGACATTGAGCTAATAGTTAAGAGTTATTAGAAGATGAAAAATGTAATCTCGTGACAGAAGAGAATCCTAGAAAAATTCCGATTTGAACCCTATGAATAATTTTAGCTCATGTAGAACAATAGGTGTGTTGTGGAATAGTTTATTTCCTGACATAAATTGTAGTTGTCCATAGTTGTTAGGACATAACTCTGCCTAAGTCCTTTTGAAATTATTTTTCTTTAAACATTTATTGAATATATATGTACCAAAAACTGTGTGAGGCACTGGAGATCCAGAGCCAACCATGACATCGAACCTCTGGAGCCTCCAAGCCGGAAGAGGATGATGGGCAAGCCGAAGGTTATGTTTTGCTAGTAAAGGTGTGTACCAAATGCCACTAGAGTGTAGAAGGAAGATGAGTCAGGGAACAGGGGAAGTGAGTTTACCTAATTTAAGGGTGAGGTTTGGGGGCTGGAATTGAACCTTTTGAAGTAGGGAAGAGCTACGTGGTGATGAAGAGAGAGTGGTGAGAAATTTGTAACTTGAGCTTTCAGAGAGGAATTACCCATTTGAAATTTGAGCAATGAGAAATTTGTAGGTTGTGATAGGAGTCTAGCTGCAACAAATGAGGGAAAGACATTCTAGGAAAAGGAGTCATTGACGCACGAAGGCAAGGAGGGCACTGCAGTTTACAGCACCCAGTCCTTCTGGGCAGGGCTGCCAAAGGGTTACCACAATGCACGACCCATTCAAAGAAGAGCAAGAGGCTGGAGCAGAATGAGCTAGGGGAAGGTAGAAGAGGAGACCAGCAAAGTAACAGGGTCCCATCTTGGAAGACCCTGTGTAGTCCCTTGTCAAGAGTTTGACTTTTGGCCAGGCGCAGTGGCTCACGCCTGTAATCCCAGCACTTTGGAGGCTGAGTGGGAGGATCACTTGAGCCCAGCAGTTCGAGAACAGCCTGGGCAACACGACAAAACCCTGTCACTACTAAAACTACAAAAAAATTAGCCAGGTGTAATGCACACCTGGAGTCTCAGCTACTGGGGAGGCTGAGGTGGGAGAAGCCTGGGAGGTCAAGGCTGTAGTGAGCCTTGATCGTGCCACTGCACTCCAGCCTGGGCGACAGAGTGAGACCCTGTCTCAGAAAAAAAAATTTTTGACTTTTACACCAAGTAAAATAGAAGCCCCAGGAGACTGAGCACAGTTGTGACATGATCTGCTCTGTTTTCAAAGGGTCACTCTGGCTTCTGTGTGGAAAACAGATGGTAGGGGAGCCATGATGGGAGAAGGGACACCAGTTTGGAGGCTACTGAAATAATTCAGGTGAGGAATGCTGGTGACTCAGACCAGTGATGAGGGAGAACAACTATGGTCTATATTTTGAAGGTAAAGTTGACGCAATTGATTATGGGCATGAAAAAGAAAAGGTTTGACTCCAGTGTGTTTGATCTGAGCTATTGGAAGAATGCAGTGACCATTTTTGAATGGAGAAGATTAAGATCTAGGAGGGGTGCAATGATGAATTTGTTCTTGAACATGTTAAATTTTCATTTCTTATTAAACATCTGCCTGTTTACTGAGAGTAAGTAGTTAACTATGTGAACCTGGAATTCAGGAGAGGTCTGGGCTGGAGATACAAATTTGGACATTTGTCAAGGTATATATAGCCTGTAGACTTGAGATCCCTTAGGGTAAGCCACTTAGAGGTTGAGAAAAGAAATCACCCAAGGGCTGAGCCCTGAGGCCATCCAGTGTTTAGAGGTCTGTGGGATAAGAAGGGAGCAGAGAAGACCAGAGAGAGCCAAGGGACTCGGGGGGAAACCCCAGAAACCAAGGAGAAGGGAGTGAGCCACTGATGGATTAAGTAAAATGAGTCCTGAGAATTGGATTGGGTTTGGCAACATGGTGATGATTGGTGATCTTGACAAAAACTGTTCTGTAGAATAAGGGGGCAGAAGCCAGCTCAGAGGAAGTTCAAGAGGAAATGGAAGAAGAGGTAGAGACAATGAGTGTAAACAACCCTTTATAGGAGTTTCACTTGCGATGAGGAGCATAAAAACAGGTGGTAGCCAGGCATTAGAGATAGAGGATCAAGAAGAGATTTTCTTTTGGAGGGCAATATTACAATCTGTTTCTCTTCTGATGGGAATACTCCCTCAGAGAGGAAAAGTTTGGTATTGCAGGAGAGAGGATAATTGCAGGAACCATGTCCTTAGGTAGGCGGTAGGCGTGGCCTCGCCGGAGTGTTTGGACAGTTCCCTCATTGTAACCGGAGGGAAGCTGAGCACCGGGAAGAGAAGCAGGTAGTACGAGGAGCAGCACAGGGGAGTCCTCTTCTGATTGCTTCTATTTTCTCAACGAAATAGGAAGTAAGATTATTAAGAGTGGGAATAGGGGAGAAGATGTTGGCATTTAAGGCAAAAGAACTTGAGAAAAAGGATAAGAAATAGTTTTATAGGAAAGTGGCAGTCTGAAGGATAGGGAAACTGCCTGTTTTATTTTCTGTCAAACTGGACTAATAATGTTACCTGTGGACTCTCTACCAACCCCCCCGACTGAGGACAACTTGAAAAGCCAAATAAATCTTAAAACGAGGCTTAGTGCAGTAGCTCACACCTGTAATCCCAGCACTTTGGGAGGCCGAGGCAAGCGTATCACCTGAGGTCAGGAGTTCAAGACCAGCCTGACCAACATGACAAAACCCCATTTCTACTAAAAATACAAAATTAGCACGGCATGGTGGCACGCGCCTGTAATCCCAGCTATTTGGGAGGCTGAGGCAGGAGAATTGCTTGAACCCAGGAGGCAGAGGTTGCAGTGAGCCAAGATTGCACGACTGCACTCTAGCCTGGGCAACAAGAGCAAAACTGTATCTCAAAAAGAAAAAAAAAAAAGAAAAAGAAAGAAAAAGAAAAAAAATCTTAAAAAGAAAAATCTTTTAAAAGCATTGAAGAACCAAAAGCCTAGTGAAGGATGACCAGACCAAAATCTAGGAGGAATGAACCCAAAGAAGTAAACTGCCCAGCATTCCAGGCTACCTTGACCTGAAGGCGTTTGTTAATAAGGAAGAAACATCCAGGACACTGAGTTCCTCAACTGTGCCTGGAGGGGAGCATCGAAATCAGCCACCCACCTGCACTCCCAGTCCTTTTAGGCTCACCTTCAATTCATATGTCTATGGGATGCTCTAGGAAGAGGAACAAGGCAGAGCCTCTGCCTTATAATCTGCTGGGTTTGAGGAAGGAGAAGCCAGGCAGTTGTCCCTGGAGATTGGGTTGTTTGTTTTATCTTATCCGCCTTAGGAAGCAGAAAGCAGTATGGTAAAAGGAGAGGACCCCCGATGAGGAAGGAAAAGAAGGCTGTGTATGGTAGCTCACGCCTGTAACTCAGCACTTCAGGAGGCTGTGGTGGGAGGACTGCTTGAGGCCAGGAGTTTGAGACCAGCCTGGACAGCATAGTGAGACCCTGATTCTACAAAAAATAATAAATTAGCCAAGCGTGGTGGCTCACACCTATAGTCCTAGCTACTCCGAAGGCCGAGGCAGGAGAATTGCTTGAGCTATAACTTCAGCTGCAGTGAGCTATGATCATGCCTCTGCACTCCAGCCTAGGCAACAGACTGAGACCTTGTCTCTAAAAATGAAGAAGATAGACGCAGAATGGGAGCAGCAGTAGGGTCGTTCAGGGATTCTTCATGCAGAACTCCAACCACAGCACAGTTCTGCTAACTTCTGGGAGCAGGGAGCTACAGAGAGCAGCAGTCCCCACCTAGCACCCCAAGATCGTATATGCGATACTGCACTTCAGAGGTCCCCTGTCCTCACAGGGAGGTATCAGCTTAGCCCCTCCACATTGTTCTAGCCTCATCACCCACCACTTCCTGCTTCCCAGCTCACACTGTTCCAGCACCAAAATGGGTAGGTGGCTCAATTGGCTGATGGGGAAGAGAAATAGACTGGGCCACGGGAGCCAGAGGGACAAAGAATGTACACATGTGGGGTGTACATGCAAATGGAGAAGGGGGAAGATGTGAAGCTGGCATTGTTTGTAAGAGTGCAAGGATCTATGGGTACATGTGTCACTGTGTGACCAGTGAGAGGGGTTATATATCATAGGGGTTACTGTCTGGGTGGCCCCTAGCCCTCTCTGCTGGAGTCCCACCCCACTTGACTATGCAGCCAAGCTAACATAATGGAGACCAGCAGAAAGCCCTGCACTCCTGGGCTTAGCAAAAGGCACTTCAGGTGAGAAAGAGCAGCCAGCTGAGCCCTGTAGGGCCAAAGCATCACCCACCTCCTATTCCCAGTCAAGGCAGGCGGCATCACTGAGGAGACAGCCTGCTGAGGCTTTGGACTGTCAGTGTTCTTCAGGGCAAGGAGCAAAAACCAACTCTGGCTACTTACATAAAAGGTGTTTATGGAAGGATATATGGAGGTTCAGATAGTCTGCAGAAAGTCAGAGGCCTAGGCTTGAAGAATAGGCAGACAGCAGGGGTTTTAGAGGCCAGGCCACAGAAACCCCTGGACAGGGGCCACTTCCAGACAGCCCCATTGCTGGACCACCCCAGACCTGTTCTTAGTGTCCCCTTGCTTTACAGCCTCATGTAAGCTTTGAAGTTTGTGTTTAGGTGAACAGTGTCTGTTGCATATTCACTGTATGATCTTGGGCCACAACTATAACATCTCTTTCTGAGCCTCAATTTTTTCATCTGAAAAATGGGATAATTATACACCTATTACAGAGTGGTTATGAAGATTGAATAGGTTGTCCCACATGGCATCACTAGGCCCGACCAGCTGAGGCTCAGACCATCCTTCCTTCCGGAACAGTTTGTCCTGTTGGACTGGAGTCTGGGGCAGAGGAGTCTAGGACTTCACTCACAATCACCACTTGGCTCCAGCCTTACTCAACACCTTCCAGTCTACCACGACTTTTGTAAGTGGAGGGTAGTTGCCGCATGTCCTGTGAAGACTATATATCTCTCTACACCTCAGGCTCTTCTCATTCAGCTTAGCAATAACACCCTTATAGGTCAAGCCCTTCTAAAATGCCAGGCACTCTGCTAATCACACTGCAAACATCATCTCATGTATTTCTCATAACAAACTGAGGGAGGTAGTAGCATCACTCGCATTTTCAGGTGAGGAAACTGAGCCTCAGAGAGGCTAAGGGGCTTCCCCACGGTTATTCGAAACAAAAGCTTGCACTCCTAACCACTAGGCGATACCACCTCTAACAATGGCTGGTTGAGTCCGCCTGTGGGCCCAGCCCTCACCACTTCAGCTTAGAATACGAAGCCAACCATTCCTGAGAGCCAGTGCCCACTGGAAATGTTACAGGGATCCTTCACTCCCCTGCAGAGCTTGGGGGGCCTCTTCTTCCACAGCTTGGTATAAGGTTGTTGCCCAGGCTGGGTGAGTTTCGCTGGAGCTCTGGGCTGCCCCACAAGGGTCTGCAGCTGACTGGGACCTCAGAAGCCTGGCCAGGCCACCCTCCTGGCTCACAGTAAGCAGCACCAGAGGAGGAGGAAGTCATGGCCTTGAGGTTACCCTCTGCCTGGGGTAGGGGCAAGGGTGGGCTGCAGCTTCCAGGAGCTGTGCAGGACCAGCTTTTTTCGGCACTGTCCACAGCACAGTCCCTGAAGACGTCAGGACTGAGAAGAAAACTGGAGACTGCTGGAAGCCTCCCAAAGACATGTCAGGCAGGGATGTTCTCCTGAAAGGGCACCCGTGTGACGCAATCCGCAGTTCCCTCTGGGCATTCAGGGCCTCAGCACTCTTCAGACCAATACTGGGAAATGGCAACTCTGTTTGTGGAGAAAAGAAGGAAGCAGCTCTCACCTGGCTCCAGTAGAGATGGCACATTTTATTTTGCCCCTTTGATGAAATGTTTCCAAGAAACACAAAGTGAAACATGCTGAGGGTTTGGTATTTTTCCACTTGACAAACATCTGTGATTTCAAAGGCACATGGTGCTTCTCACATACTTTATTCCTTTCCTTCTTTCTTCACCCACATTCACTGTCAGCCTAGCTCAGGAAGAGGGTATTGAAGATCACCTGTGCATATGCAGCTCAAAGTGCATTTCTGGTGTTGTGGGGAGGCCCAAGGGAGACGGCCTGAAGAGGTGCAGCAGCCTCATTCACCCAGAGCCCATGGCTTATTGTTCACGGGCCAGCAAAGTATCTTGAAAAGTGACAGCAGGGAGCAGAATACTCCTTGGCCTCTCCAGGAGCCAGTGGATGCCGGAAGAGACCTTGGTTGATACGGTTCCTGATCTCCCAGCAACACTGGAAGAGCAAAGGCTGCAGAAAGCACAGCCACAGCCACTCAGCACACCTTAGCCACACAGTGATGCTTCCCAGAGCTTTCACTTTCTTGGACTTAAGAACTACAAAACTCCTCCTAAATGAAACTAGACATTTTTAATCATCTAGCTTGAGGGGGACCTAGAGATCGTTTCTGGGGGTACTTTGCAAATTCAAAAACTGCAAAGGGGGGAGGGGCTTTTAAAAAAGTCATGCAACATTTGTTTGTTTACAAATCACATTGGTAATCATTAGTGCTGAGTTACTGTAGGATTTACAATGATTCATTGTATTTAGTCCCTACCATCCAGAAGCTATCAATATATTGTCATTTCTACTTTGCTCTCAGGCTGCTTTGAAGCAGGAAAATTATCTAGAAAGAGCTTCATTCCATTTAGTCTTTTTGTCAATAATTTTAAAATCTGGTTTTTGTTGGTGAAAGTGACTCATTTAACAGTTAAGCTAAAGACATTTTTGGCTGGAGTGAGTGTAGCCATTATGGGTTTAATTCAATTTGACAAGCATTGATTGAGCATCTGTTCTATGGCAAGGACGAGGATAGGCACCAGAGGTGCAGAGGTGACTGAAAGATGGCACCTGTTCTCAAGAATATCACAGCAGTCTAAACGTACCCAAGCTGGAAGGTGGACTCTGTGCTATAGAACAGGCCTAATGTGCTGTGGGCAGAGAGAGTTGGAAATTAGGAAAGCTTCATGAAGAAGGTGGCATCAGAGAGTTAAAACACTGCCTGCAACCCCTTCTATCTATGGGTCCTATCTTTCTTTTTCTCTTCCAAATCTAGCCTGTTTATTAATTCATGTAATCATGTAATTCACACATTTGCCAAATAGTCATTAAGCCCATGATGTCCCAGGCACAGTTCTAGACATGGGAGACACACTGGTAAGACAATTTGTGTACTTTTAGTAGGGCAGGGATGGATGACGATAACCTACAAATGAATAAACAAATAGAATGTCAATTGTAATGGGTATTGCAAATAAAAGTAAAATAGTGTGAGGGGTGCAAACAGTGAGTGTGGATGGGGAAGGCATGTGTATCCTGTATTAAACATAGTGTTAAGGAAGGCTGTCTAAAATGGAGATACTTGTGCAGACACCTGAATGGAGGGACAGAGGGAGCCATGGGAGTTCTGGGCTGACAGTATTCTTGGCAGAGGGAAGGAGTGGCAAGCACAAAGACCCTGAGGCAAAAACACATGTGATGGCCCAGGATGGCAGGAGGACCACGATGAGCAGAAGGATGGGGAGAGCTAGGCTGGAAAGACAAGCAGGGGCCAGATCATGAAGGCCAAGGTAAGGAGTATGGATTTTTTTTTTTCTAAGGGTGGTAGGAAGCTACTAGAAGCTTTGAAGGGAGTCATATGATCTAATTTGTATTTTTGAAGATTATTATGGCTTTGGGGTTTAGAATAAACTTTAAGAGATCAAGAAGGGAAACAAAGAGAACTTGAGAAATATTTCCCATTTGAGAAATGAAAAACACAGTTGACATTTCTGATATAGGGAAAATAGAGGAGTAAATTTGGGGAAGGAGGACTTCATGGACTCAATGTTGGTCATAAGTGTAAAATGCTCACTAGCTATCTGAGTGGGGATTTTGAACAGGCAGTAGGATATTTGAGTCTGAAGTTCAGGAAGTAGTCAAGAATACCCATTCCACCCAGAAGGCAAATTAGATAAGGACTAACAATAGTTCTTTAATATTCAATACCCAGGAAGTTATTAGAACCTTTTTTTTTTTGCCATAGTAACATTCATAGAATGACAGAGAGGTAAAAGCCAAATTGTCGAGGTGAAGATAATGAGTATAGATTATTCTTTCAAAAGAATCAGATTTCAGCTTTGTTAATTCTATTTTTCTTTGCTTTCTACTTCATTAATTTCTACTGTTTATTATTTACCTCCTTCTATTGTCTTTAAGGTTTCTGTTCATTTTCTTAAGGTGGAGACTTACCTGATTAATTTCTTCTTTCCTAATACAAGTATTTAAGGCTTGTACAAATTTGTTTGAAAGGTTTCTTTCAAGTATTTGCTTCTAATGTTGAATTTGTTTCAAATATTTGGAAAAAAGGTCAAATATTACATATGCTGCTTTCAATAAGCTTTGATATGTAGTGATTTCACTATCACTTACTTCTAAGTATTTTTAAATTTTCGTGATGAATTCATCTTTGACCCTGCCTCCTGTCTTTATTTCAAAAAGGATGCAATTGCAAAGATGAGTTTACTGCAGAAAACCAACAAAAATGACAGATTTGAATAACAAACAAATGGAAATTCTAGGAATGAAAAATATAACCACCAAAATGAAAAACACAGTCAATAGATTAAACAAAAGATTAGACACATTGAAAGAGAATGTTTCCAGAGTGCAGGAAATAAATATAAGAATAAAGAAAAATGAAGGAGAAGTTAAGAGCAAAGATGTTAAAAAGTCAGAATTAAATTATTCTAAACAATACTCTGAGTTCAGGGCAGGAGCACTGGAGCTAAATCTTAGGAGAGGAATGAAGATATGGATTGACTGCAAGACTTTATGATAAACACGTACAGTCAACTTTGCAGTAACCACTAAAAGAATAAAAACAGCATGTAAACATTCCCAATCTGTAGAGAGAGAACACAATGAAGTGAAAGAAATAGCTTGGTAATTTTTATAAAAGGCAAGAATGAGGAAAGACAGGAATGATCAGGCTAAGGTGAAACAGTGATGTGCTGTTTATGTGAGGCATAACTAAGTGATAAGAATATGGAAAAGTTAAGTGTCCCATCCCACACAAATTGAGGGGTTCAACATAAAAGAGACATGATCAGACTTGTGCTGTAGGAAGGTGATACTGACTGCAACCACCTGTAACATGGGATGTGCACTGTAGGAGGACAAGATGGAGGCCTGGGCTTGGGAGCTTTGAGCTAGCTTGGGCCTGCTCTAAGGCTGTGGCAGTGGCAGTGGGGATAGGCTGGGTGGGCTGCGGAGATGAAAAGGCCGTTTCAGTTATGCTGAGATAAAGTTAAAATGACAGCCACTGGCCTCTGGTCTCAAACAGGGAAATCAAAACCTGGCCTGCATTGTGAACCCAACATCAAGGGTTTGGGAATTGTGTAAGTCTGACCTTTGTTCACTTCCAAGTGATGTCATCAGTTCACGGGGCCTCTGAGCCTCCTAATCCTGCCGTTGAGGCAGGTGGCTGTCAAGCTGTCATGTTGAAAACCTGCTTCTGGAGTTGTTGTTTGGGGCTCTGCTCCTTCAGAAAGTAGAGAGAAACTCACACGGTATCTGAAAACTACCAACCCTCATGTTATTCCAATAAAAATAATCTCTTCCACTTAAATAAAGCTTGCTTGGTTCAGATGTTTGCTCTCACAAGTTCTTCACAACTTGCCATGTGAGGAGATGCTATTATTTTATTAGGCTGTGCGGATATTATTTTTCACATTTCTTTTTACTGAGAGGAGACAGAGATCCAGAGAGTTGATATGGTTTGCCCAAGCTCACCCAGTGTCAGTGGCAGAGCTGAGAGTGCAAACCAGGTTGTCTGGTGTGGGCTCAGGCTCTCTGTGCTGTCAGGTTTGAACTCGTTTTGGTAATAGGAGGGAGTCAGGAGAATAGAAACTGGCCAACTCCAGCCTATATTTTCATCCTCTGCCACCCACTAGTCTTCCTCCTTCTTTATGTAAAGAGTGTTTTTTCCCCCAACAAATAAGAAAATTTTGGGATAAATATAAAACCCTGCATTTAGATTTTAACAGTAGGTTTCTCAAGTTTAAGCTGGAGGAGGCAGTTCCTGAGAAAATGAACAATATCCAAATAATCGTAGTTGCTAAAAGAGAAAATAGAGGCAGAAAATAAATTTAAAAAAAATTCCCAGAACTAAGAAAAACATGATTTTACAAATTGAAAGGACTCTCCAGTAGCTATCACAGAAAAAAAAAATAGACTACATATCTGAAACTGTGGCATTTCTGAACACTATGAACAAAGAAATTTGGAATGCTTCTAGAGAGAGTAGGGGGATAAAAAGGTCATATAAAAATGATCAGGAATCGAATGGATTTGGATTTCTCAAAAGTAACCCTGGAAGCAAGAACATGTGGACCATTGCTTTCAATATTCCATGGGAAAATGATATTCAACCTAGAATTTGTATTCAGCCAAATTATCAAGCGTGTAAGGAGCATAAAGACATTTTCAAGGCCAGCACGGTGGCTCACGCCTGTAATCCTAGTACTTTGGGAGGCCGAGGAGGGTGGATCCCCTGAGGTCAGGAATTCGAGACCAGCCTGACCAATATGGTGAAACCCCCTCTCTACTAACAATACAAAAATTAGACGGGAGTGGTGGTGCACGCCTGTAGTCCCAGCAACTCGAGAGGCTGAGGCGAGAGGATCACCTGAGCTGGGGAGGTCGTGGCTGCAGTGAGCTGTGATCAGGCCACCGTACTTCAGCCTGGGAGCCAGAGCAAGATCCTATCTATCAATAAATAAATAAATAAATAAATGACATTTTCAGACAAGCAAGGTCTTAAAAAATTTACCACCTAATGAGAGATGGCTACACTAAGATCAGTATTTAGCTGAAGCAATGAGTCACCATTGAATGAATGAATGAAATGGAATGAAACCCCAAGACACATGAGTAAACTAGAAAATTTATTTTTAAGGCTTACTTATTAATATAATTTTATTATTAAAAGAGGTCAGTTTTTAAAATTTGTCATTAGAAGTCACTAATAATAATTTGTCATCACTTCAATCTGCTGGATTACTCCTGTGTCATTACATTTGTCGTATAAATAGAAACTTTGGACTGAGGTTGGTGAGGACACAAGCTGTTTTTTAGTATCTTCTTGCCAGTACAAGGCACACTAGTGGTGATGTTGCTCCCAAATAATTAATCTTTTCTTTTCTCCGCAGTAACTAAGGTAATGTTTATTTCCCTTTCAACTCCTACTTGCAGATTTGATTGCTGGTAAAGATGCTGTTTGAAGCATATTGAAGTTTTGTGCTATCTGAATGTTTCAGAAGGAAATTTCCGATTTTTGCCCTCACATAGATTGTGTATTTCTTTAATCCTTGGATAAACAAGGATGTAAATAAAGTAATGTAACTAGATTTCAGAATAGCAAAATCTATAAATTTCCATCTGTATTCAAGATTTCATTGCATGCATATCAGTGTCAGCATCTTTTCTTAAGTAGAATGAAAGGTGGGTCTTTCAATAAGGATAATTCAAGAAAAAGTTATCCTCTCAAGATCCATGATTTTGATTACTTCTCCAGCAGAGTCCAGCATATGAATTGATTTCTCTCCAGTCAACCTTTGGGCATTAGCAAATCTTGCTAACAAGTTATCATTATTATTACCTGAAGCATACAATATTAAGGTATTTTTAAAAATCAAGCTGTTTTTTAATATGTGACGGCTGCTGTTCCATCTTGTTTTCACATCTCATGTAAGTAAATAACAAAACAATTTCAAAGCCATGCAGTTTCTCTTTAAAGCAGAATGATGAGAATGGCTCACTATCTTCATGCTTTGGCCTGTAATTCAGTTAAAATATACTGTTATAATTATATTTTAAATATGCAACTTAAGGATGTGTACAGAATGTTTTGCTTGTGATTCCTAAATCACTCGTTACCTTCACCACGTTTTTCCCATGGTCAGTCTATAGATCTGTTTTCTACTTTATGAGTATGTCTATCAGTTTCACCATTCTCTTGGTCAAACTGCCTTACCCTGATCTCCCACCTCATTTCTTTGCAAGCATTCATCATTAATCCATTGTATTCTCGCTTTGTCACCCAGGCTGGAGTGCAATGACACAATCTCAACTCACTGCAACCCCTGCCCCCCATGTTCAAACGATTCTCCTGCCTCAGCCTCCCGAGTAGCCTGTAGCTGGGACTACAGGCACATGCCATCACACCCAGCAAATTTTTGTATTTTTAGTAGAGACAAGGTTTCACCATGTTGACCAGGCTGGTCTCAAACTCCTGACCTCAAGGGATCCACCCTCCTTGGCCTCCCAAAGTGCTGGGATGACAGGCCTGAGCCACCTCTCTCGGGAGTGACAATCTTTAAGAACAAAGTCTCTTTCTGCACATCCAAATGACTAATGTTCAGGATACAGAAGTAGCACATTAAATAACATTATTAAAGTTTATACTTCTGGGAATGCTTTTTGCAGACCAACCCCTGCACCAAAAAAAAAAAAAAGTTATAAGAGCAAGACAAAAGACAAAAATAAATCTCTTTGAAGACATTACATAGCTATTAATAGATACAGAGTCAGTTAGAGTTAGGTGGCCAGACTTGAGTGGCGAGAATATCAGAGCAAATAAATACATTTTGAGATAAACCCAGAATTCTGCAGGGCTTTTTCCTTGAGGCATTTGGCAATTTAAAAGCAGCACAGGGCTGAGAAGCTAGGAAGCTGGGCAGCAGCAGACACTTAAATAAGGCTAGAAAGCTGAGCAGAGCTTTCAGCAGTCTAACAAGCCTAAGGAAACAAAAATTAGAGTTCAGGGTTCACCAAGAAAAGGCCCCAGTAAACAATCTAGACCTCCCATTAAGACACCCAGAAGCCTAAAACGGTGAAACCCCGTCTCTACTAAAAATACAAAAAATTAGCCGGGCGTAGTGGCGGGCGCCTGTAGTCCCAGCTACTTGGGAGGCTGAGGCAGGAGAATGGCGTGAACCCGGGAGGCGGAGCTTGCAGTGAGCCGAGATCCCGCCACTGCACTCCAGCCTGGGCGACAGAGCGAGACTCCGTCTCAAAAAAAAAAAAAAAAAAAGACACCCAGAAGCTATACTCTAAGAGGTAAGGTAAACCAGAAATAAAAGGTGTTCACAAAAGACTAAAACCTAGTCCTGAACCAGTGTAATCCCAATGTGATTAATAGGGGTTAATATGATCTGCTCCGTCTCTACCTCCCTACCAGAGAGTTATACAGCAGAAGAGAGAATTCATCACCAGGAAGACAGACTAACTGAAAATATCCATCCTAAAGTTCAGGGAGAAGGGAAAAAAAGAGATGGAAAGTACAGAAAAGACCATGAGACATATGTGATACAGTGATGAGGTCTAATATATAACAATATGTAATAGTCTCAGAAAAACAAAAAGAGAATGGGGCAGAAGCAATATTTTAAGAGCTACTAACCAAGAATTTTCTAAAACTGTGAAAAAAAAATTCAGTTAACAGATTCAAAAGTTCTGTGAGGCTGGGCGTGGTGGCTCATGCCTGTAATCCCAGCACTTTGGGAGACCAAGTCAGGTGAATCACTTGAGGTCAGGAGTTCAAGACCAGCCTGGCCAACATGATGAAACCCTGTCTCTACTAAAAAATACAAAAATTAGCTGGACATGGTGGCATATGGCTGTAGCCCCAGCTACTTGGGAGGCTGAGGCAGGAGAATCGCTTGAACCCAGGAGGCAGAGGTTGCAGTGAGCTGAAATCACGGCACTGCACTCCAGCCTGGTGACAGAGCCAGACTCTGTCTCAAAAAAATAAATAAACATAAATTAAAAATTAAAGGAAAAAAAAGTGGGATTTCCTGGGCTATTATGATGGTGACGAATTTCAAGTGGTTGTGGCAGTATCGCTTTCCCGCCCTTTACATTACAGCTGAACGTGGCCACTTGGCAGAAGCAGCTGGCCACCTGGTGTTTGTTGGTTCTGTCCATCTGCTGCCTGCACAGACAGTCAAGCATGATGGTTATGGATGCTCAGGAGATCCTGCTCTTCAGCAACATCAAGCTGTGGAAGCTTCCTGTGGGATCAATCCAGGTTGTATTAGAGGAACTGAGGAAGAATGGGAACTTACAGTGGCTGGATAAGAGCAAGTCTAGTTTCCTAATCATGTGGCGGAGGCCAGAAGAATGGGGAAAACTCATCTATCAGTGGGTCTCCAGGAGTGGCCAGAACAACTCCGTACTTAGCCTGTATGAGCTGACCAATGGGGAAGACATAGAGAATGAGGTGTTCCACGGACTAAAGGAGGCCTTCTGTGGGCTCTGCAGGCCCTTCAGTAGGAACATAAGGCTGAGATCATCACCATCTCACTCGGAGACCAGTGATGGCTGAGGTGTCAGGTCCATCTGTCAGAGACCTGCTTCCTTTTACTTTCTATCTCCCACCTTTCCAGGGCTTTCAGGAGGAGACAGACTCGGTGGACCCACACATTGAACCTGTGAATCCACCAGACTCAAAAGGGCTCCAGTCCTGAAGCCTGGGACCCAGGGGTGGGTTTCTCATACACAACATGTCTGTCCCTGGGACAGGGTGAGGCTGAGGCACTCCAGAGAAAAATGCTTCTTCAAAGCTTGCCTACTTCCTTTCCTATCCTAGACTGCTTCTGAGCCAGGGTCTGTAAACCTAACACTTTATGTGTGTTCACATATGTAAGTTCATACACACATGCACCTGCACATGCTTCTGTCTCCTCCATCTTCTATCCCCTTAGCTGCTGTTGCCTCCCTTCTCAGGCTGCTGCTGGATCTTTCCTAGGGAATGTGGGAAGCCTGGCTGCAGGCAGCCATCCAAGCAATAGAAAGATAGGAGGCCCATGGGCCTGGCACTGACAGGCAGGGCCCAACATTGATTTATGTTATTAAAATCTCAACTGCCCCCACTTCAGACAATAAAAACTGAGCTATATGCTGCTCACAATAAATTCAGTTGAAATATAATGATTAGAAATGTAAAAAGTAGTAAGAAGGAATAAGGTACGCCATGGAAATACTAATCAAAAGAAAGCAGATATAACTATATTAACATCCAAAGCATGACAAATCATATCTCCATTGCATAAAAGAATATAATCAGGAGTGTTTTTAAATATCTTTTTATTTAATTTAATCTGGAATTCATAGCTTGAACAAATCTCAAAAATCCATCATCTTTTTTTTTTTTTTTTTTTTGAGACAGTCTCACTCTGTCGCCCATGCTGGAGTGCAGTGGCACGATCTCAGCTCACTGCAACCCCCATCTCCTGGGTGCAAGCAATCCTCCTGCCTCCGCCTCCTGAGTAGCTGGGATTACAGGCACCCGCCATGACGCCCGGCTAATTTTTGTATTTTTTATTAGAGACAGGGTTTCACCATATTGGTCAGGCTGATCTTGAACCCCTGAACTCAGGTGATCCACCCTCCTCGGCCTCCCAAAGTGCTGGGATTACAGGCATGAGCCACCTCACCCAGCTAAAAATCCATCATCTTTAATTACTGAAAATTTATCATAGTCTATTGCAACTCTTTGAACAAGTATATTATTTACATTTTTATCCTCCAAAGACTCAAAACTAAAAAAACTTAAAGAACTCTTGTGATGTCTGTTACTTTGATATTTTATCAGCAAGAAAAATATGTGTTTTGTTTACCTCAGTTTTTTCTAAAATTGTGAAATGTATTATTTGTATCTTTGTTATGTCTACATTGAAGATGATTAATCATGGATGATGTTGTACATGGTTTTGGAGTTTTTTCTTTTCATGAAATGTTGAGAGGGCAAAGCATATCCTCACAAGCTGTGACAAATTTTTTTGAAATACCTTCGGCCTAAAGGGAAATAACAAAAAGTTAAATATAGTTATTAAAGTTTATTTTGTTAGTGTTTTGAGTGCTAGTACCTCAAACAATTCTATAATGATGTGAATTATGATATAATCTAATCTTTGTTATTCTTTCTTGTATCATTTAGTTTTTAATTAACATTTTATTCAAAAAGGATATGAAGTTCTTCCTATGTTTATGTCACGAATCCACTCTTTTTTAACCTTCAAATCAACACTCTGTTTCCTATATATTCAGCTATTTGGCTGTTTTTAATAATTGTTTTCATATGTAAAATTGCTCATTACTTTTTATAGCATTTCAATTTTTTTAATAGTTTGAGGGGGTACCGATGCAGGTTCGCTTCATGGATATGTTGTGTAATGGTGAAGTTTGGGTTTCCAGCGTGTCCATCACCCCGATAGTAAACACTGTACCCAACAGGTAATTTTTCAACCCTTACCCCCTCCTACTGTTACCACTTTTGAAGTCCCCAGTGTCTGTTAGTTCCTTCTCTATGTCCATGTGTACCCACTGGTTAGCTCCCTTTATAAGTGAGAGCATGTAGTATTTGATTATCTGTTTCTGAGTTATTTCACTTATAGTAATGGCCTCCAACTCCATTTATGTTGCTGCAAAAGACATAATTTCATTTTTGTGGCTGTGTAGCACTCCATCGTGTGTGTGTGTGTATGTGTGTGTGTGTGTATATATATATAAATACAATTACCACATTTTTTATCCAGTCATCTGTAGATGGACACTTAGGTTGATTCCATGACTTTGCTATTGTGAATAGTGCTGCAATAAACATATGAAAAACTATACCATGCAAACAGAAAACAAAAATGAGCAGGAGTAGCTATATTTATGTCAGATAAAACAGACTTTAAATCAATAACTGTAAAAAAGGACAAAAGTTATTATATAATGACAAATGGTTCAATTTAACAAGAAGATATAACTATCCCAAATATATATGCACCCAATACCAAAGCACCAAGATCCATAAAACAAATACTACTAGACCTAAGAAAAGAGACAGCAATGCAATAATGGTGGGGAACTTTATCACCCCACTGACAGGACTAGACAGATCATCAAGGCAAAAAATCAGCAAAGTCTTAAACTGGACTCTAGGCCAAATGGACCTACCTAATAGACATTTACAGAACATTCTACCCAACAACTGCAAAATATACATTTTTCTTATCTGAATGTGGAACATTCTGGAAAATAGACCATATTCTTGGCCATAAGGCAAGTCTCAATAAATTTTTAAAAAATCATATGAAATATCTTTTTAGACCACTGTGAAATAAAATTAGAACTCAATATCAAGAGGAGCTCTCTAAAGTATTTGAATATATGGAAACTAAACAAGTTGCTCCTGAATGATCTTTGAGTAAATGATGAAATTAATACAGAAATTAAAAAGATGGAAACAAATGAAAAGAGACACAACACACCAAAACTTCTGGGATATAGCAAAAGCAGTGCTGGAAGCTTATAGTGTTAAATGGCTACATTAAAAAGATAGAAAGACCTAAAATCAACAACCTAATGTCACACCTCAAGGAACTAGAAAAATAAAAACAAACCAAACCAACAGCTAGCAGAAGAAAAAGAAATAGCAAAGATTAGAGCAGAATTAAGTGAGGTTGAGACAAAAAAAAAAAAAAAAAAAAACATGATATGAAGGATCAATGAAACAAAAAGTTGGTTCTTTGAAAAGATAAACATAATTGATAGACCACTGGCTAGACTAGCCAAGAAAAAGAGAGAGAAGATTCAAATAAACACAATCAGAAATCATAAAGGTGACATTACAATTGATACCACAGAAATACAAAAGATCAATTGAGACTACTTTGTACATCTCTATGCTCACAAACTAGAAACCCTAGGGGAAATGGATACATTCCTGGAAATGTACTACCTTCCAAGACTGAACTAGGAAGAAATAGAAATCCTGAACAGACCAATAGCGAGTAATGAAATTGACTAGTAATAAAAAATTTCCTGACCAAGAAAAGCCCAGGGCCAGATGAATTCACAGCCAAATTTTACCAGATGTTCAATTTTTGAATAATACAAATGCATTTTGTGTTTGGGAGTACATGTTCAAGTAACTGATAGATTTACAATGTATAAAGCACACAAGTAGATTCTCACTCCAAAAGTCATCTAAAGTGACTACTGATATTTGAAGGTGAATATTCTAATATTAGCAATAATTTGAATGGTGTGGCTTATTCACATTACTGATGATTCAGCACTAATTAGATATGGTGGTAACCCTGAAGGTCACAAGATTATTGATTAGTAAAAATTTATAGATGCCAGAAATTATGTTTAAGTATGCATTTGGCTTTTTGGCCTTTTTAAGGCTGAGGCTTAATACCAAGGCCAGAATTGAACTATATGCACCCTATTCATACTATGCACCATTTCTTAGGAGGTCTTTTACCAAAACAAAAGTATAAACCAAGAAAGTGGCTTCACATCTCCTATAGGTTCTGCATCAATCAAGTTAGTACTAAATTATGCCTTGCTTTGCTTAATATTTTTATTATTTATTTTTAGACAGGGTCTCACTCTGTTGCTAGGCTGAGTGCAGTGGCAAAATCATGCCGTATTGCAGTCTCAACCTCCCTGGTTCAAGTGATCCTCCCACCTCAGCCTCCTGAATAGCTGGGACTAAAGGAGCATGCCAGCATGTCTGGCTAATTTTTTGTATTTTTGTAGAGACGGGGCTTCACCATGTTGCCCAGGCTGGTCTCGATATCCTGGGCTCAGGCAATCTGGCTACCTTGGCCTCCCAAAGTGTTGGGAGTACAGGTATGAGCCACTGTACCTGGTCACTGCTTAATGTTTGTATAACTTAAACCTACCAACCTATTAATCTCTTTTAAAACTGTAAATGTGTTGTGGGCAGAAACCTTATCTTAGTTGTGTTTTGCCTCTTTAATTTTATAGGGAAATAATGATAATTTGGTAATTTTCCTCTAAGGATTATTTTTTTATTATTATTATTATACTTTAAGTTCTGGGATACATGTCCAGAACATGCAGGTTTGTTACATAGGTATACATGTGCCATGGTGGTTTGCTGCACCCATCAACCCATCATCTACATTAGGTATTTCTCCTAATGCTATCCCCCCACCAGCCTCTCACCCCCATAACTGGCCCCGATGTGTGATGTTCCCCTCCCTGTGTCCATGTGTTCTTATTGTTCAACTACCACTTATGAGTGAGAACATGTGGTGTTTGGTTTTCTGTTCCTGTGTTAGTTTGCTGAGAATGATGGTTTTCAGCTTCATCCATGTCCCTGCAAAGGACATGAACTCATCCTTTCTTATGGCTGCATAATATTCCATGATGTATATGTGCCACATTTTCTTAATCCAGTCTATCACTGATGGGCATTTGGGTTGGTTCCAAATCTTTGCTATTGTGAATAGTTCTGCAATAAACATATGTGTGCATGTGTCTTTATAGAATGATTTATAATCCTTTGGGTATATACCCAGTAGTGGGATTGCTGGGTCAAATGGTATTTCTGGTTCTAGATCCTTGAGGAATCACACACTGTCTTCCACAATGGTTGAACTAATTTACACTCCCACCAACGGTGTAAAAGCGTTCCTATTTTTCCACATCCTCTTCAGCATCTGTTGTTTCCTGACTTTTTAATAATCACCATTCTAACTGGTATGAGATGGTATGACCTTTTGGTTTTGATTTGCATTTCTCTAATGACCAATTATGATGAGCTTTTTTTCATATGTTTGTTGGCCGCATAAATGTCTTCTTTTGAGAAGTGTCTGTTCATATCCTTTGCCCACTTTTTGATGGGGTTGTTTGTTTTTTTCTTGTAAATTTGTTTAAGTTCCTTGTGATTCTAGATATTAGCCATTTGTCAGATGGATAGGTTGAAAAGAAGAAGATATGTAATTCAGGAAACAGTTTCAACTTAAGAGACAGAAGGAGAAAAACTCAAAATGACGGTGAAAGGAGATTTCAGGATAACAGCTGTGTACGAAGTATAGATGTCAACCAGTCCAGAGTGGAGTATGGTCAAATGGATCCAGAGATAGAGCTCCAGGAAGTGGAAAATGATGGAATACCCTCATTTATTTGAGTGATTGAGAGGAGTTTTCAGTGGATAGGTGAAAGCTGGGGTTGTATCAGTGATAAGTGTATAGAAAACTATATGAGATGCAAGCTCCCTACATCTCTTGTAGCTATTCTTGAAGCTAGGCCAACTAGCCATTCCTTCAGAGTTTTTCTCCTTCCGTCTCTTCCAGGGTTGGATAAAACACTACAGCACAGGGTGTGAGATCTAGGATCTCAAGTGGGCAGCCCATGAAGGGACTGGGTTAATGCAATCTAGAAGTACAAGGGAATACATTCACATGAGATGAATTTTACCAAACAAGAATCCAGAGACAAGAAGGAGCCTGGAGGACAAATCACTTTTCTTCTTTTCTTCTATGGTGGACATTGAAGCATGATTTATTCTTGCAACCCATCTGGAGAAGTCTCGGGTGCCAAATGAACAGACCTGCTGAACAACCCGCTGTGTCACTAAGTGGTTCTTTATGCAGCAGCAGCCAAGTGCAGTAACATGTCATTTTGCATTGCTTCACGTCTTTATTTGCCTCCCTTCCTTTTTCCTCAACCTCAGTGATCTGGATTTGCATCTCCCAAATAGAGTAACAGCACTTTAATTTTTGCTTCAGACTCTACTTTTTAGAGGCTAAGATTAAAACTAAGCAAATAATTAAAGAAGAAACTTCAAAGAAAACTAAAAGTAGGGCAAGAAAGAAAAAATAATAGGGTGGCTAGTATTATTATTATTAGGCTCAGTCCTTAATAGAGTTTAGTAGTAACATTAGAAATATTAAATATCCAACAATTGAGATATAGCTACACTGGAAGAATAGGGTAAGGGAAGAGATATTGGTCATGTAGTAGTGGTGGTTAAACAGAAATAAATCCTTATCTTCACTAGTAAAAAGTCAATTAGACTGAAAAACCAAAAAAGTTAAAGTTAAAAAAGAAAAGAAAACTAATGGAATTGAAAGGATTTCCCTCTTGAGAAAAGGAAATAGGGAGTTGATAGTTCCTCTTTTTTAAGTCTTACTGAATTAAGTCTGACTCTTCTATCATTTAAGTCTTACTGAATTAAGTCTAACTGACTCTTCTATCATGTACACTTATAACATTGATTTTAAAAAACACATTTCAAATGCTAGTTACTGATGAAGGCATGTGGTTTTATTGTTGTAAGCTATAAAATCAAACTAAGGTAGATATTTAAACTCTGAAGAAACTTCAGTTTTGTGAAGTGACTGCACATTTTACACTTCCTCTAGCTATGTATAAGATCTTATCCTAGCTGTTCCACATCCTCTCCAACATTTATTGTTGTTGATCTCTTTTTATTTTAGCATTTGGTATTGTCTTTTTCATTTCCGTCATTCCTGTTGATATGTACTGATATCTCATTGTGGTTTTAATTTGCATTTTGCCTAATGCCTAATGAGGTTGAGCATTTTGTCATGGGCATCATGGGCTTACTGGCCATTGGTCCCTCTTCTTTTATGTTCTTTTTAATTGACTTGTTTCATTCTTTAGTTATAGGAATCTTTATGCATGCACATACAAGTCATTTGTCAATGTTATGTGTTGCAAATATTTTCTCCCAACCTGTAACTTAAGTATTTTCTAAATTGTGTCTTTTAGTTAGAAAAATTTTTAAAATTTTGCTGAAATTGCAATTTAGCAATTTTTTCTTTTATGGCTAATATTTTCTGAATCCTCTGGAGAAAATTTTTTTCTTCTCTAAGGTCATGAAGACATTCTTCAGTGTTTCTTTCTAGTAACTTTCTAGCTTTTCCATTTAGGTCTGTGGCCCATTTATTGATGTGATTTTCCTTTCCTCATGTATCAGTATTCTATGCTGCATAACAAATTACTACAAATATAGTGATGGACAACAGTGAACATTAATTATCTCACAGTTTCTGTAGGCAGGAGTCCAGGCACAGGTTGGCTGAGACCTCCACTCAGGGCCTCACAAGAATAGAATCAAAATTGCCATCGGTTTTTGTTCCTTTCCAGAGCTTGGGGTCCTCTTCTATGCTGACATGGTCGTTGGCAGAATTCAGTTGTGGCTGAGGTCCCACTTTCTTGATGGCTGTGAGCAAGGGGCTGCTCTCAGTTTCTAGAGGCCCCTGTAGCTCAAGGGAGAGTCTCTCATTCCAGTTGGCTAAGATGGAGTCTTATGCAAAGTAACATAATCATAGAGGTGACATCCATCACTGGTGCCGTACTCTGTTGGTTAGAAATAGGTCATAGATCCTGCCCACACTCAAGAGGAGAGGGTGTAGAGCCAGGAGGCAGAGATCATAAGGACCATTTAGAATTCTGCCTACCTCACCCCATCACATTTCCCATATGACCTAGTACTTCCCCTCTGTATTAGTTCATTTTCATGCTGCTGATAAAGACATACCTGAGATTGGGCAATTTACCAAAGAAAGAGATTTACTGGACTTACAGTTCCATGTGACTGGGGAGGTCTCACGATCATGGCAGAAGGTGAAAGGCACATCTCACATGGAGACAGACAAGAGAAGAGAGCTTGTGCAGGGAAGTTCCCCCTTTTAAAACTATCAGATCTCATGAGACTTATTCACTATCATGAGACAATACGTGAAACACCAGCCCCCATGATTCAGTTACCTCCCACTGGATCCCTCCCACAACATGTGGGAATTCAAGATGAGATTTGGATGGGGACACAGCCAAACTATATCATTCTGACCCTGGCCCCTCCCAAATCTCATGTCCTCACATTTCAAAACCAATCATGCCTTCCCAACAGTCCCCCAAAGTCTTAACTCATTTCAGCATTAACTCAAAAGTCCACAGTCCAAAGTCTTTGGACAAGGCAAGTCCCTTCTGCCTATGAGCCTATAAAATCTAAAGCAAGCTAGTTACTTCCTAGATACAATGGGGGCACAGGCATTGGGTAAATACAGCCATTCCAAATGGGAGAAATTGGCCAAAACAAAGGGGTTACAGGGCCCATGCAAGTCCAAAATCTAGCAGGGCATTCAAATCTTAAAGATCCAAAATCATCTCCTTTAACTCCATGTCTCACATCCAGGTCATGCTGATGCAAGAGGTGGATTCCCATGGTCTTTGACAGCTCCACCCCTGTGGCTTTGCAGGGTACAGCCTCCCTTCTGGCTGCTTTCATGGGCTGGCACTGAGTGTCTGTGGCTTTTCTAGGTGCATGGTGCAAGCTGTCAGTAGATCTACCATTCTGAGGTCTGGAGGATGGTGGCCCTCCTCTCACAGCTCCACTAGGTGGTGCCCCAGTAGGGGGGCTCTGACCCCATATTTTCCTTCCACACTGTCCTAGCAGAAGTTCTCCATGGGAGCCCTGCCCCTGCAACAAATTTCTGCCTGGACATCCAGGCATTTCTGTACATCTTCTGAAATCTAGGTGGAGGTTCCCAATCCCCAATTTTTGACTTCTGTGCACTCGCAGGCTCAACACCGTGTGAGAGCTACCAAGGCTTGGGACTTGCACTCTCTGAAGTCATGGCCTAACCTCTACATTGGCCCCTTTTAGCCATGGCTGGAGCAGCTGGGACACAGGTCACCAAGTCCCTAGGCTGCACATAGCACAGGGACCCTGGGCCCAGCCCATGAAACCACTTTTTCCTCCTAGGCCTCTGAGCCTGTGATGGGAGGAGCTGACATGAAAACCTCTGACATGCCTTGGAGACATTTTCCCCATTGTCTTGGGGATGAACATTCGGCTCCCTGTTACTTATGCAAATTTCTACAGCCAGCTTGAATTTCTCCTCAGAAAATGGGCTTTGCTTTTCTGTCACATTGTCAGGCTGCAAATTTTCCACTCTGCTTTATGCTCTTTGTGCTCTGCTTCTCTCATAAAACTGAATGCCTTAAACAGCACCCAGGTCGCCTCTTGAATGCTTTTCTGCCTGGAAACCTCTTCCGCCAGATAGCCTAAATCATTTCTCTCAAGTTCAAAGTTCCACAAATCTCTAGGGCAAGGGAAAAATGCCACCAGTCTCTTTACTAAAACATAACAGGAGTCACCTTTGCTCCAGTTCCCAAGTTCCTCATGTCCATCTGAGACCACCTCAGCCTGTACTTTATTGTTCATATCGCTATCAGCATTTTGGGCAAAGCCATTCACAACAAGTTCCTCATCTCCATCTGAGACCACCTCAGCTTGGACTTTATTGTCCATATTGCTATCAGCATTTTGGGCAAAGCCATTCAACAAGTTCTAGGAAGTTCCAAACTTTCCCACATTTTCCTGTCTTCTTCTGATCCCTCCAAACTGTTCCAACCTCTACCTGTTACGCAGTTCCAAAGTCGCTTCCACATTTTGGGGTATCTTTTTCAGCAATGCCCCACTCTACTGGTACCAATTTACTGTATTAGTCCATTTTCACACTGCTGATAAAGACATACCCAAGACTGGACAATCTGCAAAAGAAAGAGGTTTATTGAACTTATAGTTCCACGTGGGTGAGGAGGCCTCACAATCATGGCAGAAGGTAAAAGGCATGTCTCACATGGTGGCAGATAAGAGAAGAGAGTTTGTGCAGAGAAGCTCCCCTTTTTAAAACCATCAGATCTTGTGAGACTTATTCATTATTACGAGAACAACATGGGAAAGACCTTCCGCCATGATTCCATTACCTTCCACCAGGTCCCTCCCATAACAAGTGGGAATTCAAGATAAGATTTTGAGGGGGTGGACACAGCCAAACCATATCACCCTCGTAGGTATTTACCCAAGAGAAATGAAAGCATATGTCCACAAAAACCTGAACACAAATTGTCATCAGGACTTTGTTCAAAATAGCCAAAAACTATAAACAACTTGTATGTCTAACAACAGAAGAATGGAAAAGCAAACTGTGATATGTTCATGCAATGAAATACTAGTTAGCCACAAAAAGGAATGAACTGCCAATATACATTTTGATATAGATGAATCCAAAAAATATGCTGGGTGAAAGAAGCTGGCCACAAAAAAGTACCCATGATATGAACTCAATTATATAAAGTTTGAGAAGAGGTAAAACTAACCTATGATGATAGAAATCAGATCAGTGGTTGCTTAGGAGGTAGAATTGACTAGGAGGGGGCATGAGGCAACTTTCTGGAATAATGGAAATGTTCTGTGTCTTGATATGCATTCATTAAAACTGACAAGTTTGAGGTTCACTATATGTAAAGTATACCTCAATTAAAAGGCATACATTATTTCAGAGCAAGCATGTATTGGACATGGGATTTTGGCAGGGGTCATTAAACTTTAGTGTATATAGGAATCATTTGGGGTGCTTTTTAAACGTGCAGATCCCTAGGCTTCACCCTAAAGATTCTGATCTAGGTCATCTGCAGTGGTGCCAGGGATCTGCATTTTTAATAAACAATTCAGGTTATTCTGGCACTGCTGGCCCCTGGAATAACCTTGGAGGAACACTGTTTAAGACATGTGCTCTCACTAGCTGGCTCTCTCCCTCCCTCATTCTCATCCTGAGCAGGGGCTTCTCATAGCTATCATGCCATGGCAGGGGGATCTAGGACAAATTGCTCAAATCTCAAGCAGAGAGAGGAGGAGAGACAGCTTGTTGTGCCTCTGGTGGGCCAAGGTACTCCTTACTCCCTGAATTTTTATATATCTTGGAGGGGAACTCTCTTGCATGAAGTCTCCCTGGGCACCAGTGAAGAAAGCTCAGGTGTGTACTGCCTGGGCTGTGCCTCAGACAGGCTGGAGAAGGAGCGGCTGCCTCCTCCCCACTTGCTCATGACCAGCCCCAGCCCTGGCCTAGGGGTACAGGCTTCACTGAGCATCAGCTCAACTGTAGCTGGGCCCGGAGCCCAGCCAGTCTCAGAATGGGTGCTCTGAGAGTGTCATCTGGGGAGCCTTGAGGCTCCCAGGGGCTCCATGGCTACACTTTTGGTTTGGCCCAAGATTAAGTTTTACTGTTGCTCCACAGTGCACATGAGACTTTTGTCCATGAGGCCTTCTCAAAGGTAGAGCCGTCTTTTCAGAAACTCATGGCAGACAGCAATGGGTGGACAGGGGTTGTGGGGCCCTGTGTCCATCTGCAGTGACCACAAGATGGAAAGTGATGAGCCCAGGCAGGTGCTGTGTGAGTCAGATTCAATGTGTACTTCTCATCCCAAGGCCACTCTTGGCATCAGATGCAAGGCTTCCACCTGCCCCAGGGGGTTGATGGCTCTCCCTGCACCCTGCAGGTATTAAGCTGTGCACCAATTCTGGCAGCCAAGCCAAATCAGAAGCCAAAGATGGAGGATGGAGTAACTTGAAAGCACTCTCTACCGTGAGAGCTTCCTGTGTGCCAGCAAAGAAGCCTTATGGTTTCTGGGGCCCAGGCTGGTCTCACCCAATGCACAGACCCATGTTTGAGCAGAGAAAGTTCTGTTGGACCAGGATGCGCCAACCACAGGAGGGAAGAATAAATACTTGAGAAATACCTACTAAGTGCCAGATGCCCTGCTGGGTGCTTTACATGCATTATCTCTAAGCCACACAACAGCTCTGTAAGCTAGGCCTTGGTCCATCTTGTAGATGAGAATCTGAGGCTTAGAAAGCTTAAGTAACTGGTCAAAAGGCACACAGTGCGAAGTGGAAGATCAAGGATCCATCTACCTTCACAGCCCCATATTTCTTCACTAAGATTCCCCTGGCCCATTACCAGAAAGAAGTGTGAGGTGGGCAGCTGCTGGAGGCTGAGAGCTAGTGGTTGATGCAGAGGTCACAGGGAAAAATATTCTAGAACATGTGTGCTCTCAGAGCACAGCCACAAGACTGGGCTAGAGGCTACTCAGCAGCACAGCAACACCTAGGAAGTTTCAGCAAATGCTTTCACCTTCACTGTCATTGTTGTCATTGTCATTATTGTTGCTATGCTGCATAGCCTGATGACTGAGGAAAACTGTGCACATCCCTTCTTTTATTTGAACTTACTCTGGGAAGTAGGTGTTACTATTCTGTTCATTTTTCAGATGCACAGAATGAAACTCAGAGCAATCCTGTCTCTCAGATCCTTCCTTCCTAGCAAGCTAGCTTTGGGCTAGAGAGCTCTCAGGACAGCCCCTCGCAGGGATGGGTGCAGGGCCTGGAGTAGGCTCCCCATCCCCGTCAGTGAGGGGCCCTGCCAAATATGTGTGGGTGTGAGCCCTCACCCAGGTGAGGGAGGAAGAGGACAGGCTGAGTGGATTACTGAGCATTTGAACTCAGCCTCAGAACAGCAAATATTGATTCAAGAAGCTGCCCAAAGGAGCTGACATTTTTATAGTCAACAAATAAAGCTGAGCCCCTCCCTGGCCCCCCAGTCAAAGGCCCTTTCTCTCTGCAGCTGCCAGGGTACATTTCTGTCACCACGTGTAAGAAGAGGAGGAAGAGCTGGTGGGAAATGTCCACAGGGGCCTGGTTGGCATCATCACCTCACCTTTAGGGAGAAGTGGGAGTCCCAGGCCCCAGGGTGTGACCTCGGTGAACCAGCCAGCTATCTGACAGGTACCAGAGTCCCTTGAGTTGGAGCAGAACCTGGCACCGGAGCCCCCAAAGACAACACACCCCTCCCACACACAGCTTCCTCATGTGGTGGCTTTTGGCAGCCTACACAGTTCTGGTTCCCTCATTCATGGACGAGGACCTGAACTCCAAAGAGAGATGGCTTTCCAAGGTAAACAGCCAGAGAGCAGTGAGGGCTGCCTAGCTCCTCTGTTTCAAGGCAAAGGGAGGATCTGCGCTCACTAAGCTACTCAGCTGGGAATGAGAACTCATCATCTGCCAGACAGCTGTCCTTGCCCTCTGGGCTCAGCCAGCATGACCCACAGCCTGGCATTCCTGAGCCTGCCTTCACGCTTTGTCCAGCAGGTCCCTTTACCTGAAATCCTCCTACCCAAGCACTTTTGCAGGAGGACTCATCATGCATGACCCTGCTCACTTTTCACCTCTTCAGGGAATCTTCCTAACCCGCTTCCCACCCTCACTCCCGCCTCTGGCAGGCAGAAACCACTGCTCCTTCCTTGGTGCTCCCAAAGCACATGCTTCCTTCCTGTCTTGTGGCATTTATGCTATTTTGCCTTGGGTGGATCATTTCTTAGATACTTGTCTCAGTCCTTCTTGGTCAAGAGCTGCAGCAAGAGGTTGGTTCATTTCTGTTGCCCCAACGAGCCTAGAAAAGCCCCCAGCACTTGGCAGGTGCTCAGTCAATGCTTGCAGCGTTGAGTTAGAATAATCCAAAACATGTGACTAAGAAACCAGAGTTGCAAATTCAGCTGCATCTAGACCAGGTAAGGAAGCTGGCCATGCCTCAGGCAAGCCCTCCCTCAGGAGGGAGATTTGTGCGGGCCCCAGGAACTCTGCCATTATTTCCTTTACTGGCCCACCCCGCCTTCTATTCACCCATCTATCCATCACCTAGGGGTTGAACTTCTACTCTGTGTCTGGTCCTGGTTGAGTGCTAGGAAGGCAAAGGCCAGGGCACACACCCTTGAACTCTTCCTGGAGCTGCTGGAGCATGCCAGGGTATGTGATGAGGGGAATCTAAGAGGCCTTTTGCCTTCAGACTTGTCTATGGGTCAATTGCGGTGAGCTGTGGCTCCAGGGACTGTGGCTTTTGGGCTTCAGGGAAGAGAGGGCAGCTCTTCACTGGACTGGCACCAGGCAGAACTGTGGAGTAAGCTCCATTATCATTATTGCTATTCACCGAAAGTCCTTCCCCTTCTAGGCATGTGGCAGGATTAGATTTCTCTGCCCCTGTGGTTGGGTGGGTCCATGGAGCTAGCTCAGGGGAGCAGTGGCACAGATCACTTCTGAGCTGGATGTACAATTGGCCAATTTAATTGCCCGTGTAAGACCCTCAAAGGTGCTTTTCTCTTGAGTAGGCAGCTCTGCGCCTTGAGGTTATTCAAGGATCAGCCGTGGGTCCCAGCAGTGGATCTCTGCATCCAAAAGTATCCAAGGCAGCTCCCCAAGTGGCACCATTTCCCAGAGAGCAGGAAGGGGAGCCAGGTGTGCAGGCCAATGACTTGTCTTTAGGAAGATGACCCGGAGGTGTCTTTGTTCACGTCTTTTAGCCTGCACTTTGTCACATGACCACACCCACCCACAAAGGAGCCTAGGAAATGTAGTTTCTAGTGGGGCAGATGTGTGCCCATCTTAAACTCAGCCATGTTCATTACTAAAATGAAACAAGGGAGAATGGATACTGGGGACAATTCGTGGGCTTCAACAGACTCACTCACCATCTCTCTCTAAACAAATGCCTGATTCTCCCAGACAAGCCCTGGCCCCTCCCTGAGACCGGCTGAGCTGCTGACCTTTTCTCTCCTCTCACCATCAGCCTTCCAGCTCTGAATGGCCATGAGCAAAATGCCTCTCTTCCTAGGGCTTCCTTTCCTTATCTGTCAAAGAAGGGTTTAGAGCAGTTGATTTCTGAAGTTCCTTCCAGAACTAACATTTGACCACTGTGGTTACGGGCAAGTCCTTTAACCTCTCTGGATTTCAACTTCCTCATCTAGAAAATAGAGATAAAAATAGTTCTTACCTCCAAGGGTTGTTGTGAAATCATCTATGGTTATGCCTGACATTTAAGAAATAATCAATAAATGTTTGCTGTAATCAAAACAATATGAGTTCCATTTGTCACTTCCTTAGAAAGAATCTGATGTACTCATTCATACTAAGGTCTAAGGCAGAGTCAGCAGATATCCGGCACAAGGGCTGTCATAATCCTCTCTTCTGTTACCGACATCACTGATCAATGAGGGCATTCTCCTCAGTAAGTGAGGATACAGCCACTGGACGCAGCCTCCTGGCTTTTCTCAACCTAGGGCTGCGGCAGCCTCCTCCTCTAGGAAGCCTTCCTGGTTCAACCCCAGGCATGATGAAAAACAAAAAGCCCACACATACCCCTAAAATGGCTCTTGTTGCTCCATATTATGTTTTCTTTTTATTTGTTAGTGCCCCAGCTAGACTGTGAGTTCCATGCTAGAGGGACTACAATCAGTTTCTCTATAGCCTAGATGAGTCTGCAGAACATTGCAGATGCTCAAAAAGTGAATTCTAGATCCTGTGGCTGGCAAGTAGGGGATGTTTGGGGGACGGGCAGTGTGTTGGCTTTATAAAGTGGATGGCTTTATAGAAGCCCATGTTCCTTGCCTCTGGAAGCTGCTGCAGGAGCTGTGGGGAGGGTCTCCCTGCCCACATTTCCCCTGCAGGGTTCCCTGGGCACCTCCAAGTGAGCTGGTGCAGCCACCACACATGGGGAGAGAACAAGGCCAGCAAACATGGAGGCCCCAAGACTGCTCCGAGGGAGATGCCCTCCCCAGGCCCCGTGGGTATCTGCTTGCCCCGCAGGCTCCCAGCTGCAAGGCAGTTCCAACTTAGCAACTAATGGACCTGCGAGAGCTCAGGCACCTGCCTTCTGCTCTCACAGACCTGTGCTCAGCATCACCTTGGCGATAGAGTGGAACATGGGGTGGAGTGGGGGGAGCTGCCATCTGTCCAGTCAATGCAGAGAGGTGCTCCCTGCTGGGGCTCAGGCAGGCCAGGGAAGGGGGAAGGGCAGTGACCACACTGCCTTTGGGGGATCCTGTTGAGCTGCATGGAGTGCTCATGGACACAGGAAAAGCTTGGCACCTGAGACCTGGTTTCCAGTGTCCTGGCTCATGGCCAGACAGTGTCGTCTGATTTTTTTGTCTGTGGAATATGATTGCCAGATCTGGGTCATATGTGACCCATGCAGAGTAAGCGATGAAGCCCCGGGAAGGCCTGTGTGTGCCATCTGCCTACCCTCTGGCCTGTCACAGGCCCTGAAATACCAGAATCAGGACAAAGCCAGGAGGACCCCTTGCTAAGAAAAGTTCCTGGTTACTCAATCTATTATTGCAGCTGAAGAATCTGAGACTCAGGGAACATTAAGTGACTTCCAAAAGTCACACAGCTTGGAAAGCAGGCCATATACCTCCAAGCATAGGGCTTGCCTCACTCTCCCACAGGACTCTGCAGCAGGGACCTCCATTTCTCTGCCAAATCCTTGATACCACGCTCTGGTAGCAGACACAGAATCCAATGGGCAAAGGGTCACTTAAGAATAATATTTTTAAAATATTAAACATTTTATGTCCATGAACTGGAGTGATCCAAACAGCACCCCTGGGCCAAGTGCTGGGGAGTGGGATAGGTGTAAGCCATGGACTGTGACCTCCAGGACCTCGGGGCTGGAGATGGACTCACAACTACTGGATGGTGGCACCTCACGTATTCAATGATGGGTTGGTGGCATTGCCCCTGGCATCCTTGGATAAATAGTAATATTAACACAACATACACCTGTTGTGCAGGAAGAGTACGTATTGAGCTGTGTTTTGGGCTTTCCCTTCACTCCCACTGCTTCCATGTTTGCATGGTGCCTTCTCCAAGGTCAGACAGAGCCATCCATTGCTTTCAAGAGGATTGGGATGTTACAGCAGGAATACAAAGGAAAGAAAGTCATTACGCAGATTTTTTACTTCCAAAAGAGGTTTTTAAGTCTCCCTTTCAGGAGCAATAGTTATGAAAGTCATTGCTTTTAATTTATAAAATCAAGGAGCATTGAGTGGTAAAAAGATTTTTTGCTAATCCAAATTGATCACACTCACTTATTCAACAGCTATTTACTGAGAACCTGTTTTGTGACACACTGTTCTGGATACTAAGGCTGTTGTTTGTCCATATACACAGTGGGAAAGAGAACAGATAAGGAATTATTCTGCCCCAGGAGGGGTTGGGATTACCCTGCCTTGTGGGCTTGAGGGTGGGGGTAAAGTTGAGGTGGGGAGTGTGGAAGGAAGAGATGGAGTCCAGTGGAGCCTCCCAGACCAGGCGTCTTTGGGAAGAAGAGGGAGTCAGTGTGGAGGACACTGTCCAGCTCTGCTCAGGTACCTACAGCCTCCCATAGACATGGCATTGCCCTTGGGGGGGAGTCTTCATAGTGCATGGAATCTGTGCCAAGAACTGGCACAGCCCCTGGCATCCCGTGGTGTCCTGGACCTCCAGGAAGAGAGGTGTTCCTCCACGCCTCCGGACTTGACCCTGCATGGCAACGCCTCCTCTTCAATGGCCCGGGACACTCAAAAGCCATGCCCTCCTAGAGGACGGGACCCAGGCTGGCCGGAGGGGACATACTTAGATGGAATTGAAGAGAAGCAGTTGAGAATTTCCGTCTCAGCGCACAGTGGGGATCACACATTCATATTGGCACTGTCCGCCTGACACCTGTTACACTTCCCTGTGCCATGTCACTGCCCCCTGCTCATGATGCTCCCTACCTTTGGGTCCTAGGTACTGCCGCTATTTCCATTATGGACAGAAAGTTGAAATTCCAAGTGCGTCGCTCCTTTACCCAAGGCCATATGTTACCAAGTGTCAGAGCTGGAATTCACCCCCAAATCTGATTCCAGAGTTCTGAGTCCCTGGCACCACTGCACTGCTTCTCAGAAACGTTCCTGTCAATGGACTAATAAGCTGGACTGCAGGGAGAACATTTGTTGGTGACAGAACCAGGGTCCAAAAAGTTTTGTCTAGCCAGAGTGATGGTGACTCTAACAAGACGAGTATGAATCAGGTCCAGCTACATAAAAACCCAATGCCCGAGTCATGGTTGGGTGGCAGCAGGCCCAGGGCTCCCCCTTGGCAGCTGTGCAGGGTGTGGGGGCTCAATGGGACATGGAGCCAAACTGGCCCTATTTGATCCTTGGCCACATTGGAGCCCAGAACAAGAGAAAGAGAAGTCACTTTCACTCTGCATTCATCAGTCCATGCAGAGAAGGCAGAAAACCTGGAGCCTCTTCAGGGAAAGAAAGTGTAGAAAGAACCTGAGCTCAGGCAGGCCTGGGTTCCCACATCCCTCCACCATGTACCTGTGTGTGACCTTTGACAAATTACTGATCTCCCCAACCCAGTTTTCTTGTCCTGTGAAATTGGTTTAGGAGTCTACTTTGCCTGGTTGTTGTAGGGGTTAGAGCTAAATAAGCTGTAGAAGGATACCTTCTAAATGGTATTATTCAGAGGAAACTAATCAAAATGTTGATAGCTGACTTGTTGAAAATCAGTCACCAGGAAAAGGAATTAAGCTTGTTCCATATCCAACCAGAACCAAAGAATGATTAGAAGTGGCCAGGAAATAGATTTTGGTTGGACTTAAGGCAGCGATTCCTGGCCTGGGCTGCATCAGGAACAGGGAAGCAGGTAGGCCCAACAGCTGCTTGGCCCATATAGGAATCTGGAGGATCGAAGGTGATGTTGGGCCAGAGCACTTCACAGCTCTTTCTCTTGAGGAACTTAACATAAGCTAGTTTAGAAAGGAAATTAATTTAAAAATCCTTTCACCTTCACATTCAAGGGAAGATGTCTGCACATAAATCTATGTCTTCATCTGTACTTATCCTCAGAATAGATCAATAGAAGTCCTGGATCAAAGGACATCAGCACTTTTAAGACTTGTCCTACATATTGCCAAGTCGTTTTCCAGAGAGATTGCACCCATTAAAAATTCTACCAGTATCAGGCAAGAGCACCCCGTTCCCTGTGTCCTCCTCATCATGGAGAGTTAGCTTTCGAGATCGTTTCTGTGTTGGTGGTAAGAAGGCACCCCATTGCGGAGATTAAGTAAGCATGGTGTCTTGGCTTAAGTTCTGGGGGCTCTGCCCCCTACAGGCTGTGTGACCTAGGGCTGGCTCCTCTGCTTCGGTTTTCTCATCTGTAGGATGGGAATACATCATGGACTTGTTGTGAGGCTTAAATAAGAAAATGTCAGCTGTGTGCAGCATAATACCTGCATTATAATATATAATATATAAATTATGTATAATTATAAATGATATATAAATTATAATATATAAATAATAAGTACATTATTTGCATTCCATGTGCATTATTTGCATTCCTTAGTTAATAGTGAAGTTGAACTTTTTTTCATTTGCCTTGCCTAATAAAGGAGAACTCTGGCAAAAAATGTGCTTTTTTTTGCCCATTTTACTGTTGGAGCACAGGACTTTTCTTACTGATCGTTTAACATGTCTTCCTCTGCTAGTTATATAATATTAGACCCTCTAAATTTTGTTACTAGATACACATCAGCATCACCTGAGAGGTTTTAAAAGTTAAATCGATGTCTGCAGGTAAAGCCAGGGCATCAGACTGGACTTGGGACGATTCTCCTTTGCAGCCAGGGCTCAGATGCGGTGTTCTATTTTAACATTGTCATTTGCTTGCTAATTTTGTTTATATACACTTGAGGTTCAGAAGTTTAAATGTTTGTGTATGTAGCCATATTTCTCTTCCTTTTCTTTTATGACTTCTTCAGTATCCTTTATGTTTAGGAAGTTCTCTCCCGTGCAAATAGTCACAAGCTTCTCCTGGCTTCCTGTGCTGTGATGGCTTCCCGTCTCACCTGCTTGTGTGATCTTGGCAGGTTGCTGAACCTTTCTGGGCTTCCGTTTCCCCTAAGGGAGGGAGTTGGACTAAATCAGACTTTTCCAAAGTCTTCTGAGATGCTCTTTTGGAAAAAGATTTTCCCAGCCAAATAAGTTTGGAAAAAGCACATTAACATGTCAAAAGTTCTGAGAAATATTACAGTAAAGAGAGATTACCCAGCATTTCCACTCCTGGGTATATGGCCAAGAAAATTGAAAACATATGTCTGTACAAAACTTGTCTATGAATGTTCATAACAGCATTATTCATAATAGTCAAGAGGTAGATACAACCAAAATGTCCATCAACCGATGAACAGATAGCAAAATATCTATACAATGGATATTATTCAACCATAAAAAAGAATGAAGCACTGATTCATGCTAACCTGAACAAACTTTGAAAACAATGCTAAATGATCACAAAAGATCACATAGTCTAATTCCATTTATAGGAAATGTCCAGATTAAGTAAATCTATAAGGATAGAAAGATTCATGGCTGCCTGGGGTGGAAGGAATTGGGAGGAAATGGAAATGACTGCTAATGGGCATCTGGTTTCTTTTGGGGTATAAAGATGTTCTATAATTACATCGCACTGATGGTTGCACAAGTCTGTGAATTACTAAATACTAAATAATACTAAAGACAACTAAACTGTGTACTTTGAAGGGGTGAATTTTATGGAATGTGAATTATATTTTATAAAGCTATTTAGAAAAGAAAAGAAAAATTAAGACTTTGGAAGAGCTGGGTCCTTCCCAACTTTGTCTCTGGCTAATCCCAGGACCTTAAGAAAGCTTTCTTCCCAGCATCTTCAAGCCTTCGTTTCCTTATCTGAAAAACATGGCCCATAACACTACTTTGCATTGTGCAGTTGAAAGAACACTTCATACCTGCTTCTTGCAGCATCTCCAAGAAGAGGTTAAAGCAACAAATGGAATCTGAGGTGCTGTGAGGGCAAGTTGCCTTGGCTCGCACAGCTGCTAAGTGGTGGTGTGTGGATTTGAATGCATTTCCGTCAGGCTGGGCACTGTGAATAATATCTGCCCAGCCTGGGTCACTGGGTTGCTGAGAGTTTGTGGCAACACCGTCTGAGAACCTGCTCTGAGAACTGACAGGTGCTCTGCCGTGTGGTGTATCGTTCTAGCCAGTGACGATGGGAGAGGTGTGGTCTGGGAGAGTCACTCCACACCCACTTTTTCTGAGGCTGGAACAGCATTGTTTCCACCTGTGTGGCCCCTGATCAGCTACTCTGAGCTTTACGTTCCTTCTTGTTAACGTGGGAAGGTTTGTTCTTATTTCATGGGAGCTGCTGGGGACTGATATAACCGGTTTATTGAGTGCTTACCTGGTGACCTGCGCTCCACTGGACACAGGACCTGCAACTGCAAGTGGCAGCCTCAGTAAAGCTCACAGCAACCCTCTGAGTGAGGTGAGGTCACTCCCTTTCACAGAGGAGCAAGTGGAGGCACAGAAGCTAGTAGGTTTATAGCCTGATTTCTTTCCATTAAACTTTATGTTCATTGTTGGTCTTTGAAGAGATTATTAAAGGCTATATAGTACTCTGTCATAGACATGTAACTCCTTTAACCATTTCCCTTGTATTTGACATTTGTTCCTATGTTAAGACACAAACAGTGCTACGGTGGACAAACTCATAAAATTCTGTGCACCTCTATGCCTATTTCCTTGAGGTAGATTCCTAGAAGTGGAGTTACTAGGTCAAAGGGCATGAACTCATTTACTGCTGCCTGTGTGCTGCCAAGCAGCTTTCCAGAAGAGAAAGGCTGAGGCCCCGACACTCCCACGAGAGGTATACAGGAGATGACCGTGCAGGAGGATTGGAAACCAGGCTTAGCTCTGTTTTTTCTCTCATATGTTCAGATGATCTCACAAAGACTGATCTTATCCAACCTCAACTTGTTAAAACGTACAGTAGCAAGTAATCTGGAATAGTCAATTCTGTGGGCCTATTCTGTGGATCTCTGAACATCCACAGGTAACTTCCCATGGATGCTCCTTGGCCAGTTAGACAAGTCAAGGGGGAGTTAGTCCTGCAGGAAGTCTCAAGCCAGAGACTCTGTGCTGAGATCTGAGGTGTCATCTGCCACATGAAAATGCCAAGCCTGTACGTAAGAAATATAAGACTTGTCATCAAACCTGCCAGTAATGATAAATTCTAACATTTATTATTTACTTAATAAATTATGCATATTTATTAGTGTAATCCTGGTATTAATCTTAGGAGGTGGACTTTATTAGTATGCTCATTTTAATAGTGGGAATGAGGAAACTATATAAGATGCAGAAAGTGGCTTGTCTGAGGTCACGCAGTTAGTAAACAGGTGGTGGATCCGGACCGATTCTAGTCAGTCTGACTCTACGGGCCACATACCCACCCACCGTACTACACTGCTCTACTGTCTGGCTGATAGGCAACAGATACTCTAGGCCAACCAGTCTTGAGTTCCTGGTAAACACTGCTGAGAACAGCACTGGAAAGAAGCTTTGGCAGCACCTGAGGCAATCTGATGAAGTGCTGTTGTCCACTGGATGAGACAAAGTATAAAACGCAGATGGCAAGTGGCTTTTATCCCTTTCCTTGGCATCCGGCAAAGGGTACATTCCTTGTACCTCTTCCTTGTACCTCTTCCCCGTGCTACCAAGAGTGACCAGGACTAAGAATCAGTGTGGCCACCAAGATCCTCTGGCTTCTGCCTAACCATGCCCATCTGCTCTCCTCCCTCCTGCGCAGGGCTGTGGGGGGTGTGGTGTGCTGGTCATGTTCACTTCCTGTTTTGCTGGTGCAGCAATGTGCAACACTGAGACCTGGGCCCTGCATGGCAGAAAGCACTGTGCTAGCCCGGTGTGGTGGGAGCACAGCATATGCTCCAAAAGATGGATGGAGAGAGGAAAGGCCAGGTATGTGCATGGATAGAAAAATGAATAAATAGGTCAATAAAGAGCTCAGGCCAGGTGCAGTGGCTCACACCTGTAACCCCAGCACTTCGGGAGGCTGAGGTGAGACGATCACTTGAGTTCAGGGGTTCAAGACCAACCTGGGCAACATGGTGAGACCTCATCTCTACAAAATATATGTGTATTAGCCAGATGTGGTGGCACATGCCTGTGGTCCCAACTACTTGGGAGACTGAGGCGGGAGGATCCCTTGAGCCCAGGAAGTTGAGGCTACAGTAAGCCTTTTTCTTGCCACTGCACTCCAGCCTGGGTGACAGAGCGAGACCCGGACTCTAAACAAATAAATAAAGAGCTCAGCACCATTTTTTTCACTAGTCCACACTACACTATGAGAGCTGGGGCCCTACTGCTTCATTACCTGTGGTGTATCCAGGGTCTAACACTAATTGATGCATGGTTGGTAGGGGACAAATGTTAGATGAATGAATGGTGGCAGGTGCTGTAGGACTGTCAGACATTTGAATAAGGCATTCCATTTTCTGGAGTTAGGAAGGATGTCCCTGCGTGCGGCTTTGCCCCAGGCCCCAGCCAGCTGTGGGCCTGTGGGTCTGTGGAGGGGATGAGGCACTGCTTCCACCATCCAGGTCCAAGAAGCCAGGCTGCAAAACCCAGCAGGACAGCTTCCTTTCATCTGTGGGGTTTCCCTTCAGGGAGGGCGTGACTCACAGAGGCAAACTACTCCAGCTTCCCGTGGCCTTGAGTTCTGCTCAGTCTGGCTCTCAGAGGCCCAGCCTTACGGCCTCAGCCTGCCCTGATCCCAGACCTCGGTAGGATGCTAGGGCAGGGGTTGTCATGTCAGGGATTCCATCAGTTTCGTCGTTTTTAAACTTGAGTGTGCACGGGAATCCCCTGGAGGTCTTGGAAAAACACAGATGCCTGGGCCCCACCCCTGGATTTCTAATTCAGTAGGTCTGAGGTAGTACCCAGGAATCTGCATTTCCAACCAGTTCCTGGGTGATTCATCTTTTGAGAACTGTGTTAGGCCCACCTCTGCCAGGCATTATCAATTCCACGTAAAAGGGTGCTTAGGCCTGATGTCACCAGCAAGGGGTTCTGGGAGCCTCTGTAGGCTGGTGGCTGCTGTGTGGCTCAGCTTGGACCCTCAACACCTGCTGCCGCTGCAGCCACTGGTATCTGTCATGTCCCATGGACCCTTCCCTTCCACCGTTCCTCCCTGACCACCTCTGCTTCCTTAGCCCTCTGCTCGGGAGGGTGCTCACACCTGAACTGAGCTTGGGAGCTCCCTGCCCAGTAGAGAGAAAGAACCATTCACCCTCCTCTCCTCCCTCAGCCTTTGCTAGGACCCAGCTCCATCAGCCTTCGGGGCCCCTGTGGAGTTTCCTGTCATGGCCAGGCCCACCATGCCCCGCAGGATTGCCTCCCTCCTCACAGGCCTCCTATCACAGGGTGCTCCCTCGGCTGCCTCTTAAGCCCCATCCTCCTTCTCCTGCAGCTTTCCCGCCTGTCTGTCCTCCCTTCCCACACACACCCAACTCTCACCAGCCTGGGCCTTTGTCTTGCTGGGCCCTGTGTTTGGCCAAGGCAACTTATTTGGAACTTTCCTCCAACTTTGTGAAGGGGACAGTAAGTAAAGGGACCAGGACCCAAGGCTCGGGAATGTATTGGTCCTGCTGGGAAATGCTTGCTTCCTGTGGACCCAGCTGAAAAGTACATAGGAAGCAATTATTTAACAAAGGGAAAGGTAATAAAAGAGCTCAATAAATATTTGTTGAATAAGGGAACACAAAAGCTGCTTTACAGATGCACAGCCAAAAACACCTCTTTAAAAAAGCACTTTGATTCTGTGAGAGCCCTGCAGGTATGCATGCAAAGCCCTTGATCATTTGACCCCAAGTGGGGAAATGAGAATCCCCTACACAGGACATTTCTAGGTTGGAAATTTTTCTGGCACAATGATTGCTTGTGAGTTCTGTGGCAGCTAGTGCCCTAGGCTAATAGGTGCTAAACATCAAAAAGCATCCTAGAGATAATAAATTTGGGAAACACTGACATAAATAAATATAAACTAGTCCATGTACTGGGGGGACTTCTCTGAGCCTGCCGTAGGGAGGCCTCAGGCCATTCCCAGGTTCTTAGACCTTGAGAACCTGCCCCCAAGCCATCTGCCCAGGGGCTTGCATCTGCTCGCTAGGGCTGGGAACCTGGGGGAGGGTAAAGGTAAGGGGTAGGATGGGAATGAAGGCAGTTTTCCATTTTCTCACCTAGCTTCTGATTTGTGCCTAGGAAGGAAAAGATTTCCTTTTCTTCCAGGCTTCCACCAGCAAGGCCTTAGAGAGGCTTCCCCCTTCCCTAGACTCCCACAGAGATACTGGGGCCTTGGGGGTGACTGCCAAGAAACCTGAGTAGCCTGATACCCAGGTCAGAGGTCTCTCTGTACACACACACACACACACACAGAGATACACACACACACACACACTTGCAAGCACGTGAGCCTTGCAGCCACAGGCCACTGGAAATGGAGTCATGGTCACCCCACATGGGGACCCTTGATATAGAGGAAGACTCTAGCGGAAATATGGGCAGACAGCTGGACGAGAGTTTGGAAGAGCATTCCCAGTGCCCTCGATGTGCACTCTCCTCCTGTCTGGACACAGGGCAGGCTGTGTTCTGACAATCCAGGGATGTGAGGTCAGGAGCGCAGAGCAGGGTGGAAATCACCAATAAGAGAGTGAGCTGGAAGCTGGCATTCTGGGGAAGGTAGTGCCATCCCATCCTCCCCCTTCCCAGCTTCATGGCAGCCAGTAAGCTTTGCCCTCTTTGAGGACCTGCATCCCCCAGGGACCCGGTCAAGGCAGGGTGGGGGTGGGTGGAGCCCCTGTTGGGGAGAGCTGGGCTACGCCCAGGCCCTGCATGGGAGATTAACCACCAGGGAGGGCATCTGTGCCCAGCCTGGGAAGCTTGGGCTCCTGGTCCTGCCAGTTCAGGTTCCTCTTCTAGAGAAATGTTTTCTCTGGAGCTCTGGGAAAAGAAGTTTTCTGGGACACCTGTTGAGTGTTACACCCACCGTTCTGTGGTTAGAGGAGAGGGTGTGCAGAATCCCTCGTCACCCAGCTGGTCTGAGACAGCAAAGGTCAACACCAAGCCTCCTTGGCCTCTTGCCCTGTTGGGGGGCACCCAGAGGACGGTGTCCCAGCTCCATTCCAGTAGAGCTGCAGGAGGAAGAAGATGACCGGGCGATTTTGACTCCCAGGAAGGGACTTTCAATTTGAGGCCAGATTAGGGTTGGAATGGGGTGGGAGGTAGTCCTAATTGCTCTGGAGAGAAGCTCAGAGATGGGGAGGAGTGGGGATAGAGCAGAGTGGAGGCAGGGCTAGATCAGAGTCTTCTGAACACCTGGTAATGGCTCACACCGGCCCAGAACCTCATTCACCTCAGTCAATCGTCATCCAGTGAGAGCCTCTCTGGCCTGGAATGGGCCCCTTCCCCCAAGTGGTCAGTGGATGTATGGCTGTGGGGCCTCTGTTTATGTCTTCCCAGGCCACCCTCCATGGGCACAGTGTGGTCGCAGGTTAGGCTTGTCCATCATAGCAGCCCCCATCCCTGGAGACCACTGGAGAGCTGTTCCTCTCTTTGCCCCCATTCATCTGGCACCCACCTGGGACAGGCCCTGCCCCAGCATGATCTCCCATCTGCCTCCTTGGCCCTCTTCTTGCCTGCAGCTGTCCCAGGGCCTTCACCTCCTCTTGTCCTCATCCATCCCGTTTGCTCCATGTTTGGAGTCTTGGCAGGGAACCTTCATGCTTAAGAAGGGAGTGGGACATTAAGAAAGACAGACTGGTGCTGATGGGAGTCCCCAGGTTCTTGCTGAGAGGTAGTGACACCTCATTAGACAGGCACAGATGGTTACTCAGGGCCCCCTTACCTTCTGCCATGGCAGTGCTGGTAGGGAGGACCACGTGTGTCTAATAACAGCCAGAGTTCCAGCTGCCTTAGCCTTTCCCCTCTGGAAGCTCACTTTAGTCTGTCCTTCAACTCTTGGTGCCCCTCATTGCTTCCATTTGTGGCCTCCCAGAGCCGTGGCTTCCCTGGCAGTCAGTGGTGAAAAAGTCTACAAAACCTGGAGCCCACAGAAGGGTTGCTATGTAAAGAAATTGTCCCTGGAGCCCTACAGTCAGAGACTCCATCTGCCCTTGGCCTCTCCATGGGTAACTGGAGCACAGGTACTGTCCTGGTGTGGCAGCCCTTCTGGGATGGTCTGATTCTCCCTGAGCTGATGTTGGCACTGGTTTCTAGGTTTCCAAAAAGCTGTTCAGGTCTAATTGTGCAGAATAGAGGGGAGAGTGTCATTCTCCTGCTAAGAATCTGGGGCTACCTTTTCCCCCTTCCTCCTTCCCAACAGCAAAATGTCCTACAACAGTGATGGGCAAGGTGGGGAAAGGCCCCTGTTGTCCAATCATCTCCCTTGTGGCCTGTGGAGTCTGGGATTTTTGGGGCTCAGCTCTGTGCCTGGCTGAGGCTGAGGCCTTGAGCAGTGGTCATTCAAATCTCTAGAGTCTAAGTCCTCACCTCTGAATCATGGGGCAGGGATGGGACCTCTGCCTACCATCTTCAGAGTTGCTGGGAGGCCAGTGTGGGCCCACCCAATGTGTGTTTGCTGTGGTCACAGAGATCCTGGGCACTCCAATATCACAGAGATGGTATAGGAAGCTTTCAGACAGTAAAATCTGAGAGCTGGCCCTTTAAGAGACTAGTGGATTCCTGGCTTAGCCCAACAACCAGGCCAGGACCAGGAGGGCTGCAGCAAGAAATGGGAAAGCACTTCCGCCAAGCTCTCTACCTAGGATTGCACCCTGTTTCCAGGTTACTGGAATATACTGGGGCCTCAGCTCACCTGCACATGCAGGGAAGTCCCCAAGCCCTACAAATTCTATTTACCCTGAGTGACTGCAGCTGGACCGTGTGTGTGTGTGTGTGTGTGTGTGTGTGTGTGTGTGTGTGTGTGTGCGCGCGCGCGCAATGAGGCCCCTCCAGGCCCATGGTTTGGAGACCCAGGCAGCAGGACACCAAGCCCCCTGTGGGTAGTGCCAGCTTCTCAGCAGCTGAACAGGGTGGCGCTGGAAGAGCTTGGAGCCAGCTGGCTCTCAGCACTGAATCACCCAGGGGCGGGACCTCTTGGAAATGTAAGCCTGAGCTCCTAACCCTCTACTCAAAGCCCTCAACAACTTTCCTCTCCATTGTCCTCGGAAGAGTGAGGCCCAGGGCCCTGCCTGGTCTGGCCTCCCAGGCTCTGGCTTTCTGTGCTCCCCACTCCTTCCCATTCTCTCAGCCCACCCACACTCACATGCCTCTGTCGCTGTCATTGACCTGCTGCTGCACACCCCAGGAGCCTTGGTAGATGCTGTTCCCTCCTAGTGATCCTTCCACTCCTCTGCTCATTACCTACTCTTCCCTCAGACCTCCTCGACTAGGTCAAATCCTCATTTTAGAAGGCCACGTCTTTCTTCTTCGAAGCATTTTTTGTTGCTGCAATGTTGCTTGTATCGTGCTACGCAATTGATATCTACTTCCCTGACTGGGTTGCAGAGGTTCAAGGTGCTCTGGCTTTTGCCTCCCAGAGTTCCCCAGTGCCAAGCTCTGAGCAAGGCTCAGTTTGTTAGATGAATGGATGGATAGATGGTTGGATTAACGGAAGGAAGGAAGGAAGGATGAGTGGATGGATGGATGGATGGTTGGATGGAGTGAAGAAAGGATGGGTAGATGATGGATGGATGGGTAGATGATGGACAGATGGATGGATGGATGGAGGATAGGTGGACGGACGGATGGATGATTTTCACTCTGCATGTTTGCCATCCCCAGTGCTAAAATGAAATGCAGCCCTCAAACCAAATGGCCATTAACTGAACTCAGGACCATTTGCTTTGGCCAATTCAGCCCTTAGCCCTAGGGAGCGTGGGGAAGGGTGATATTATTCCTCCAAAGGCTGAGATCCTGACATCCTTGACCTGGTTTAACCCTCCCACCTCCCATCCAGGGCAACCCAGCCTGGTAATTCAGGCCTTCTGGAGGCACACAGACCATCGATACAAGTGGGCAAGGGAAAGGATCGTGTCCTTTGATGGGCCTGCTTATGCCTTGAGTTTGCCATCTACTTTCTGTGGGACCTTGAACAATCACTTAACTTTTCCTGGGTTTAGTTTCCTCATGCGCCCTGACAGCTTTACAAGGCTGCCTTTGCAATGGAACATGGTCATGTATGAACACCTGTAGGTGTTGTGAAACATGGCACCCTGCAAAGACCTGAGAGGCTGTGTCTGTGGCCCTGCAGCGGAGGTCTGCAGGTATGGGGGCTCACTGCACTCAGCTTGAAAGTGAAGTCTCCCAGCTCCTCTCTGTTTTGTGCTCTCTTCCAGCCCCTGGCTCGAATCCTCTGCTGGGACCTCTTCTGTCCCTAGGCCCCTAACAGGTTTACTGTCCCTCAGCCTGGGGGAAACATGGCCTTCTCTGCCCAGAGCCCCAGGCTCAGCCCTCGGCTTCTGGCCAAAACAACCCTTTTGCAGCCACTGGGCCCACTCACCCTGTGCCTCCCAGCTCCTCTAGGGAGCATCTTTCCTCACAGCGCCCCTTCCTTACTCTGCCTCTGAGGTCGCTGACTGTGGGATCAGAAGAGACTTGGTCTGAACCTCAGTTCTGCCACACCAGCTCTGGGCAATGACTCAGTTGCTCTGTGACTCGGTTTGCGCATTTGTAAAATGAAGACCCAGTGCCCCTTGCAGATTGCTGGGAATATGCATCAGTGACAGAGGTGAAGTGCTGGCTCAGTGCCTAAAACATGGCATTTGCTCAAGAAACGTGGGATTTCCTCTTCTCTCAAAGTCTATCTTTTCCTCACAACTCTGTTCTCCAGAATTTCCAAAGTGGTGCCGCCTGCACCTCCAGTGACAGACACAGTCACAGGCATTTAAGGCCTCTGCCAGCCAACCTCGTGTGATCTCCTGAGTTGCCTGGCTGTCTTTTTCTATCCTCTTTCTTTGTCCCTGAAGACAGATGAGGCTGACAGTCCCCAGGCTTAGGGCCACTGAATACAGGCCCAGGCTGGGGCCTGTGGTGTGAGGGCAGAGTTGGGGGAACTTAGCATCCTGGAGGGTGTGCAGCTGGACATGACTGGCAAGGAAGGTGAGTCTAGCATCAGCAACTGTATTTGCCTCAACTGTCCCACCTTACACATCACCCAGGAACATTTGAGCCTGGAGACAGGGTTATCATAGCACAAAGCCACAGCAAGCTTTGCTGGACCCTGCTCCTCCAGCCTGGGGGACTCCCACTGGCACAGACAGGTCAAATCCTGTCAGCGTGATTCAGTTTGAATCAACACCATTTAAATCCACCCACCATTTACCAAGCACTCTTCAGTGCCAGGCACGTAGGGAGACCCTGGGGATGCAGAGATGGCCCAATCCCCACCCTCCATGGGCTTTCGGCATAGTTGGAGAGCCAGCTACCAATAAGCTCTATCCACACCAGTGGTGCTCAATCCTGCAGAAGGTTGTGAGATTGATACCTAGGCCCACTCAGAACATGGAACTGGAATCTGTGCCCCCTCCATGATCTGCACACACACACACACAAACACACAGGTGGACACATGCACAGACACACTCACTCATGCACACACATGCATCTGCTCTTTCCTCTCCACAGTGGCCAGCTTGGGACTTCTTGAATCCTTCCTGAACGCACCCAGTGCACTGCTGCCTCCATGCTTCCTTTTGACTCACCCCTTCTCAAGAGTGGGCATGTCCTGGTTCTTCCATGAGGCCGTGTGATGCTTGAAACCTTGTCTTGATGCCCATCTAAGATGTCCAGCCCCACAGAGGGCTTGGGCTGGGAATACATTTGCTTTGCTAGGAGGCCACGAAAGATGGGTCAAAAGGTGTCACACATTTCAGCATATTTTAGCTGAGCCTCCACCCAGTGCCAGCCTCTGTGACAGGAGCTGGAGATGTGGAGATGGACAAGACTCACTCCCTGACCTGAGAAGAGCAAGGGAAGATGACATACGAGCCAATAGGGCACAACATAGAGAACAGAGATGCAGAGGGCACTGTGAGACACCACAAGAGGGTGTGATTAACTGTGGAGGGAGCGTTCAGGGAAAGCCTCCTGGAGGAGGTGACATTTGAGCTGAGTTTTGAAGGATAAATAGGAATTCATTCATGATGTGTATTAGGGAAGGTTGGCAGGCATTTTACTTATGGGAAACAGCTTCTGCAGGGACAGGGAAGACTGGAGAATGAAGGGTCCAGAGCTGTAATCACTGATAATGTCCTTGCTGAGTTGCTAGAGTTCAAGAGCAGCTTTGGGAAGCAGGGTGCTCATCTCAGAGAACAACGTGGGCAACTGTACACTGGCTGTTTTGCAGCCTCAAGCTATGTCTTGTCTGCATTCTTCCGAGTTCTGCTTCATGCCATTCTTTTCCTGGGCCCTTCTCTTTTCCTCAAACTCCCCTGCCTCTCTGGGTGCAAGTCACCACGCGACTTTCTCAGTCACACAACAAGGCCTGGAGAGGTGAGGTGCAGGGCAGGGATCCCAGGAGGCAGTTGATACTCAGGGGACAGGTTGGGACCTATCTGTGGGTGGCAGGCCCCCAGTTGCGGGGACAGGCAGAGGGAAGGACAGGCAAGCAACCTCCTTGCTCACTGATCACCAAGTGGAGCTTACAGCAGGGTTCTACCTGAGAGGGCACCTGCGGTATCAGCAGGGTGGAGGGTGCCTGGTCAGAACCAGCATAGGAACTGGGATAGAGAAAACGGAGCAAACCGAGGTGGTGGGGTGAAGGCATCGGTTCCAGACGCCTGGTCCTGGGGAGCAGCGGGGGGTTAGTGCAGAGTGAAGCTGGGAGCCCCATGGTGGGGCTGAGCCCACTGCTAGCTGTTCTTCCTCTAGCATAGTTGGCTGAGACCTTGGCGAGGCTGGAGCCTACAGGCAGGAGGGAAAACAAGCTCAGTGGCCTTGGGGAGGAGAGTGTCACTTTGGGTTCTGTTCTCAAAAAAATGTCCATGGCTTGGCAGGTGTGACAAGCCTAACATTTCACATTAATACCCAATACTGACGTGGAGCTTCCCATGTGCCAGGCACTGTGCTGTGTTTGGAAACCTTGTCTCACTTAATCTTCACACCAACCCTGTAGGAGGTGGTCATCATTCCTATTTTAAAGGCAAAAAAGCAAGGCACGGGGATGTTTCAGGACACAACCAAGGCCAAGCAACTCCAAGTGTGGAGCAGCTGGGAGCTGTGCCCCTAACCACTGCACGGCACTCTGGCCTGTCCCTGGGCACTGAGCTGCCCTGCTCCGCTCCTCCCTTCTGCTCCCCATTTCCTGTAGCTTGCTGATGGGGTGGGTGGACTGGGCTGTTGTTATGGGTGGGGGTGGGAAGAACAGGGCTGCTCTAAGCTGATCCATCCTGTTCTGTTCTCTCCTTACCCCACCAAAGGAGAAGCTAGGGCCTGGGCATCTGTAAAGTGGGCTGGCCCTCCTGGGGCTGAGGAGCCACTGGAGCTGAGTCACAGAGGATTTCCTTGGGATTAAGAATCCTCTGAAGTCCATGGTACCTGGTTGTGGTGGAGGCAGTTGGCTCTTCCAGCCAGGCATTAATCCTAGTGAAATACATGGCATTTCCAGTCATTCCAGCTGGAATTAAACTTAAATCAAGTCCAAAAGAGCACAGCCAGGAGAATGTGAGTGAGCCTGCCAAAGACGCCAGGCGTCCGGCCTGCTCTGGCTTCTCTGATGCTGGCCTTGCTTCTCAGGAGCTGTGGGCAGTGGGGGAGGATGGAGTGGAGCACCCCACTGCACCCCAGGCCCTCCTATCTACCATGTGGCCTGGTAGCAGGCATCTCAGCCAGGTGAGACAGCAGAGTGAGGCAGCCCAGGGTCAGAGGGCTGGGATGGAGCTCTTGCTCTGCTGCTCTAAGTCCCTCTGCCCAACGCACACATATAGCTGGTGGCAGATAAGCAGCACAGCTCAGTGGGCAGGAGCGGAGGCACTGCAGCCAGTGGGCCTAAATCCCACTGTACCACTGGCTGTGTGACCACTAACCAATGACCCCTCCATGCCTCAGTTTCCTCCTTTGGAAAACAAGGATAATAATAGGTACCTCATTGTATGGTCGTAAGTGTTAAATGGGTTCATACATACAAAGAGCTTAGAACTCTGCCTGGCATACTGTGAGCACTGTGTGTTACCTATTGTTATTCTCTGGGCCTCAGTTTCCTCACCTGCAAGATGGAGCTGAGGGTAGGACTTGACAACCAAGGGTAGTCTTCATGCTGGGGTCCTCTGGCTGTGGGAGCAGCATGGGGCTCCGCAATGAACAAGGCCCTGCCCTCAGAAGGGCACCTACCCTCCAAGGAGGAACTGGCTGGACAGACAGCACTACAGGTCCCACAAGCCACCCCCCACCCTGTAGCTGTGCAAGTAAGGAAGGTGCGTGTGTGTTTGTGCATAAGTATGTGTATATGTATATGTTTGTGGGTGTGTGTGCATATATGCATGAGTATATGTATATGTATAGAGTTGACCCTTGGACAACACAAGTTGGAGCACTGACCCACGTGCACTCGAATATCCACATATAACTTGTGACACCCTGTATTAGTCTGTTCTCACGCTGCTAATTAAGACATATCCAAGACTGGGCAATTTATAAAGGAAAGAGGCTTAATTGACTCACCGTTCCACGTGGTTGGGGAGGCCTCACAATCATGGCAGAAGGCAAGGAGGAGCAAAGTCACATCTTACATGGTGGCAGGCAAGAGAGCTTCTGCAGGTGAACTCTCCTTTATAAAACCATTAGATCTTGTGAGACTTATTCATTACCATGAGAACAGTATGTAGGAAACCGCCCCATGATTCAATTATCTCCACCTGGCCCCGCCCTTAACACGTGGAGATTATTATAATTCAAAGTGAGATTTGAGTGAGGACACAGCCAAACGATATCATTCCCCCAAAACTTAAGTACTAATAGCCTACTGTTGACAGGAAGTCTTATCAATGACATAAACAGTTGGTTAACACATATTAGATACTGTATTTTTACAATAAAGTACTTTAGAGAAAAGACAGTGTTACTAAGAAAATTATAGGAGAGGAAATATTTACTATTCATTAAGTGGAAGTGGATCATCATGAAGGTCTTCATCCTCATTGTCTTCATGTTGTGTAGGCTGAGGAGGAGGAGGAGAAGGAAGAGGAGGGGTTGGTTTTGCAGTCTCAGGAGTGGCAGAGGCAGAAGAAAATTTGTGTAAAAGTCGACCCTCGCCAGTGCAAGTTCGTGTTATTCAAAGGTCAACTGTATATGTGTTTGTGAGTATGTGTGTGTTTGTGTGTATGTACATGTGCATATTTGGGTTGGTGTGTACATGTATGTACACGTGTGCATGTGCATGCGTTTGTGTGTACCTGTATATGTGTGTGTTCATGTGCATGTTTGCACATGCATGTTTGTGTATATGTATATGAATGTGTATGTGTGTGTTGGTGTTCATGCATGCATGTGTTTGTGTGTACATGAGTATGTGCATATACATGTGAGCATGGTATTTGCATGTCTGTATGTGTGTGCATGTATCTGTGTTTGTACGCATATGTGTATATGTTTGTGTATGCATGCGAGTTTACATGGATATGTGCCTGTATGGGTGTATGTATGTGTATGCATATGTATGTTTGTGTATGCATGTGTGTATACATGTTAGTTTACATGGATATGTGCATGTGTATGTGTGTATATATGTATAAATGTATATACATGTGTGCATATGTGTGCATGTGTGTGCATGTGTGTGGGAATGTGTGTGTGTGAGTGTCCATGTGGCGAGCACAGAGAGCCAGCCCATTTGGGTTCTTTGTTGGAGTGCAGATGGGAATGTGCCTCCACCTGATTTCACACCTTGGCATGAACCTGTCTGAGTGGGCAGTGGAAGTAACTCAGACCCAAGAAGGAGGGATGGGGAAATGGGGGTGGCAAGTAAGAGGTATGAAAGTGTTTTGGCCAAAGAAATTCAGCAGGATTTGGATTGAAGGGACTGAAGGATGAAAGGAAGGCCAGTTACTCTGCAGTGGATGCTGTACTCCAAGCTCTGGGGCTCTTATGTTACAGCCAAGGAAAGAAAAGTTTAGAGAAGTCGAGGAACCTGCCTCGAGTCATCAGTAGTAGAGCCAGGACTCGAGCAGGAGTATGTCTGACTCCGGGGCCTGGGCTTCTTCACCACCCTGGTTGCCTCTTAGGGAAAGGGAGACAGATGGGGATAGTGCAGTCACTGGGCCTCACTCCGCATAGCTCCATGTGCAGAGGATGCATTGACCCCTCATATTTGGGATGACAACAGGCTCCAGCGTGGGGAGTGGTCGATGCTGGGCACCAAAGAGCGAGACTCTGCAGTGCTGGATGACAGTGCCCCAGGCCTGCAGTTGGGGAGGAGTTGCTGAGCAGAAGACAGCCCTGAAGCCTTTGAAAGCCAGGGCAGGCAGGAGGGCTCCAGGAGGCCAGTGGGTGGATAGAAAAGGGACTCAGGGACTCGGCCTAGATACCAGGGTGTTAAGTTCTGTTCTAAGATATATATCTTTGGATGAGTCAAATCCCTTTTCTGAGCCTCAGTTTGTATATCTGCCAAATGGGGCCACTACCCCTCCCCAGGCCCAATCCTACCTCATAGGAAAAAGCAGATTAATGTTGGGGTTATAAGTGCAGCCTTTGATACCTTTAGATCCTTAGCTGCTGGTCAAGTCACTAAACTGTTCAGTCTGTTTTCTAGTATGTGTAATGGGGATACCAGTGGTCTCTACCTCATCGGGCTGCAAGGGTTACTCAAATAATGCCTACAAAACACTCAGAACCACACCTGGCATAAAGAAAGGGGCTAGTAAATATTAATTACCATTGATATTGCTATTTTTTTTTTTTTTTTTGTGAGACAGAGTCTCACCGTGTCACCCAGGCTGGATGCAATGGCACAGTCTCGGCTAACTGCAACCTCTGCCTCCTGGGTTCAAGCGATTCTCCTGCCTCAGCCTCCTGAGTAGCTGGGATTACAGGCGCCCACCACCATGCCTGGCTAATTTTGTATTTTTAGTAGAGACGGGGTTTCACCATGTTGGCCAGGCTGGCCTCGAACTCCTGATCTCGTGATTCACCCGTCTCAGCCTCCCAAAGTGCTGGGATTACAGGAGTGAGTCACCACACCTGGCTGATATTGCTATTATTTCCTAAGATTCTTACAAGAACAAAACAAACTTGCACAGAGGAGACTGCTGAGCTATAGAAAGGTCTGTTGGCTGGGAAGTAGACTGTATTGCTGTTTGCAATTATTCATGCCCTCGTTCCCATTGAAAGTGATACACATCCTCACCCCTTTGACTTTGGGCTTCATTGCATGGCATGCTTCAGCTCACAGAATGTGAAAGCACATGACATATGCTAGGTCTCAGCAGAAGCTGTACCACCACCATGCTTGCTTTATCCGCTGCCATTAGAATGGCCTGCCCACTCACTGTGATGTCAGTGACAAACAAATGCTCATAGTTGTGAGCCACTGAGACTTTGGGGTTGCTTGTTATCACAGCCAACCTGACATATACAGTATGAAGAAGGAGAAGGGTCTCCAAGGAGGTGTGCTGTGGCCTACTGGGGAGAAGAGGTGCTTAGTCCTGACAGCTGAAGTCAAGGAGAGGATTGGGGTAGACAAAACACACATGAACCCCATACACAGAAGCCCTCAACACTGTCTGCCCTTTATTTACACAAGTCACTGTCAGACTTAGCAGGACCCAGGAGCTAGCTAGCTTTCCCATAAGGTCTCCTGGTCCCCACTTCAAACCCAGGAGCCCCTCTCTTATTCCTGGCCTTGATTCCTGGGTTGTTCTCACTGAGGAAGGCCAAGAAGCCCTTTGCATTGGCTTCTGTTTTGTTTGCTCTCACTTGTGCCATCCTGTTGTGGACAAGAAGGAAGCACGCCAACATCAGCCCCCACCGCAGACCAAGGGAAACATTTCCCGGCCTCCGGTTGGCCATGGCTCCCTTCCCGTGGGTCCTCTTTCTAGAGCCAGGTCTGTAAACTTGGAGAGAAAATGGTTTGTTGTCCGACTTTGTCCAATCCAGAAGTGGGAACCCAAGAGGGAGAGGCCAAGGACTGTGCTGTGGTGCTGCCCTCTAGCCAGTGGGCCTCACAAGTGGTCACAGAGGGTCTGGCTGGCGGACCCCACCATCTTGCTCTGTGGAAGAGGGGCTGCTCATGGATTCTGACCTCACAGGGCCACGAAAGTTTCCATGTGGAGTGCTTTCTGTCCAGGAGGCAAAGCAAACATCTGGTTGCACAGTTCCCCTTTCCCTGCCAGCCACCATGTGGGGATTCCAGGCATTGTTCCATCGTTTCTCCGTTTGCTTTCCATACCACCTCGCTGAGCTCCGGTGGCTTTGCTCATCCCTCCCAACCAGGCAGCCATTCACAGCCTCTCACTCCTCGTGTCTGCTGCTGGCCCTGACAAGAATTTTCCTGTGGCTTTCTGTGGTCTCCAGTCCTGTCATTTACCACCCAGTGCTTGCAGGCTTTCACTGCGCTGAAGAATTTCTGGGCAAATTTTGGTCCGTGTGGTCGCTCTGGGCAATTGTCACAGAAAGCCTTGGAGAAGCCGCCTGTGCAGCCCAGCAGCACCCGGCCCCCACCCAGCTCGTGGCAGTGTGTGCTCTGTTCTGTTTGGTGCTTTCAGGGTGCAAGGACAAGAGGTGCACTCAGGCACTTTTGGGGGCTGCCAGCAGGATGTGGGGAGCAGGAGCAAAGCTTAGCCACCTCAGCCGCCTTGGTCCTCCCCATTCAACCCACAGCGGTACTCCTCAAGAGCACGTAGCTGGGGCGATCATTTCTTTCTGGCTCTGAGTTCTGTGTCAGGCCACTCGCAGGTCTCTGGCATCATCATCATGAGCCTATAGATGGCTCTCTTTGAGTCAGGTGCTGAGCCACAGATCAAGTGGTTATTTATAGCTATAATTGCAGGGTCACATGACCCCAGGCATGGAGTATAAGGAGCTGCCTGGGACTGCTCTGCTCTGAATAGGGTGTGTGTCTGGTGGGCACCCATGGACTTCCCAGCCATCTAACAGCAACCCACTGCACCAGGCTTCAGGCCCCCGTTCCCAAGTCAAGCAAACCATCATGTGTCATACTTAAGACCAGTCCTCCGTTCTCCTACTGTTGCACAACACACACCTCCAATGGCTTCTTATGGGTGGCGCCATCACCCCCTGTGCAGTCCCACCTCCTTGATTCCATCCACCTCCTGCTCAACACTTCCAGCTCCTCCTCAGTGTTCTTCAATCACCTTTTCTTTCCAGGGGGCTTGTTAACCCTGCAGAGGGATGGTCCTTGCACAAGGTTTGTCCTGTACTCTTTTCCACGTGTCACCCCCACACTGCTCCTCCAGTGGGGCTGGAGCTTGATAAGGGCCACTGTGGGGTGTCAGTCGTCCACACTGTGGCATCCCACTAACTGTCCTGCTCCCTTCCCTGTGGTCCAGCCTCTACAGACGCAGAGAGGAGCGAGACAGGAGCTCTGTGTCTAGTGGAAGTGGAGAGATCAGACAGGAACCCAGGAATGGTTCAAGAATAACAGCAGTATTTGTGAAATCAGATTATGTCACTCCTATGCTTAAAGCCTACTAGTGGTTTCCATTTGTAACAAGAGTCACACTGAGCCCTCTGTGTGGCTGACAAGCACCTGCATGACCCAGCCCTGCCGACTTCTTCAACTTTCCTCTCAAGCTACACTCCCCTAGCTCACCCCGCTCCATGATCCTGGCTTTTAGTTCTTCAAAGACACTGAACTCTGCTTCTTCAGCTCATCTGCAAGCTCCACAGGATGGGCACTGGGCTCTTTGATTTTTCACAGTACCTGAATTGATCCTTAGCACATGTAGGTGCTCAATTCATATTTTCAAGTGTCTGAATGAGCAACGTCCACATTGACGCATTGATGTGAATGGAAGTGAGAAATCACTAGGTATATTATGAGGCACAGGAAGGAGGCTCACCTGGACAGACTGAAGGGGTCAAGGGCAACGTGAGGAGACCAGGCTGAAGGGAACGTGGGTCAGTCTGTGAGGCTTTAAATGCCAGGCCTAAAGTCTGCCTCTGACCCTGTACCTTGCAGTGAGGGGCTGGAAAGCCTTGCTGAGGATGGAGCAGGAATCATTCAGAAAGAGACCTTTGGCAGGCACCAGCAGGACAGATGGAAGCATGATAAACTTGGAAGCTGGGACCCAGGTTGGGAGGCTTTGGAAATACTGTGGGCCTAGCTAAGGAGTCACATGGACTAGGGTGGGGTGTGAATGGACTTGCCGAGGCCTGGACAGGAACCAGCAGGACTTGCGTGTGGAGTACTGAAGGAACCAAGTCCAGGAAGATGGGACTTATGGACTCGGGGTCTGCGATGGTTCATTTTATGTGTCAACTTGACTGGACTAAAGGGTGACCAGATAGCTGGCAAAACATTATTTCTGTGTGTCTGTGAGGCTGTTTCCAGAAGAGATTTACATCTGAATCCATGGACTGAGTAAAGAAGATCACCCTCACCAATGTGCGTGGGCAGCATCCAATCCTTTGAGGGCCTGAACAGAACAAAAAGGCAGAGAAAGGGTGAATTCTTTTTCTCTCTTCTTGATCTGGGACACCCATCTTCTCTGCCCTTGGACATCAGAGTGCCTGGTTCTTGGGCCTTCAAACTCTGGGACTTAAACCAGCAGCCTCTCTTGTTCTCAGACCTTCGGACTCAGTCTGAATCACATCACTGGCTTTCCTGGTTCTCCAGCTTGCAATTGGCATATTGCAGGATTTCCTGTTCCTCATAATCATGTGAGTTTATTCCTAGAATAAATATGTATATATATATCCTACTGGTTCTCTTTCTCTGGAGAACCCAGACTAATAGAGGGTCTGTCCATGGATGCCACACCCTGGTCTGTAGGAAGGCAGGACCCTGGGGTGTGGGCAGGATCTGGAACGGGGGGGCAGATTATTAAACCAGGGACACAGGATGGTGGCCATGTCAGTGTAGCATGGCCTTTACCATCCAGGAGCCCTGGCTCACTCCCAGCTCTGTCACTTGCTGGACTTGGCTAATCACTTAATATCTCTGTACCTCAATTTCCTTATCTGTCATATGGGAATAATAATGGTTCTAGTTGTGATGATTCCCTATGATAATGCAGGTAGAGCACACAGCACAATGCCCAACAGCCAGTCAGACCTCAGTTAAATATTAACAACTCTTTTGAAATTAATATTATGCATAAAATAATGTATGTTACACAAACTGGAGACCTAGAAAGACTCATGCTTGGAGATGTAGGCACAAGAGCTCATTTGCAGAACAGGAGTTTCCAGGAGTACCAGTTGGGCCACGGGTACACTGTGGCCTGTGTCTGGGCTCTCAGGAAGGTCACTAAGCTTCTTGATGGGAGCTGAGGCAGCTGAAGGTTGGCCTCTCAGGCCAGTGTGGCTTGAGGGCTGGGTGGAGCAAGTCTGCAGATGGTGATGTTGACTCAGCTGTGAGGAGCTGGGGGCAAAGGGAACAGAATCAGCATGGGAGGCTGCTCCACGGCCATGATCTGATTCAATGTGTCCATGCTCCCTGGTAATGCTTCAGACAAAACATAGGATGGGAGGCAGCAGTTGAAGCCACTGCCCACAACGTGGCCTGGGGTTTGGCTGAAGATTCTAGTCACGCTGGGGTTCCCTATCTGCAGGCTGGGATGCTTGCAGGTAAAAAGTGTGCTGCATGCCCCAAGTGGCGGTTTTGATCAGCAGGAGACGTTTCTCAGGCTTTCCTGTGTGTGGAATGGTTCTTATGCCTCTGCTAAGCATCTCTGCTTTGTCTGATCTCGAGAATGTGTGACTTACACAACAGGTACTGGATCAGCATGACATTGCCCTTGTGTGAAGCCAGTATTTGGAAGGGAGGTTGGCTCTGATTTAGACTGAGCCAAGAGCAAGCCTGGGGTCCTACTACTTCTAAGCAGTGGGACCTTGGGCCATTCCTGAGCTTTCCTCGCTGCCTGGATGTCTTAAAAATGGAGATAATTCTTGTGAAGCCCTGAGGTTGAAAGTTCAGTAATTGTTAGCTAGTCACCAAAATTCTTTAAAAAGCTGTTGCATACATGATCACAGTTCCCCCTCCCAATAAAGCTGTGGTGTGAATGAGGCATTATTATTATACTCATTTTACAGAGGGAGCAAAGGTTCAGAGAGGTTATGTGGAGGGCTGCCTGGCACACATGCCCAGGTCTTTCACCCAGAAGCTGGGTGCTCCATTTCCTATGCCATGGGTTCCCAAATATTCCCCCCAGCTGCTTAAAATTCTGATTTAGAGGGCTTGAGGTGTGTTCAAGAAGTGACCTTTTTAGCAATCACCCCTGTTGGCAACCTGGGAGCGTTCCTAGAGTTGCTGCTTAATGGGCGGAGGCTCTGCCCACTGCCTGTGGCTCCCAGCCCAGACTCTTATACCCAAGTCCCTCAGGAAAAAAGGAACAAAACAGGTTGTACTGTGTAAACAGTAGAAACTTCTCCAGGTAGAGGTCTGCTTCCCTCCAGGGCTCAGCATTAAGCTCCAAGAAAGGAGGGGGAAAGGAGGGGGAGAGGAGGAGAAGAGGAGTGGGAGAGGAGGGGGAAGAGCGGGGAAAAGGAGGGGGAAAGGAGGGTGCCAGAGCTACCCAGGAGCTGTCCAGGGGTCACTGTCATCCTAAAAAACACACTGCTGTTCAAAAGTGGCCAGCTCTGGAGCCACCTGGCCTGAGTTTGAATCCTGGCTCCTCAGCTTACTAGCTCTGAGGCTTTAATAGGTCATTTAATTTTTTTCCATATGAAACAATAGATCCTACCTCCAGGAAACAGCCCTGGGTACAGGCCCCAGCACACTTGGGCACTTAATAATGGTTGGCTACTACTGTGACTATCGCTACCAGACCAAGCAGTCTCTCCTCACTTTCAGCTGCAACTTCTCCAGTGTATGGCCAGATTCAGTCAGGAAGAAACAGGCAAAAGTATGAGTGTGGAGATGAGGCAAACCCAACAGAGGATTCAGGTTAGCTTTGCTCAGAAGGCCCCATCATCCACCTTCCAAAGCCTTTCCTCAAATCAGTGTGACAAGGGCCCACTGAGGCAGGCCAGATGAAGGGACAAGCCACCTTCCCAGCCAGACCCTCAGGCTGACATTGCCAGGTGCCACTTTGGAAATGACAGCTGCTAAGAAGCCAGCCCTGCCCTCCCAGACGTGACCGTGCAAGGCCGCTGCTTAGCGCCTTGTGACCAAACAAGTGGGTGCCCAGAGGAGCTGTCCACTCTTCCTCTCACTGTCCTGGCATCAGGAAGACTCGGCTATTGTTTTTTTGGTCCTGGAAACTATGTCCTCATCTCAGGCTTTCTCCATTACCACCAACCCCGCTCTGCTTGGATGGCTGCCCTGGGGAATTTGTTCTGTGCAAAGCAAATAAAAACGTATTTCGAACTGGATCACTGGCAGCAAGGGCAGTTCTAACTGCCCTCTAACCCGTTAAACTAGAACAAAGACCAAGTGTCATTCCATGGAACCATGAAGGCCAATCCCCTACCCCTCAAGAGATACAGACTAAGGCCAGAAGGGCCTTGGGACCTAGGGATAACACCCTTGCTGTGCGAATGGGAACCCCAAACTCAGAGAGGAGAAGCAGCTTACCCAAGACATAGAGCAAGTTACAGAGAGCCAAGACTGGAACCCACAGCTCTGAACTTCTCTCTACCCAGCTTCCCCAGCTGGTTTTGTGTGGGACAGATATAATTCTTAGATGCTTTCCAGAGCTTTAAGCTCAATGAAGTAGAAGCTGGTTTACCCTGAATTCTAACTATTAGAAATGCCCATTTAGGAATTCTCAGAAATAATGATAATGGTTATCCATAATAAGGACAGCAAAGCTTTGGAAGATTAAAAAGTAATTTTTTCATCTCTAAAGATTAAATTATGTTGAGCAGAGTTTGGGAGTTGCCAAATGCTCAGTATAAAAGTGGGCATTTTCAGGCTGAGTGCAGTGGCTAGCATCTGTAATCCCAGCACTTTGGGAGCATAATTTGAGCCCAGGAGTGTGAGACCAGCCTGGGCAGCATAGGGAGACTCCATCTCTACAAAAAACAAAAAAGATAAAAATTATCCAGGCCGGGTGTGGTGGCTCACGCCTGTAATCCCAGCACTTTGGGAGGCCAAGGCGGGTGGATCACGAGGTCAGGAGACCGAGACCATCCTGGCTAACATGGTGAAACAGCATCTCTACTAAAAAAATACAAAAAATTAGCCGAGCGTAGTGGCAGGCGCCTGTAGTCCCAGCTACTCGGGAGGCTGAGGCAGGAGAATGGCGTGAACCCAGGAAGTGGAGCTTGCAGTGAGCCGAGATCGTGCCACTGCACTCCAGCCTGGGCGACAGAGCGAGACTCTGTCTCAAAAAAAAAAAAAATTATCCAGGCATCATGGCACGTGCCTGTAGTCCCAGCTACTCAGGAGGCTGCGGTGGGTACATCACTTGAGCCCAGGAAGTTGAGGCTGCAGTGAGCTATCATTATGCCACTGTCTTCCAGCCTTGGTGACAGAGTGAGACCCTGTCTCTAAAAAAATTAAATAAATAAATAAAAGTAGGCATCTTCAAAGATTAACGTGCATAAAATCAGTGAAGCATCTAATTTGTACCATCTCTCAGTGTGCCCGGACATTTGGCAACACAGAATATCCTATTTCTCCAATGATGGACGTGGGTTTTTGGAAGACTATTTGAAAAACCAGAAGTCTAAGACTTAAGAGCACTCACGGTGGCTACATGGGCATGTGCACAGCTGTGATGTGAAGGTGGGGGACGTGCTCCTGGCTGAGGAATAGCCTGTGCAAACAGGCATATGGAGCACTGGGGGCTTCCAAGATGGGTTGGAAAGAGAAAGAAGGAGGGTGTGAGTATACCCAGGGCTGAGGGGTGTTAGGGTTGACTTGTTTATCAGTGAAGATTTTGAATGGAACTGCCTAAACTGGCATTTCTTCAGGACATTAGAATTAACACTCATTCCTGCAGAACGTGGGCTATCAGGGGCTTCTTATAAAAATCAAAGACCCCTGGGTCCCATCCCTGAGCTACAGAATAAGGGGTTGAATAGGGCCGGGACATGGGAATGCGCCTTTATAACAAGTGCCCCCGGGTGGTTCCAATGGTCTCAAAGTTTGAAGAACAATGTCTTCAATGGAGGAATAAACTTAATGCTCACAGATGGGCCTCTCTTGACCCTTCAGGTCAAGACTCAGGGGAAGGACTTCCTCCCTGGGAGCTCTGCACTGTTTCCAATCTGAGAGACATGCCTTGTATCTGGGTGACTGACACCTGGAGACGAGACCCTCCATCCTCTTCCAGGGCAGCCTTGTCCTCAGTGTGGGTCCTCTGTCCAGATATAGCACAGTGATCAGAGCATCTTCTGTCAGCACTCAGGGCGGGTCATCCCCTGACTGCTGCGACTTTCAGCGCTCTACTCTGTCTTGCCCTCTGCCCATCTCCCCCAGTAAGCAAGAATGAGAGAGAGCTGTCACCTCATTCAGGTTCACATGGCTGTGAACCTGATGGTTCAGAAATAGAAACAGATTTCTAAACGCTGTTACAGGAAACCTGCACCCCCAGAGGCCAGGCTGCAACAGGCATCTCACCCTCTGCTTTAGCTAACTTGGCACAGGTGAGGGCCAAAGTGGTTATAAAACCTTTCCTGTACGGTCTGCAAGTGCCAGGCCTGTGATTATTTTACTCTTTCATACAAAAATGAACCACTGGGGAGACAGGCTATAACAGCTCACAGACTCATAGCACAGTAGTTCCTTTTGCTTTGAGAATGTCACCAGCTTGGTTGGAGAGGATCTTTGGCCTGGGATGGCTCTCCCCAAAATAAAACAATGAGAAAGGAGGGAAGGCCAAAGCCGAGTAATAGCTGCATCACCTGGCTGCTTGTAGATACGGATGTGTCCATGGAGCTGACAGCTCAATTCAGCCGTGAACCCTCGGGCTTTTGGCATCTCTTCGGCTGAGAGAAGTTTCCCTGGGCTGTACCTTAATCACTTGTGCCTTATTCTGTGCCCTTTGATCCACCCCCGTGCCCTCAACTGAGCACATTTGGATGAAAGACACCCAACCTAGAAGCTGCCAGAAACAAACTTCATTCCCAAGTAAAGTTGCTGGGGCCGGGCGCGGTGGCTCACGCTTGTAATCCCAGCACTTTGGGAGGCCGAGGCGGGCGGATCACGAGGTCAGGAGATCAAGACCATCCTGGCTAACACGGTGAAACCCCGTCTCTACTAAAAATACAAAAAAATTAGCCGGGCGTGATGGCGGGCGCCTGTAGTCCCAGCTACTCGGGAGGCTGAGGCAGGAGAATGGCGTGAACCGGGGAGGCGGAGCTTGCAGTGAGCCGAGATTGCGCCACTGCACTCCCGCCTGGGCCACAGAGCGAGACTCCGTCTCAAAAAAAAAAAAAAAAAAAAAAGTTGCTGGTACCAGCTTACCCTGTTGGATTCTCTCTGGGAGCTTGAACTTTAGATAGCAAAGGAGGCTGAGTGTGGTGGTCATGTCTGCAATCCCAGTACTTTGGGAGGCCAAGGCTGGGGGATTGCTTGAGCCCAGGAGTTCAAGATCAGCCCTGGCAACATGGCGAGACCCCGTCTCTACAAAAAAATAAAAAGAAATTAGCCAGGTATGGTGGTACACACCTGTAGTCCCAGCTACTCAGGAGGTTGAGGTGGGAGGACCACTTGAGCCTGGGAGGTCGAGGCTGCAGTGAGATGTAATCATGCCATTGCACTCCATCCTGGCCAACAGAGTGAGACCCTGTCTTAAAAAAAAAAAAAAGGATAGCAAAGGAGTTGAAAATTTGTGGTGGAAGAAGACTCTAGAAAAGAAAGTAGTTAGGTCTTATTAATAATCAGAAATCATTAATTCTAATGCTGCTGAGAGGGCCATGAGAAAAATGGATTCCTAGATTTGCCAGGACACATTTGAGTCCCCAGATTCAGTCCTGTAAAGTCAGCTTTCCCTTACCTTTGTCCGGGGTCCCTATGAGACTCCTGTCTCCTCATTACCCCAGCAACTTTCAAAAAAACTCTTCATTATCTGAAGCCAGCTGCAAGAGCTTATTCTGTTGCAACCTAAGGTAGAGCTCTGTCCAACTCTGTTCCTCATTACAGTGGTAGCTGGTGGCCTCAGGTTCCAAAAAGAGGAAGGAAAACAGATATGCACCAGGTGCTGTGATGGGACACACACTTTCACAGGTCACACAGGTTATCTTATGTAATTCTCATGGTTACTCCAAGTGACAGGCAGGGTGACCCTATTGTATGGATGAGGAGCCTGAGCCCCACAGGATGACACAATGTCTTAGACTGCGTGCTCAGCCCTGCTCTTGATGTACCATGTATGTGATGATCAGCGTGGACTTGCCCTGTGTTTCTCTGCTACATTTCTACACTGAAAACAAAACAAAAACAAAACTAACATCAATGTCTTCCCTGAGGGGCCTGGGGGCCGCCTAGCAGACAGTCCCTGTGACCTCACGTGGTGAACAGTGGGCAATGGCTGGTCAGGGTCCCTTGCTCCTCAATGAGAGGGTCTTTGAAGAAGCTCCTGCCTCAGCTCCATTCTCTGCCAAGAGCTGCATGTCAGGCTGGTAGGGGCCCTGGAGATTTTCTGGAAGATTCCCTCCTTTTTCAGGAGAAGAATCTCAGTCCCAGAGAGGGAAGCCTCCTGAATAATACTAGCTGACATTTTTTGAAAACTTCCTGTGTGTGAATTAGCCCACTTCATCCTCACAACATCCGCATAAGACAGGTATTCTCATATCACCATTTTATTGTGTTGAGATGGGGAAGTTACTCTGTTCTAGGACCTGGCACATGCGTCGGCTTAAATGCCCATCACGCTGCTTGTGGGGCTGCCCTCCTAGGCTCCATTTTCCTTGACACTTGAGAAACATCGATCGTGGAGGCTGAAGTTTCTGTTGCTTCGTCACCGCACAGTAAAACAGGGAGGGAGAGTTTATTTGGAAAGAAAAACAAAATCGTTACAGGAAATGCCTATGTAGAAGGTCAAGTAGGGGGACTTTAAGTCAAAGAAGACATCATTTGGGAGGTCAGCTTCAGTGTTGATGATGTAAAATCAGGGTTGTCCTTAATTGGTCAGATTTGACAGTTTTTCTTGGGTCAACATCAAAGTCCCACTTTTTCCCTGATAGTATTTGAATTGGAAAATATATTTAATTATATCAGACACTCTTGGTTGCTAAGCATCAGAAAATATAATTGAGTTGGCTTAAACACTTATAAGGAGCTGAGCTGTGGGCTTCTGGAAGATGAGAGGCTGGGGGCAGTATGGTCTCCTGGCTTGGTTGTCCTTGAGTTTTTGGTTCTGCCCTTGCCAGTGTGTAGAATTCATCATACTCTGGCTTTTCTCAGGGCAGCAAAACAACACAGCCATTCCAGCATCCTGCCCAGACAAGATGAATGCTCTCTGCTTCTCTTTCTCCAACCACTGAGTGCAGGCATGAGATACCTGCTCATCCTTGAATGATCACAGGGCGATGGAATTACACTGATGGGCTTAGGCCAGTGAGGACCCAGCCCTGGGGCTGGCGGTGTCAATTCTACTCAAGCGGCTAACTGGATCCCCAATTAGGGAAGGAAACATGGATGCTGGGCACCAGCCTAGAGTGCCCATGACATACATTTTCCTATTTTTCTCTCTTAAGTAAGGAACACCAATTATTTTATACCCTACGTAGTATCCTACTCCAGCCTTTCCCTAGGGGTGTCTAAAATTCATTTGTTACAACTCCCAGTATCTACCACTAAAAAGCAAATTGCTATTATTTACTTCTTATTTCATAGACTGAAAAAACTAGGGCATATTACAAGCATGTTTGTAATTCTTGACAAATAATCAAAATTATACTCTTCTACTGAAAAATGCAAAACCATAAACTTCAGTCTCCATCACAAATGAGAGGATAAATATTACTGTTGTGGTCTTTAAAGAGGCAAACTAGATACTCTCAATTTCCTTGGAAGATTTCCAACCCTGACCTGATGTGGGCTTGGCCCAGGGGTCTTGGACAAGACTGGCAGGGCCATCCTGGCCACCAGCAAGCCCACGAGGCAGCCAGGGGAAGGGAAGCCCACAGCCCACTTGGAGTCACCCTCCCCAAAACCAAGAAAAAAGGGCCAGATGACTTCTCCATGTTCCTGCAGACTCTGTAGTTTTCTAATGTAGAAACTGCTTCGTATTCATCTATGATTTAGGCAAGGGAATTAGTGACAATCAGTTTGATCCCATAATCTAATAGGATCCTCCTGCTCTGAAACCCCACAGGAAAAGAGTGGTGCAATGGTTCTCAAACATTTTGGTCGTCAGACCCCTTTATACTCTTAACAATTACTGAGAATACAAAGAGTTTTTAAAATCTAAGTTACTTCCATTATTGTTTACTGTATTGGAAACTCATAAACACACATAAGAAGCGCACTGAGACTGTCTCCATTTGGCTATCCACACCCTCTCTAGACAACATTCTAACTCCGCGGGGTCTCTGGAGGCTGACTCCTGGTTGGGTTCTGCCAGTGGGAGGCACACACAGGCAGTCAGAGGGCAAGAAGAGTTCAGGTGTTCCTCCTCTGGCTCCCTCCCTGCTGGGAGCAGATTAAGGGTGACCACAATCTTCAACCTAAGGCGGCAGCTCCCCGGAGCTGCAGTGAGTCTCCCCAGTTCTGGTAACTTCTCTTCTCTCATCCCATCAGGCCTAGGTGGAAATGGTTCCCCACTGGTTGTCAGTCCTATGGGGCCACCCATGCCTTAAGGTTTCCGTTAACCTTGCCCCAACTAGCTCTCCTCAATCCCGTTTCAGTGTGTGCCCTTCGTTTCCTCGGAGACCCTGACTGAGACAGGAATAGAATGTGTGAGTCTGAGTGTGAGTGTGAGTGCACACACACACACACGTGTGGATGGATGAACACCAACATATTAACAGAACAGTTGCTGTGGGGTTAGTCATGATTTATCTCTTCCTTTTGCTTCTCTGCAATATCTGATTACATAAATAATCTGATAATATTTATGTAAAATTTTTTTAAGAAATAAAGCAAAAGTTCACAGATTTAAAGAACAGTTTCTATGAGGATCAGACTCAGGGGAGACTAGAAGCCCTCAGATCCAGTCCTTTGGGGACAGATCTGAGCCCAGATCTACTTTGGTGGAAAGAAACTAATGACACCAGACACTACCCCTGGCTCAGAGGCCATGAGGATTAGTGAGAGGAACATGTTGGCACCTTAGAATTCTTAATGTGATTAGAAAGGAAATAAGCAGCCCATTATCATTCCCTGACTTTGGGAAGGCCCTTTAACCTGGGTTGCCCTGAATCTTGCTGCAGCCTGACTGTGCTCTAACTACACCAGGTACAGAATAGACACAAGAGGGAGAGTCTATCACCAGCAGGAGGGTGGCTTAGCCTGGCAGTGTCCAAGCTTTAGCATGCATAGAATCGTCTGAGGATGCAGAGACGAGGGCTCTTCCCCCAGAGGTTCTGATTCAATAGGGCTGAGATGAGGCCCTGGAATCTGCATTTTAAAGCGACTGGTTCTCCTCCCTCCCCTCTCCTCCCACCACACACATCATGAGGAATAGAGGTGCTTGGGCTACAGAGTTTGGGGTGCAAGTCCTGTTTCTTTTGGCCCCTCATCGCTAAGACTCAGTGAGCAGAGGGAGTGGAGAAGGGAGAGAGGAGGAGGAGAACCAGGCTGCTGAGAGGGGCAGGCAGAGTAGGCCTAAACCAACCTGGTCATCACCCAGGAGGAAACCCACAAGCGGGACATTGAACCTCGCCTGGGTGATTAGTGCTCCGGAAACCATGGGGAACCACTGGAGGACTTTACTGATGCCGTGTTATTTTCCATTTCTTCTCTGATTACATTGATCCTGTACTTTTGCTGATGTTGTGACAGTCTAATTATAGACTTCTCGGCTGCTGAGCAAACAGTCGTCCCCTCTCGGTAAATCTGCCTGTTACACAAGCGCCAGCTCTGGGACACTGTCATTATGTGCAGCCAACCCCATGAAGCACCGTGGGCGGGACAGCCCCACACCCTTTAGCTCCTTGACGCTCACTGCTGGAGCCGGAGGCACTGCAGGCTAGCCAGGCTGGGTCTTTTTTTTTTTTTTTTTTTTAACAGATGGGGAAACTGAGGCCCACAGCAGTGAAGTGAACCATATCACACAGAGCCAGGGATGGATCCCGGGACCTGAGGGAGGGGTGGTTACCCAAGGCCTCTTTTTCTTTCCTTTCTTTTTTTTTTCTTTTTTTCCCCATCAGATATTCACTGAGTGCCTATTCTAGGAATTCTAAAGAAGAAAAGTGTCACCTGGCCAAAAGCAGAAAGTATTGGCAGGGCGAGGTCAGCTGGATGGTGTTCCTCCTAGAAGCTTCCCAAGAGTCCATTTTTCTGGCCCTCAGATGCAGAGGTTTCGGAATCCTGACTGCATCTGTGTCCCACAGCTAGCTGGATTAAATAATGCCGATTTGTTTAGGCAATGCTCACAAGAGACCGTGGCGGAAGGCTGGAAGGGAGATGTGCGTATTCTGGCCATCCAGCATCTGAACCTCCTTCCTCTGTTTGGAGTATCCTCTACCTTTAAGAGGCAAAGTCTACTTCCCAGAGTTAAAGCTCAAAATATCAGATGATCTGTTCACCAGCCTTCTTTGCAGCCAAGCCAGGGCTTGGCCATACCATCTGGTCTTTGCTGATTTGAGAGAATCCCACCCACTCTGGGTTCGAATCAGAAACCAGTGATGGGAAGAAGCAGGGACACAGGTTCACAGAGACTCTGACTATCTACAGGTGACAGTATGGTGGCAGAGACAATTACATCCAGTTTCCAGAGGCAGGAGTGGCAAGGCTGCCTATGTCCTTCATGGTGTTTTCCTGGGCCAGTTCCACAGTATGATTTTTCAACCTTGTTTCTGGTAGCAGAGCCAATTGGCCAAGTTCTCCAGCATTCTGCTAATTCTGTGGGCTCACCAATATCTTTGAAATAAATTCCATTTTGCTTAGATCAGCCAGAGTCATTTTTGAGTGCTTACAACTAAGAATCAAGACTGATATGAGGACTGGAAGACCAATGTCTGAACACTGAGAATGACACGTGTTAGGGGAGTTCGCCATCCCTGGCAGTCGGCCGTATTCTTCCTCTGGCAAGCTATGTGGGAATGACCAGAATCTCTTCCCCAACAGGAATGGACTCCAGTGCTGGGAGCTTCAGGCATTCTGGCAGGATGGTAGGAAAGACATCCTGGGCCTAAATATAAGGCAAGCTCAGAGTGGACCCAGTGGTTGGTCATGAGATATAATGAAATAATCCATTCACAATTTGCATTTTTATGAAATCCCTTTTCCCAGAAGGGAGATTTGAAAAAATGTTAATCCTTAGATAAGAAATCTGGGGCTCTAGAAGTGATGGTAGCCACAGCAAGGTATTCAGAATCTACCCTTTTCTGTTCTCATCTGACTTGCTTCCCAAGGTGTCCTGACAGTGAAATGAGAAAGGGGTACGAGGTTGGCAACGAGACACATCTTGTGAATGGGGTGACTGCTTTCATATGTATCATTACTTCATTTGATCAGCATACAACCCCATGAAGCAGGTAGGCTAATTGCTGTTAGCATTTCCATTTTTTGGATTAGGAAGCTCAGACTCAGAGATGTTAAGCCATTTGTCTAAGGTTTCACCTTGCCTGAAAAAAGGATTGCCTGCCATCTGACTCAAGCCTACATCCTTTCTCCAGGGACATACTGCTAGTGGGGTGGGCAGGAAAGGAGTTTAGAGACACCTAGATTGGAGGGATAAAGTCAGCACTGCTTATATTTGGCATCGTCTTTTCCCTGGCACTGCCACTGTCACCACCATCCCCCTTCTGGATCCCTACTTTACCCCTTCATGCTGCTCTGGTGGCAGTGCCTCTGCTGCCATGCTGTACTTGAGCCTGCTGCTACAGCCATGCCTGAAGATGCAGCCCCTTCCTCTCTTCCTGTCCCACCAAATATGACCAGCTCTAGGTTCCATTACTTCTGGACTTTGCTCCAAATAAAACTTACACCATTTTATTCCAAACCCAGGTCTCTTTCTGCAACACCCGAGAAAAATATTGGGCTGCAGGAGCCAGAGAGGAGAGAGAGATTTACTGGTGAGAGTTGTAGGTGGGAATTGAAAAGCCAAGTCATGTCTTTGCCCCACCAGAAACTCACTAGGATGTACACAATGCCACTGTGATGGTTTTAAAATATGTAACTAACCTGCACGTTGTGCACATGTACCCTAAAACTTCAAGTATATATAAAAAAAGAAAGAACTGCTGATACACATATCATGAAAAAAGACCAAATAAAATAAAAAAATAAAAAAAAATAAATAAAATAAAATATGTCCACAAATGCTTTGATGTTCCTTTGTTTCTTGATCTGTATGCTAGCAACACAGGTTCATTCCGTTTGTGAAAATTCATTGAGCTGTGCTCTTATGAGCTGTGTACTTCTCTACATGTATGTTAAATGTGGACAAGAACTTCACATAAAAATCATTTTAAGAAAAATAAAATATTTAGATGGGGGCATTTGAATAAACATTTGTAATGTTTTTATTACAAAAAACTCAAGACTTAAGAAATTGCTCAAAGAAACTGATAGATCAGGAGATAACTAGACACTATACAAAAGGTCTTTCTTGACTTACAGTAGGACTATGGTGGAATTTCTTTGTTTTTCTGAAGTATTAAAATCAGAATCTATTGAGACGTAAAACTCTTTCAGGATCATCACTACAAGTGAGGTACGCTTGCATTTTAAAGACTGTTTTGTCCCTCGGTTTCCCTAGGTATAAATCAGTGAATCCAGTGAATCATTCAGAATGCAAAGAAGGTCTTTAAACCATTCTGATTGGATGTGCTCAGCAGGGGCTGGAATTTGGCAAGAAGAAGGCACCAATAATCTAGGAAGAAGAGTTTGAATATCTGGTTCCGTGTCCAACGGGCAGAACTTGGCCACTTTCTAAGACTCCTGCCAGCTCCAGGATGCCAGTTTTATGAGGCAGAAAGAACACAGTGTATTTAAAAAAAAAAAAAAAAAAACAACCCTGAAACACAATTCTAGAAAAGTCCATTAATGCATCAGGAATACAAAGGGGCCCAAGAAAAAAATATATATATACATGTATATATATTTGAGAAACTCATATATAGTGAGTTTCTTTTCTGCTCTTAGCTCTCACCTCTCACCTACCATAGAATTGCCTAATTTTATTCAGGAAGTTGAATAAAATTTCACCCAGGAAAAGGTGGAACTAAACCATGCTGGGTCAAATTTTAGGTTAAGAATTTCTGTCCTGTGTTCTACCTTGAGACTAACTGTACTAATGGTTTCCAAGAGGCACTGAAAGAGTAGAAATGGTTGAAAGGCCAATGTAATAATTTGCATTAACTTTATTGTGGTTGGAAGTTTATGGAAGGATGGTTGAGTTACTTGCCCAAGGCCTTATTACAGATAGTGAAAGTTAAAACAATGAAGTTCTTAGAAGAAAACAAAGAATATTATTTTTATGGGCTTAGGATTATTTTAAACAGGACATACAAAACACTAGTCATAAGAGATAAGATTAATATTTTGAATGTCTTTAAAATTAAGTGCTTCTGTTCATCAAAAGATAACATTAGAATAATTAAAAGTCAACACAGATTGGGAAAAGATATTTGTTATACATATATTGGACAAAGGGCTCATATTCAGAATATGTAAAGAACTCTTATAGGTCATTAGGACAGACAACTCCCTACAAATGAGCGAAAGACTTGAACAGACACTTTATTAAAAGGGTATTGAAATGAACAATAAGCATCTGAAAAATTGCTCAACATCCTTGATCATCAAAAAATGCAATTTTAAATCACAATGAAATACATATCCCCCCCCTTTTTAAATTAAAAAGACTGAAAATACCAATACTGGCAAAGATGTGAAACAACCGGAAATCTCATATCACTGGTTGGAACCTAAATTGTTATACGAATTTAAAAACTGGCAGTGTATTTAAAGTTTAATATGTGAACACTCTATGAACCAGGAATCCAATCCTAGGTATATATATATATCCAACATAAATGAATGCTATGTCCACCAAAAGACATGTGTAAGAATGTCTGCAGCAGCTTCATCAAAGGCAGAAACATGAAGCAACTCAAATGTCCACCAACAGTAGGATGAGTACACAAATCGTTGAATATTTATATAATGAAGTAATACACAGTAGTGAAAAAGAATGGACCATTGTTACACACAACAATATGGATGAATCTCATAGACGCACTGTTGGGCAAGAGAAGCCAGACATAAAATTGTACGTGTTATGTATTTCATCCATAGCAAGTTCAAATATTGGTAAAACTAATCTATGGTGATAGAGGTTAAAATAGTGGTAATCCTTGTCGGATACTGAATGGGAAGGGGCATGAATGAGCTGGAAAGGTTCCACATCTTGATATGGATGGCAGTTACATGGGTATGCATATGTAAAAAATTATCATTCTGGACACTTTTGATTTGTGCGCTTTACTGAATGTTATACCTCAAAAACAAAAAGTAAAACAAAAAATCAGATCATATGTCTTGATTTCGCGTCTAACAATAGGATCACTGGCTTTCCCTATAAACACTCATATTGATGTCCTATCGCATTAAAGTTCCTGGATACTCACTCTCCTCTCCCTCGCTGGGAAAGACATATTTGAGAACTCTTCATAGTCTGACAGACAGGAGAACCACACTTATTTCAGGCAGGGTTGGAAGAGTAGGGCGGAGGAGATGTAAATACTGCATCTGGGAAGTAATCTTTTCCCCCAGCACCTAGTAAACGATCAATACAAGTACAATAATGTCTATTGATAAATAACATTGTCCAACATTGGCTACTATCTGATACATACAGCATTTGCCACACACTTTCTAACAGGCACTAGGCAATGCACTAATTGTTTCCCACGTATTTTCTTAATACTTATATAATTCTACAGAGCTGTCCCATTGTTAGTCTTGTCCTACAGATAGGAGACGCAGGTTGTTGGAGGGTTGGTTCAGTTACTTGCCTAAGGCCTTACAGAAAGTTTAAGTGGTGCATGGAGATCTCAACTCAGATTAGTCTGAATTCAGAACCTGGGCTGTAAACCACTCGCTATGTTATGAATGGATGGTGTCCAAGCCCTGCCTGCATGTTATATAACACACTGGACCAAGTGCTGTGGCATTCCGAATGGGGCCGAAGCGGCTGCGGCTGCCGACATTGGCGATGGACTCCCCGAGGCCCTTCGTCCCACTAACTGCACACAGGTGGTCCCCGGGGCCAGAGAGCCGCCGGCGCTCTCTCCCCGAAGACCACGCCTTCGCCTCCAGCCAGTTTGCTTGGGGAATCAGAAAGGTGCCCAGGGCCCAGAAACCATTAAGTTTTTTCCGACTTCAAAAACACACACCGGAGGTAGGCGTGGGCGTTACCCGCCTCACTCCTGGGGGCAGGGAGAACCAACGCGAAAATCCCCAGAGAGGCGGAAGAAAAACCTGCCTGCGAGAGAATAGGATGGAGATGGGAAAAGCCTGGGGAAGAGAGAGTTATGCGGCAGGAATAGCAGAAAAGCGTACTAAGCAAAAAGAAAGGTGTCCCACTAACTCCGAAGTTAAGTGGGTGTCGACGCAGCCCCCTCTATTGCGCTTGCGCAGTGCTGCCTCCCTGAGCACCCCGCCCCTTCCCGCCGCTGAGGATTTACTCGTCTCTTGGCAACCATTCACCCGAAGAGCCAATCAGAGGGCAGCCCTCGCCCCGCCCCTGCCGTCAGGGCCGGGCGGAAGGGTCCCGAGGGGACTGGCTCCGCCACGCCCCGCCCCTGGCTCCCCCGGGAGGGCGGCTCAGGGGCGGGGACGGGGGCGTGGTCCCGCCGTATAAGAACGGAGGGGGCGGCGGCGGGACGGCTCACTCGGTGCCGCTGCCTAGGGGCTGTAGAGGTCGCGCCGCTCCTGCTGGGGCCTGCCCACGCCAAGGACCTGCCTCTGTCGCCTCCTCTTCTATTGCCCAGGTGAGTCCGCGACCCCCCTCCTCTAAAGGTGCGGCGATGCGGCAGCAGCCCCAGGGAGCCGCGAGCTCACTTAGTGGGGGTCCGCCCCCACTAAGTGGTGCTCAGGTCTTTGCCCAGCCTGGTAGGGGGCAGGCGGACCCGAGGGGAGCTGCGGACAGGTGCCGAGACCCGGTGCTCCTTTCCCCTCCTGCTCCCTCGAGGACCCCCGCCCCTGACACACCCGTCCCAAAGGGCCAGAAGAGACGCTCCGAAAGGGAGCTACAACTTTCCAGAGACCTGGGGCTTGGCAAACTCCAGCGAGTTCCTGCTCCGCGCGTCCTGCAGGCTGCGCGCTGGCCAGGCGCGGGCAGGGCGTCTGAAGAGTGTGTGATCGGCGCCTCCGCTCCTACCTGGATCAGACGGCGCCCCCCGCCACCCATGCCTCCCTTCCTGGCTTGCAGTCCCTCGGGCTCGCCCCGGCGCTCCCGCGGGCGCGCACACCTTCGCCGGCCCGCCGAGTGTGAATTCGAATTCGGCGGTTTCACTAGGCGCAGCTGGAGACGCAGCGGTCCGGGGCTTGGATCTGGTTGGGGAGGGGAGGGGCGCTTCCTAGGCTCATTGCCAAGTCCTGAGTTTTAAGGAGAAGGGCGGAGATCCTTAAATTTAATGCGCTCACATCAGACTGTGGACACCATGAGCAGCAAAGGGATCCAAGCCAGTGACTTGTGCGCTGCGCGTCTCTCAGAAACTTCTTGGGAATGCGGTGTCTGTGAAACCTGCTTCCTCTCCTTTTGAAAATGAAACTTGCTTTACTGCGTAGGTGAAAAGCCACGGCAAGTGGGTCGACTCGGACGGATACCGGTGCGGCTGCCCCGGGAGGTGTCGCAGTTCGGGGACTCCCTTCGCACTGGTCGCGAGGCAGGAGGGAGCAGGGTGGGAGGCGAGTCAGAGGAGGGTGACTTACCTGAAGAATACAGGTTGGTAGCCTGCACACCTGAACTCAACGCTGGCGGGCGAGAAAACCAAGCAGCGCTACCTCCAAGTAAGGGCGCTCCCCTGGAGAAATGAATGCCTGGCGAGCTTCTGGAGAACCCACTATTAGGGCTGGACCCTGCGGGAGGGATAGTGTCAGCTCCCTTCCCCTTCGCCCTTTTTTGTCCATAGGTAGGCTTTTGTAGGGCTCTAACCAGTTCCCTGGCTTAATTAAGTAGGGGCCTGCTTCCTTTTTAACATTTTTGCTTTCTTACGGAGATATAAAGTGCATACAAATGAAGTGCTTAAAATGCACTTATAGTAAGAAAGCTTTTATAAATACTATGTGCATAATTATTTGTATTGTGACAACTTGGTCTTCAGGTTACTTTGTAGGTGGGTTAGGAGACTGAACCAGCCCAGGAAATAAAGTTAGGGTGATTAGATCCTCCCAAAGTACACTTCTGGCTGGCTCAGCTGCCCTCTGCGTGCAGGAAAGAGGGTGACCGTTGTTGGCGACAGCAACCTTTCAACGTGAGTAAATTGGCAAGGAAATGAGCCCAGGAAGTAAGTTGGGCAGCCGCAAGAGTGGTAGGAGAGCTTACCCAGAATTTTACTGTCTTAAATCCCCAAGGGTATTATTGAGGGTGTGAGACCAGCCACGTTAGGCCCTGCAGTGGAAAAGGGGGAGGGGGATGGGGAGTAAAGAATGCTGACTTTTCTCTGGGCTTTTAGGGAAACCTCTGAGCTGGGCTGCAGGGGTTCTGTCCTTTGACATTCTTGTTTGTGAAGATGGAAAATGATCTCTGGAGTCAAGCTTAGTTTATTTCAGATAATGAACTTTTTCTCTTAAGGTATACCCATAGCTTTAGAGTACATATATTCTCAATAAAGAGTTTTTAGGAAGATTTTGGTATATTGTATATAATTGTTCAGGTAGCTATGCGGGGGTAGGGGGCTCCCATAACAAAGTTTAAAAAAAAAAAAAAACTCTGCCAGGAGGCCTCTAAATTGTTACCAAAACAAAGATCCCTAATTTCATAAGCAGCTTCAGTGAGCACATAGAATTAACAGCCATATTTCTTACGCTGTTTTTTCCACAATACCTACCTTGTATCCAGGGATTAAATTCATGTAATTCTGAAGGAAAGGATTTGGCTCTTAGCCTGCTTGTCAGAGTGAGCATGACTTAGTTGTGCACCTGTGGCTATCTCTACCTGGTTTCTTCTCTTGTACCGTGAGCACAAGTAGCCACTGAAATCTCCCGAGTTCCAGAGGCCCGTCCCCCCTCAGCTGTATCTCCCCATAGTGCACACATTCAGCCCACATTCCCCCGTGTTCAAGGCCAGGGCAGATCATGCACATCTTGCGCTGCCGGTCAGAGAACAGAATTCCTCATATTTCTGAAAGTCCAAGGAACAGTGCAGCAGTAAAAATAACTTAAAAGTGGGCTGTAGTGCTCTTGTTTTCACAGTACCATTAACCAGACACATTTGATAGAAAATTTAAAAACTTCATTTAAAAAACTTTTTTTGTTGTTTTTACTGCTCAAGTACATAGGACCTTGTCTTCATCTTTTGTCTCTGATCAATGTTGTGTTCATGGAGTTACCTACTAAAGAAATGGAAACCCAAAGGCTCTCAGTGGATGAGTTGAACCTTTTTTTTTTTTTTTTGCATTACTGAGAGAAGTCGTGGAAGCCCAAAACTAGTTTCATGAGTTAAGCTAAACTTATGTTTTGGGGTTTCTTGGTTTCACACCTGTCTCTGGGTGTATCTGCTATTTTGTGTGCATGTGTGTGTGTTTAGGAGTTAAGGAGTAATGTGGAATGTGAGGTTACTTGGAATAAAACATTACTTGGGTTAGATAAGGTCTGTTGCTTTTTGTGTTGTCATTGAGGTAAACAAGGCACTGTAGGAAAATGCTTCCTGCCATCTTGGTGTTTTGACTATAGTACATTAAAATGGCATAAATTGTATTACAATGAAGCAGACACCTCTGTGTTTAAAGAAATGTTCATGTGTTTAAAGCTGCTTGGGTACATTAGTACTGCTGATTTCTTGTGATGTTTTCAGGCCATAAGATCTCTCAAAACGTTTTTACGCTTTCATTGCAGGCCGCATAAAGAGGCTTGCATTTGGAATTCAAATAGTTTAGAGGAAGCATCTTTATATAGTTCAACTAGGTAAGGAAGCCTTAAGAATTGTTCAGAATTAATAGATTTTGTACAGCTGGCCCCCACAGTCTGTTCTAGAACTGTTTGAAAACTTCTTGGAACAACAGAAAAAAAATATGAAAAAATAATTGCTGATGTTAAGCAACTCTCTCCCTGTAGGATGTTTTTTAGTGTCGGAGCTTGAGACTAAAGTCTTGGAGTCTTGGTCACAAAACTGCATGGAGTGTTGTTTATTTCTTGGAGAACCGTGATTGAGTCAGTAAGTAGTTAAGTGCTTCCTAGGCAGTAGCTAGTGCCAGGTGCTGAGGACGCCAAGGCAGTGGTGTTTGGAAATGCCTTTGGAAGAGCTCTGGATGCGAGAGGAGCTGGGCTGGCTTTATCATGCAGTCGAGGCACTCCGATTTCTCTCATTAGTCTCAGCCACTGGCATATGAGCGCCGGAAAGCGGAATCTGTGCTCACTGCTGACTCCCCAGTGCCTGCTTATAGAGCTGGCCTGGCACACAGAAGGTGTTCTGTCATTTGGATACATGTTCGGTTGGCGGCTTGCAAAGAGGGAGGCGTACTTGAAGTGGGAGTTCTCTTGGTGGACCGAGGCAGGCAGGCCAATGGCTGAGTCCTCTTTTAAGTAGAGGCCACAGGGGTATAGGTTTGGAGCTGAGGGGCAGTGACTAGCTAATTGACCAACAGCTGAAACTCCTCAAGCTGAGCTCCAGACCCACTCCCTTAAGCACTTGCCATCCTTCCCACCCTCCCTGACACCAGCCTCACATGGCTCACTCAGCCTTTTCTCTCTCTCTGTTCACTCAGTTGCTAGTTCTGCTGATTCTTTCTCTTTTTTATTGTTTCCCACTGTCATCACTGACCTGGTTTAGGGGCCCGTAGACAGGAACTTGATGAGGGCAGTAAGTGAGTCCGCCTCCCCTGCCTCTGGCTAGTTCTACAGTCTGTGCATTTGGAACTCCATCCAAGCGCACAGGGACTGCCTGCACCTCTGGAAGCTGAACCTCCTCTTCAAGACCGTGCCTTTCTGACTCTTTACTCTTGACCCACCCTCCACCCCCCATGGCAGAGTCTCCCTAACTGCCCTTCTTTGCCTCACAGAACAGATACTCATATCTGCACAAAGGAATGATACTCCTTTCTCACCAAACTTTGAATCCAGCTTCAGGCCCTTCCCACAGGCTTCTGACTGACATTATTCCATCTGGGGACCCGCTCTTTTCACACCTCGATTCATTAATACTTTGTTGTTGTTTGTTCTTTTGAGACGGAGTCTTACTCTGTCGCCAGGCTGGAGTGCAGTAGCACGATCTCTGCTCACTGCAACCTCCACCTCGTGGGTTCAAGCGATCCTCCTACCTCAGCCTCCTGAATAGCTGGGACTACAGGTGCACACCACCACACCCAGCTAATTTTTTGTATTTTTAGTAGAGATGGGGTTTCACCATGTTGGCCATGATGGTCTTGGTCTCTTGACCTCGTGATCTGCCTGCCTCAGCCTCTCAAAATGCTGGGATTACAGGTGTGAGCCACCATGCCCGGCCAATACTTTCTTACAGTTCTTCCTTCTACCTTCTTTTCTAGTTCTTAAATTTTTATCTTTGATTGAATAAGCACAAAGTCCCATACTGTTACCATACTTAGCCTCCTATAAAAACATTTTGAGAAGAAAATTATCCATGAAACTGCAACTGCCCACACCCTCTTCCGTTGCCGTAAGCATCTCTCAACTTGTTTAGCCCTTATGAAGATAGAAGAGGTAACCCTCCACCTTTCCTGGCTGCTTGCCCCTGATCCCCAAACACACTCTGTCCATCGTTGCCCTCTGCTCGTCGTAGTTAGAGATGGGCATTAGGATCTCCACAGCTAGCCAGTGCTATATGGACTTGGGCAGTTTCAATCGTCATTCCTGTGGAATAACTGCAGCACAGCAGTAGCAGAAAGAGGACTGATCCAGAAGCAGAGATGACGCGTACACTCATCAAGTGCCTGATATGTGTCTAGAGGCTTGCTCACAGCTGCTCAGCTAGAGCTAGCACCGCTGCTATCTCCTGTGCCCAGGCTGTTTGTCATCTTTTTACCTCCTCTGCTTCTGAGGCTGACTTTAGCTGTGGGGAGACCTGGGCTCTGGTCCTGGCAGAGCCTTTACCTCTTCAGCCTTCAGCTTCTTCATTATAATAAGGACAATAAATTAGATCAGTGCTTTCCAGTAAAAATATGAGAGACACGATTAACTTCCTAGTAGTCCCATTAAAGAGTAGAAGTAGGTGAAATTTGGCCAGGGGCAGTGACTCACAGCTGTAACCTCAGGACTTTGGGAGGCTGAGGCAGGAGGATCCCTTGAGTCCAGGAGTTCCAGACCAGCCTGTATGACACAGCAAGACCCCATCTATATAAAAACAATTTTTTAAAAAATTAGCTGGGTGTGGTGGCACGTGCCTGTGGTACCAGCTACTCAGGAGGCTGAGGCAGGAGAATTGCTTGAGCCCAGGAAGTCAAGGCTGCAGTGAGCTGCCATCGAACCACGGCACTGCAGCCTTGGCAATAGGGTGAGACCCTGTATCAAAAAAAAGTGAAATTCATTTTAATAAGTGTATTTAATCTACCATATCAAATTTCATCATTTCAGTATGTAATCAATATAAAAAATCTAAATGAGATAGTTTACATTCCTTTTATCATACTGAGACCTTGATATCCAGTATGTGTTTTAGCATTTACAGCGGTACCTACTGTATTGGGCAGCACAAGTCTAGACCATCAGCAAAAATGTTTCACTCTCAAGTTCTGATTCTGCATGTGTGGGAGGCAAGATTTAACAACCCAAAGTTATGGAAGGAGAGTAGGAAGCAGGATATCAGCTCCACAGGGCCAGGGATCTTTGTCTCTTTCTTCCCAGTGCATCACAAGCTCCTGGAGCAGTGCTTGAAACATAGTAGGCATGCACATTTTTGAAAGAGTGAAAGGAAAGTCAGTTATGGCCAACTTACTGACAGTCATTCACACTGTGCGTCAGACTTGACACTAAAACACATGGTGTTGGATTCCTAGCCCGGTGCTCATTCTTTTTTTTTTTTTTTATAGTTTCTTAGAGAATAATCATAAGGCAATAGAATTTCAAGGAACTGCTGATAAAATCTTCTGAGACTGGCAGGGGACCAGGACTCAGTTTATCAACAATTAAGTTTTATCAACAATTAAAATTTGAGTGAAATTGCAAGAGGAAGTAACATTCAAGTCAAGTCAAAGTGTTTGAGCTGTCTGGTGACAGCACATTAATTACTTGATGAACGCTAAACATGAGCTGCTGCTATGCGCAGTACCTGGAGGCCCGGAACCTGCAACTTGAATGCCAACTCCTAAGGGAAGGATCCATGCAAAACAAAAACCTGGATGGAACTATGCACGTAATTAGCATCTGCTCTGAAATGGAGGTCAGCTCACACTTAGACACTTGTGAATGGGGTGTGTTTATGGTCTAACGTATGATAAGGGTGGCATTTGAGGAACTAAGAGTTGCTTGTCCCTTTCCTGATAAGGCCTGGGCAGGGAAGCTGCTAGTGATTAGACAGGACTTTTAGCTGACTGAGGTCTTCCTTTTGGACAACTGTTTAAAGCTGTAGGCTGGAGAGTTAGATGGTAAAGTAGCCTGTGGAAGCAGCCTTTGATGAAACCCGGAGGCTGTCAGCTCTTAAACCCTGTGGATTACGTGTAAGCTGAGTCATTCTTACAGTAAGCAGTCTCCTCCTTAGGAATCATCTCATTTTTCTCAGTCTGGGCAATCTCTAAAACAGAAAGGCAGGCTCTCTTTGGGGAGCTCTTTAAATGAATTCAGACCAGTAACACCTCTGATCTAGAAAGAAGCAGTTGATGGTGGGAAGGTGGTTACCAAGTAGCAACAAGGATTATTTCCATTTCAAGTTGTGTGTGTAGCACTTAATGCTGACACCTTGGAAAAAAATCAAGGCTTTTATGCCCTGCTTCCATCTGAAGATGTCTGTGTCCTGACCTTGTTAATATTTCCATTTGCAACCACGTCAGAGTATACCTTTCAACACTTGAACTTGTGTGGCATCCCTGCTGTAATATCTAGGCCAGTGTTTTGATTCTGTTTGCTGTTTTGCGGCCACAGCATTAGTTCTTCCAGCGTTATCTCTCCACCCACACTTGCCCAAGCATCCTATTTTCAAAGGTGGGAAAGAGCTTTCTGTTTGGAGTTGTCGTTGGTGGGTGTCTATGGATGGAGCCCAGTGATAACCATTCAGACTGTGTGTTGGCTTCTCACTTCTTAGTGGGAAGTGAGAATTCATGGAGGCCCCTTAAACAGCGGAGATCACAGCCTGGTTCTGTGGCCTGCCTGGGTTTCAGTCCAGGGCTGCTTTCCACAGCTCATGTGGGAATCTAACCACATTTTTTGACTCTAGTAAACATCATTGGTAAATGGCTGGAGGATGATAATAACCTTAAGAAAATAGAATGAGACGCTGGCTGAATGCAATGGAGCTGAGAGTGAGAAAAGACCAACTGTGGGGTTTGTTGCGTCACTGACTTAGAAATGTTTTCTCTGGGCACAGCTTTGTGGCCTGGGGCAGTTACTTCTTTGAACTCAGGTAGAATGTGTTGCGGGCATTTAAGTGGGCAACTGTAAAAATAACATCTTGGAAAAATAGTGAGCATAGGATATATTTTATTGGCCTTTTAAAAAGTAAAGCATTATTTTATCTGTTTTTATTGCTTCAGGCCATTCATAATCTAAGCTGCTATTCCATGTACATGAAACACTCGAGTGTCTGTTATCTGTAACTTTCATGTGTTTGGGGCTGTGGAGGAGTCTCCAGAATGTGGCCCCCTCCCTATGTGGGGGGTCTGGCCCTAGGGAGGAGCTGGCAGACAAAAGCCTTCCTTAGACTGCCTCCAAACCCTTCCTAGATAACTTCTGGCCTTCATCCCCCAAGGAATTCAAGGAGTAAGAGAGGAGGATTTTTTTCAGAAGGCCATATCCATGTTGACCCTGGTTTTTCTCGTTTCTGCCCGGTTATCTGCTGCTGCACATGCCAAGCAAAATGACCAAGGTCCATGGTCATTCGAAGCGCCTGGCTCTTTTCTTATGGGTGAAAGAATCTCAAGGGTCAAACTACATGCAGGTGGGGGAAGTGACGGTGTCCAGTCTCAGGTTCAGCATTCATGAGGTCCTGTGTACGTTCCAGACTTTCTGCTTTCAGTTTTGTTCCAGCTCTCCTTCCTGGGCTGGCCCTTTAAGTCCTGGTCACTGCCTGCAAATTTATCAGCCATTTCTCTGTAGCTCCAGTTGGGTTATTGGCTTCTTTGATCTGAGAAGGTTGCCGTCTCGACTGTAGCTAGTGTCCTGTTCTGTTGCTTCATCAGCCTATCAACACTCTGATCTCCCAGCCATCAGAGGAGTCTCAGTAATTGTTCCTTTATTCCATGAGCAAAGCAGCATGCCTTAGTTTTCTGGATCAGGATCAGCCCATTCCTGATAATCTCCCTCCTGTGCCATTAATTTTTCCTCTTATTACTAGTTCAGCAAGGCGACTGTGCAGCACCTTCCACTCTTGGGTTCTCTCTCTCTTCTGGACTTGGTTTCTCTAAAATCACCACTGTTCTGCAACGTAGCAAGCATCTTGGAGCTCCCTGGGAAGTTAGGATCCTAGGCCTTCATCTCCCAGCCATTGTTCCTTTAAAACAAACAGTAGCATAACGATTAGCATTTCTACACTTAATCACATTCAGTTCTGGTGGCTCCAGCCTGCAGTTTCTATGCTGACAGTTGTTAGATACTTCAGTTCTAAATGCTTCTCCCTTGCTTTCAGAATTTGCCATCTGGCCTTACCTCACTCAGGTGGCCTTAGCGGTCTAGCCAAACTTCTTTCCTACCATCTTATTTTTTAAAAATCTTTATACCTTCCTTCCTTTTCTTTCTACTTACTGTCATCTCCTTCCTCTGACCATCTAAGCACAACCAGCTCTTCTTCAAGCTCCCTGCCCCACCAAAGCTATCCACCTTTTAGGAAGACTCTTAAATTCCATTTCTGCTACTCACCAGCAGTGCATCCTTGGACAGTTTACAATTTGCACATCCTCTTTGTTCTCCAGTTTTCCCATCTGTAAGTGGGGGAGTAGGAGGAATGGTATCTCTTTTATGGGTTGTTATAGAAATCAAATGATTGATCCAGGTAGAGCCCTGAAAGCACTGTTTTACTGCCTATTTGTGATGTTGTAAAAGAGTTGGTGGCTCATTAGGGTACCTGGCTAAACATCTAGTCACATGTGGTGTCCCCTGGCCATGGCTGTGGCTGCCGCCATGTGAAGAGCCCTTGGAGGGCTCTGCATGTATTAGCACCTGCCAGAGAAAAGGATGTGGGCAGAAGCAGACGTTTATGTTATGAAACAATGTGCTCCCCCGCTGATAAGTGGGATTTCCCACACACTATGGCAATATATTGTCTTCCTTGGTGTCTCTGTGGCAGGGGGCACCTCTAAGCCACCTGGCATCTTTTGCTTAACTGGAATCTGCACAAAAGCAGAGAGTAAAGGCTGATTCCAGCTTTTTGCTATCTTTGGTGTGTATGGTGGGGACGGGGCAATGGAAAGACTAGGTCTCACGGTTACATAGTGAACAGAAGGTTGCTGTGTCCTTTTTTGTTAGGACCAATAACGTCTGTTTTAGAAAAGATCACTTTAATGGCTATGAGAACTGGTGATCCCAGTGCACATGTGGGTTGTGACATGTGCTTGTCACTCCGTGTCCACCTCCCATCCACCATGGCAGACCTTGAGCTTGGTGGAAGGGAGTCAGCAGTTCCCAGACACTAGTCTCGCAGTTGAGGACCTGGGGTCAATTCGCTTAATCTTTTCTGAACCTTATTACTTAATTTGTGAAAAAGGGATAGTTGTAGATTCCTTAGAGTTCCTATGAGGATTAGATGGGAATTGAAGTGAAGTGGCTCATACTAAGTACTATTTCATTTGCTTTGACACACACCTCTACACCCTTCATTTCACAAGCAAAGAAGAGATGGACTTGGAGTCGTGGTTGTCATTCACTCTTGTTAAGGGAAGAAGTGGGATAGGATAGTATGAAGTGTATTGCCACCACTTTTATTTCTGCTTATGTTCTCTAGGTTTTCATATGTAATGGAATGGTCTCTTTTTGTCTAAAGTGTCCTCTTGTACACGGGGGAGGAGTTTGTGTGGAAGATGTGTGGGAAGAGCCACAGGTGCACGGGTCCCCTGTTGGCCAGGAGCCAGGGCCCACAGGTGTCTTTGTTCCAGGTACACACTTCTCTTGGAGTCTGTCACCAGGCTTGGCGCATTGCCCAAGATTCCAGCTCTTACCTTGGGTTAGAAAGTTTTACTGGGAAGAACCACACATTTGAGGTAACATCCAGAAATAGTGAAAGAGAATTTGTCCCCAAAGGAAGGCTGAAATGTGTTTGATTTTCTTTTGTATTCATAAACCCTCAGGAGGGTCAGAAGAAGGTAACACTTAGTTGCCTCTGGACTGCTGAAAGCCCTCAATAGCTGAGAGCCTCAGTTCAAGCCTCAGCATTTTCCTGAAATTTTCTAGACAATCACTTCCATAGCTTTCATGTTAAAGGTCACAGACCTAGACTTAGATATATGCAGTCCTTAACTTGATAGATGTATGTCTCCACACATACTAAGAACCTTGTGGACGGTTTCTGTGTCTAATGCCAGGCACAAAATAAGAATTAATGTTGCTTTGACCGAATTGACTGTGTGCAAATGTTATAAATGCTCACAGTTACCTCCCCTCCAGCTCATGCACCTGCCTCTCCCGCTCGCCCACCTTGGGTTCCTCACACTTTCATCGTGTTTCTGGAGTTCACTGGCTAGTCCAGAGATCTAGATAAGCTATGAAGCAGGACTAGAAATAGCTTTTTTTTTTTTCTTTTCAGTGCTCAAACATAGGTTTTCAGACCAATCTGCGTTGAGCAGCTCTGTCCTGGGCAGTGGGAAATGATTAGATCAGACATCAAACTTTTTCTCAGGGACCTTGGTTTAACCTTCTGGCCTAGTTTGTTTTTTCCTTTCTTTTGCTGCTATCTCTGCAAACCTCTTTTTTTTTTTTTCCCTTCAGTGTGTGTATTCTACCTTTACTGCAGTCAGATAATAGAAGAAAAGGGAGTACGAAAGTACCTGAGATAGTTGGTCATCTTGAATTGTCAAAAACAAACCCTGAATTCTCAAATCTGCAGGAACAAATTATGGTTTCCACCTTTCCCCATTTCTACTGTATAAATATAATGAATCTGTTTCTCAAACAGTAAAAGGGAAATGAAACACTTTAATTTGAATTTACTAGGCTTCAAATTAATTTGTTCTCTATTTTGTTAATTCTGCTAACTAGAATTTGCCTTTAACCAGGGCCTTTCATGAATTGGGAATGTGTGTTCCACGTGATTCTTTTATATGGGGATTATATCAGTGTTGATTTAACGTGGTTAATTAAAACTAAAAACTGTTGGACTAAGCACTGATGTGTTACCTAAACACTGAGGGCCTATGACTTGGATGTATTCTAGTAATACCAATGTTTGTCTAAGTAACTTTAAAATGTACTTTTGGTATTTGAAATTGTTTGGACGAGTGAGGGACAATGAAGAATCCCTTTCTAATAGGCACAAGTGACTTATTTTATGCTCTTCCAATGAGCTAAGCACTTAGTATGAACTCAGCTTAAATTTGTGTCTTCAGTGGCTTAAACTCCTCTCTATGTAAATCATGGTAAATTGAGAAAGTGAAAAACTACGCCATGGACTTGGCATTTGTCATGTCCCACACTGTGCTTTTATACAGACTTTTTCCCCTAGAATTTAACTCCAATATTCATATATGTATGAGAAGAAGTTGTCATGGAAGATGCTAACCACAGGCATATTGTATTTCTGAAAAAAGTGTTTGTTAAAGTTTTTGCAGCTGTAGCCAGCAACCAACTTAACAGTATCACAAGGGTAGCTACATGTTTGAAATGAGAAATAGCAATTCTGTGAAACTGAAAAAAAAAATTTCTTTTGGTTAACATAGAATGAGATGAGAGGAGATGGATTTGCATGAATTAGAGAGTCTGAGGTTTTTTTTTAATGAGCATCTTTTTAAAAAGTATATGAGTAGAAACTTGATAGAAAGGCATTCTAAAGGAAAAGAGTCTCTCTTCCTCTGTTCATCCCCTTATCTGTAGAGATCAGCATTTACATCTTGGAGGTGAAGCTTCCAAGTGTACTTAATTTTGTCACATGGATGTGGGAATGCAGAATGTGGAATGTAGAGAGGAGGGGTGGGAAGGAAAAAGGGGATTGAAGAAGTTAAATAAGGCAGCAGGTGAATAGAAGGCTCCTAAGGGAGAAGCTTTAGGATCATAAGGTTTTAATTTTTCTTCAACTAATACATATATAGATTCCAAATTCAAAGGGCACAAAATAAGTTTTCTTCTTCTAACTTTGAATCTACTTCCCCTAAACTAGAGGAAGTATTTGGTACAGACTAAAACTACTACCTGCATATGTTTCCAGAGACTTTATATGCTTGTGTAAGCACAGACTTTAACAGTTTTGCTGTTAGCAGTTTTGCTATTAACTTGTTTTTCTATTAATGAGTCTTGATAAGCATTTCACAGTCATACAGAAAGAACAGCTGTCTTGAATTGTCATCTCGAATTGTTGAAAACAAACCCTGAATGCTCAAATCTGTAGGAACAACTGCATGCGTTTCTGTATTGTTTTATACACACATCAGATCATTTAACCATCTTCTATTGGTGAATACTTATAGCTTTATAAATAATTCTCCAATGAATATTTTGTGTATACTTGCAAATATACTAAGGATATAATTCAAAGTAGACTTACCAGAAGTAGAATCCCTATGTCAAAGAGTATATCTCCTTAAAATTAAGTGTCTTGTGTCCGGAGAGAGCCCACAAGCAGTATACTAGAGGGTGTCTGATTCCCACATATCAGACTTAGTGATCTTTGCCCATTTGATGGATAAAAATGATACGTTGAGGTTTTAATCTGCCCCTCTCTTAAGTAAGGTTGTGACTGTAATAGGTGTTTGAGATGTAGTTTGTGTCCTTTGTGTCTTCTCTGTTGGGGTTCTTCTGGTATTTCTGATTTGTTGAAGCTCCTTATTCATTATGGAAATGAGTACTTTGCCTAATGTTACAAATATTTTTCCTACTTTTGCCTTCTGACTTTATGGTGTTTTTGAATTATATAGTCAAATATAGCAATTTTTGAGGCTTTTAGATTTTATGTGACTTATTTAAAAAAAAACTACCCACTCTGTATAAGTATATATAAATGCATTTCCACCTCAGTACTCTTAGAGTTTCATGCTTTTACATTCAGTCTTTGATCTGTCCAATCTAGATCTTAGTTTGGCATGAAATAGGGAGTCCTTCATTTTTTTCTTTTTGATAATTTAGATAACCATCCAGATGTTTTTCTTCACTTTACTATTCTGAAATGCCTCCTTTAATTATATACTAAATCCCTTTACATATCTGATTTTGTTTCTAGATTTAAAAAATTTTGTTCCATTGATTTGTCTTTTTGGGCCAATAACATGCTGTTTCAATTATTGTGGTTTTGTGATATCTGTTACAGGCTAGTGCATATCATTCCTATTTTTCACAATGTTTTCTGGCTGTTTCTGCCTCTCCTACCATATGAACCTTACAAATTCTGTCTAAAACAAATTCTAACTTTGAGTCTACTAGAAGTTCACATACTTTAAAATATATGAAAACTCTCAACCCTGTGTACTTCCCCCCACCAAAAAAAAGGCTCATAGCTTCCAGGCTATCACTAGTCTCAGATGTCCCTCCTCTAATGTTCAGAACCACCATTGTAGCGTAGGCATTGTCCTGACTTTAATCCTACATGACGTCTTTTTGAACAACTCCTTTAAAAAAGACTTGAGTCAGAATACATTCCTACAGTTATTCTCCTCTGTAACATTATTGAGGTTCTTGCTGGAGATTTTAAAAAAATTGTTGCTTGTATCTCAAGTACTGCTTGCATTACAGCCTCTGGTTTCCGTGTGACTTCTCATGCCTGTGTCATAAAGATGAGCTTTGAAAGCACAACAGGTGATTCACACTAGCAAGTGAGTTGTATTTCTTCAGGTAGACCAACATACCTGAAATCTATAAAACCCATGCCACCAAACCATAGTCTAGCTCTGGTCACAGTAAAGCCAGCCCCGTAACTTTCTGTAATTATTAGAACTTAATTGTGTAGCTCAGGGTTCCCCACCCCCCTGACCACGGGCCAATACCAGTCCGTGGCCTGTTAGGAACTGGGCCGCACAGCAGGAGATGAGTGGCAGGTGAGCGAGCATTACCACCGGAGCTCTGCCTCCTGTCAGATCAGCAGCATATTAGATGCTCCTAGGAGTATGAACCCTAGTGTGAGCTGAGCATGTGAGGGATCTAGGTTGTGCCCTTCTTATGAGACTCTAATGCCTGATGATCTGAGGGTGAAACAGGAACAGGTTCATGCTGCAACTATCATTCCCCTCTTCCAGGTCCATGGAAAAATTGTCTTCCACAAAACTGGTTCCTGATACCAAAAAGGTTGGGGACCACTGGTGTGGCACATACAGTGGACACAAATGTACTGTGTGCTAATCATGGGAGACCACAAAGAACTGCTAAGTGTTTAAAGGGCATGGCAAAAAGAGAACTCTACTATCCCAAATCTGCCTTGAAACCAAATGCCAGTCACAGTAAACATTATTCGTCACAGATTTTGCTTGGGATCCATAACCTAGGAGTGCTTTGTAGGATGATCTAGATAGCCTAGGACTTTTTAACGCTGTTCAGAGGCACTTTTGTCTTCCCCTCCACGAGTACTCTGTAGCGAGCAATAGAGCGCTCATCCCCAGATTGGTCCTGCAGAGCCTGCTGTGATCACATACTCAGCCCGCTGCTTTCTGCCTCTCGGCCCCAACCAACAGCTCATGTTGTCTTTCTGTTGGCTTGTGTCCCCTCTCCATAAGTGAACTCCGTGACCTTCCTGTTCACCCCAACCAGGGACACCCTTTCTTCTACTTTTATATTACATTTTATTTCCACCACTGGAGTTGTCTACACAACACACTGCCTTGTATTGATAGCTCATATTTTCACCTTCTTCTTGATGGGAGAGCCTGAAGAGCTCATCTCCATGTACCCAGCAATGCCCTGACAACCAAGTAACAACCATAGGAGATCCCTGGCACCGGTGCAAGGCCAGAAATCCATGTTGGAACCCCAGGAGAATGCATGCCGATGTGTATTCAAACACAGCAGCTTCCAAACAATGAAACTGCAGAAGTCATTGGGATGGGTTTTATGTGGGTCTAGCAAGTCAGAAAGGCGGAGGGGGTGGGAAAACTGTTTACAGTGAAATCTGAGGACAGCGCCTTGACACTTTGTTCTGGGTTTTACATCCATCTAGCAAATATTCGACTCGTGGCTCTACAGGCACCTTGACATTTTAATATATGAGTATTTGTTTTTATATATTAGGATTTCCAGGGATCCATTGTGTTTTATTTTTTGGTAAGTATAACATAGCTGAAAATTACTTGGGAAACTTTGTGGTCCTAGCAGATGAAGTGGTGTTTTTCTCCTAGTACTCATTGCCAACTTTATTCTCCTCGGGTAGCTTTAAGGTACTATTGTTTTCCAAGTACACTTGAAGGCGCACACTGCCCGGGGGAAGTTGGCCATGTCCTGTGTTGGGCATCCTTGCTAGGAAGAGTGGTTCCACTACATAGGTGACCTAACTTTTTGTTGACTCGAAATTTTGTCATAAAAACCACTCCTTGGTTCTACCCTAGATGACAAGTACTTGTTAGGATAGACTTCTCCTATAAATGAAAGGAACATGGGAATTTTGCTAAGGGAATATACTTTATTCTAGTAGAAGGGGATGGATTCCCACTTATTGGTGAGATTGTAGCCCAAAGTTGAGAATCCATCTACTTGTGGAGTGAAGGAAGTCGTGTGTGTGTGTGTGTGTGTGTGTGTGTGTGTGTGTCTGTGTCTGTGTGTGTTGTATATTCTGTGTATGAATGTTGTAGCCTAGACGAATGTAGACATTCTCTTTTTCACTATAAGACACCTTCAGCCTAGGTGTCAACCAGGTCGAGATGTGGTTAGGGAGCCAGAAAGCTGGAGGAGTAACTAATTCTACTGCGGTCCTATATGGTTTGCTCACATTCTGTTTTCAGAACATTTGAAACACACTCCGTTTCAGCACACTCCACCCTTACCCAGAAAAAACAAAACAAAACTATGAAATAATCTAAAGTAATAGAGAATGAGTTTGTGTGTTTTTGTCCTTCTCTGCAGTGTCACTGTTTTTTACATATTTAACTCATTGAGTCCTCATGGCAACACTGAGCAGTAAGTGCTATTTATCACCATTTTACAGGAAGATGTTCAGAGATTAAACAGTGTGAGTTCCTCGAGCTGCTTTGCCATGTAGAAGTGAATCCTAACTCTGCTTCTCACCCCTCACTTTCAGTTTCCCCAGCCAGAACATCCCCTGAAGATGGCAGAGGAGAGCAGCTGTACCAGGGATTGCATGTCCTTCAGCGTGCTCAACTGGGATCAGGTTAGCCGGCTGCATGAGGTCCTCACTGAAGTTGTACCTATCCACGGACGAGGCAACTTTCCAACCTTGGAGATAACTCTGAAGGACATCGTCCAGACCGTCCGCAGTCGGCTGGAGGAGGCAGGCATCAAAGTGCACGACGTCCGGCTGAATGGCTCCGCAGCTGGCCACGTTTTGGTCAAAGACAATGGCTTGGGCTGCAAAGACCTGGACCTAATCTTCCATGTGGCTCTTCCAACAGAGGCAGAATTTCAGCTGGTTAGAGATGTGGTTCTGTGTTCCCTTCTGAACTTCCTGCCAGAGGGTGTGAACAAGCTCAAAATCAGTCCAGTCACTCTGAAGGAGGCATATGTGCAGAAGCTAGTGAAGGTTTGCACGGACACTGACCGCTGGAGCCTGATCTCCCTCTCCAACAAGAACGGGAAGAACGTGGAGCTGAAGTTTGTCGACTCCATTCGGCGTCAGTTTGAGTTCAGTGTGGACTCTTTCCAAATCATCCTGGATTCTTTGCTTTTCTTCTATGACTGTTCCAATAATCCCATCTCTGAGCACTTCCACCCCACCGTGATTGGGGAGAGCATGTACGGGGACTTTGAGGAAGCTTTTGACCATCTGCAGAACAGACTGATCGCCACCAAGAACCCAGAAGAAATCAGAGGCGGGGGACTTCTCAAGTACAGCAACCTTCTTGTGCGGGACTTCAGGCCCACAGACCAGGAAGAAATCAAAACTCTAGAGCGCTACATGTGCTCCAGGTTCTTCATCGACTTCCCGGACATCCTTGAACAGCAGAGGAAGTTGGAGACTTACCTTCAAAACCACTTCGCTGAAGAAGAGAGAAGCAAGTACGACTACCTCATGATCCTTCGCAGGGTGGTGAACGAGAGCACCGTGTGTCTCATGGGGCATGAACGCAGGCAGACTCTGAACCTCATCTCCCTCCTGGCCTTGCGTGTGCTGGCGGAACAAAACATCATCCCCAGTGCCACCAACGTCACCTGTTACTACCAGCCGGCCCCTTACGTCAGTGATGGCAACTTCAGCAACTACTACGTTGCCCATCCTCCAGTCACCTACAGCCAGCCTTACCCTACCTGGCTGCCCTGTAACTAACCTTGAGACCTGAGGGTTTCCACAGTGGGAACCCCAATAGGGCTAGGGCTCTCAGGTAGGGGAGCCTCCTTCTAGATGTAGGCATTTGGCTTTTAAAGGGGAACTCAGCTCTGATTCTGCTTTTTTTTTTTTTTTTCCTTTGTGTACCCATTGGAATGGGTCTACAGTGTATCATGAGCCAACCCTCAAAGGACCCGTATTACAGTGCCACGTTGGAAAACGCTACAGGAAGCATGACCTATCCACATCTTTCCAAGATAGACACTAACATGTCATGTCCCAAACATTAGCACGTGGGGGTTGAGCTCTGTGCAGTAATCGAGATTGGGAGAATTTGGGCAGCGCGTGAGAAGTGCTAAGCTACTTGTTTTCTCACTTGAGCCCGGGTAGGCTGTGTTGGCCCTCACTTGGGATTCTCAGCAGTTACATGAAAGTTGTGCTGATAATCTCTTCTCTTGTACCAATTTTAGTCAGGCAGAAAATGGTAAACATGAGGGTGCTCTTGTGACTTAATTTTTGTTCAAGGGACTAAATTGCTTATGTTTATTCCCTGTCAGCGGAGTGGAGAATGTCATTCATCAATAAACCAAAGCCAATAGCTGGAGAATTGAGATCTGGTTGAAAGTGGTTTATGGTTTACATGCTGTACTATCCTGAGGAATTGCGAGATATTGCTGAGGGGAAAAAAAAATGACCTTTTCTTGAAATGTAACTTGAAAACAAAATAAAATGTGGAACATAATGTTTAATTAGAATTGTGGTGGTGGTAGTGGAAGGGGATAATTGTAAATAGGAAACATGAATGTTCATTTTTTTCTTTAAAGAATTCTTATTAAATGGCTCCCTGCCTTTTTTTTCTTTTTTCCTCATCAGCTCTTTCATGGCTGAATTTTGTTTTATTCTTCCTAAGACTGAGGATTGTGCTGAGTCCAGAGTCATTGTGGTAACTGACATGAGGGTCTTCCCATGTTTTAACTGGAAACCCACTTTGGTCACATTCCAAGTATGACACAGCTGTTCTTCTGGAGTACTTTAGCTATTTTTTGTTTTTGTTCTTTTCGTTTTTTTTTTTTCCAAAAATAGTGACTTCCTTCTCCAGGTGTGTTTGACAGCAACTCAATTCAGGAATTTCGGTAGAACTGAGTGACCTGTGGAACTGCTTTAGAATCTAACCTGCTGTCTTCGTGCTCTGTGTGAAGGGGAAGCTGGGGGGTTAGCATGAAGTCTGGCCTTGTGTGCATTGGAGCTTCCAAGGCACTTTGAAATCATTCCAGTATATTTGGGAAGAATTGAGTGAATGAGAATGCTCTTCCTTATTCTGGTAGATTTGACTTGTTTATAATTCTGCACTTTAGAAGAAAAACAGTGTTAATCTGTAGTTGAAAGAAAGCTTAGTAGATGAGAGAGTTCTAGGCTACTGTGGCTTTTTCCAGTAGATTTAGATGAGATTATGTGTTTTGAAATGTTTTGTGGGATCCCTTAGAAAGCATCACTTCAGGGCAGAGACACTCAATATTGCCAGCCAGCTTGGGTTCTAAAGTGATTTAATCAAATTCATGCTCCTGATCTTTTTTTTCCCCCTTCCTTTGGCTATGAAAACCCAAAGCCCGGAGTGATTGTTTTCTCCTTGCTTTAAGCAGTGAAGTTATCCTAATGCAAAAGAGCTTAGTAGAAAATGAGTGGTTTACCTTTTTTTCTAAAAGTATATTTTCAAGTTTATTCTGGAATGTGATGTCTTGGTCCTCTTAAAAGCAGATCAGCCATGACTGAAACTCAAGGCTTAGCTGGTATCTATGTTGTGCTACATTAGGTGACTAGAAGCCACTTCTTAGTGTAATCAGCTCCTGTTTCCCTGTGAGCCTTAGTTATATTTTAATTCAGTGGCTTTGAGTCAAGGCCGGTTCTAATTGAGGGGACCCAGTGTGCTTCAGTGTTAAGAGTGGGGCAATGAAGAGTGAACCCCAATGAAGAGTGATCCCAACTTTGGAAACTATCTGGTCATTCATGACCTTAAAAAGCTGCCATGGTGGTCAAATGGCATGTGTTTGCACAAAAATGACCGATGTGTTTAACCAAAGCTTTGAAATGTGATGAAGCCACCAACATAAGCACTTGCCTAACAGAAATCAGTATTTCTTCTACTTAGAAGGCTTGGGGCCCAGGGTAATGAGGCACCAGATGAAGATAAGATCTGCATCAAGGAATTAAATTTCCAGTTTGTCCTTGGGGTTCTTTCTGCTTATGTTTTTTCCCCCCCATCTGGTAATAGTCCTCTTCTGAGAATGAAAGGAGGCACAGAAGTTGCGAGAAAGACCCAGTCCCCAGTCTTTGCCACCATTGCACCATGGTTGTCTCGGAGTCCCTTCACCTGACCTTTTTAGTCAGCTCAGATCTTTTTGTAGTTTGAGAATAGACCTATTCAAGAGCTATCAGGGTTAAAAGCTGCACTGACCAAAGCTGTACTTTTAAAACACAACCCCTGGGCTAGTGATGTCTCTACTTGCTCTATGAGCCTTTTGCCAGCCTCAGAATAGGCGAGGTAACCTTGAATTTCAGGGCCCTGGAAACTCTAGCTGAAACCTGCCTTTCCTAATGCTCACACAAGCACCAGGTACCCTGAGCTTATACTGAGTCCAGTGGTTCCTATTTTATGTGTGTGTGTATGTGTGTGTGTTGAGTAACATGAAACTTGGCAGTAGCAGAGAGCACTGAAGTTCACATGCAAGTTCTAATCTAAAGTTAAGCAGTCTCTTATTTGTTTCGGGACTCTGATTTGACTCTTTTTCTGATGCTTTCGGCATGTCTGCAGCCTGTTCTCCTAGCCTGCTGCTTGGAGTCAGGTTGAGCATCAGTGAGATGAAGACAGTACCTTTTCCTCTCACATTGGCAGAATAGCACGCACTAGATGCCTGACCTTGAGCTCTAGTCTCCCCTTTAAATCTTACCTTGGCAGTAACACATTATTCCTCATTCAATAATTTCAATGCTGAAACTGAACTCTATTACTAATGCCTTCCAATCAGAGTTCCTGATGGGGATGCCTGTGGGATGGCCCACACCTGGGGGACCTGGCAGATGGGGTGAGTTGGGTAAGGAAGATGATGCTTAGTTCCTGATAGATGCTACAGATGTAGTTTGGCATTTCAGTTTTTGTCCAGTTTGATTTTCACTGGGGTTTGAGTCACAGCAAGCTGTGTATGAACTTGTGTTTTGTGGTGACACATTAATAATCAAATTGCTAAAACCCTGAATCTGCTTATTCTTCAGCTTCACCTCTGCACTAACCCCTTACCCTTATGGTACGTCAGGATTTTAACTAGTACTGCTTTGTTGACTTTGGGAAATGGTGCCACTCAAAAGCAACTTCCTAACTTGAGGAATAACTCCTTTGTAGTTTACTTTCTGGTACTGGTTGGTGCCTTGTATTGGGATACAGCTATATTCTTAGCTCAAATGTCCTCTTTTTGAGAGCAAAGTAGTTATCCAATGGTGAGACGAGACCCTGACGCTCATAGAGGCCATTCCTTCCTGGGTGTCGGACCAGGGCTCTGTGTCAGGGAAAACCTTCTGGGTGGACTTTGTAAGAATCCAGTTTCCAAGGTTAGATTCACATCCTTAATCTTGCAGAGACTAGAATTTCACAGCTCGCTTTGGAACATATTCCAATTCAACCAGTTAAAATCAGAGGACCAAGTCGTGGGGGAGGGGGGCGGTGTTGAGGAGAGGTATTTTTAAAGATCTGGCAACTTTTCAGGATTATTTGTGGAGAACTCTAAGGTTAAGATCAGGAAATAAAAGACTGTGTGTGTGTGTGTGTGTGCGTGTGTGTGTTCAAGTGCCTAAATCTTGTTTACCTATCACTTTAAAAAAATAATTGAAGTGTAAGCTAAATAAAATGCTTGGAGTTTTGCCTGGGCTAGTGAGAGTTGGTGCAAATTCTTGTGTGTGTTTGCATAGGAAGGTGAGATGACCATCTACTAAAGAGGAAGTAGCTAAATACAGATCTGTGGGTGTTTTTAAAAAAACTCAACCTATCTGGTGTTTTATTTTAATGGATAAAAATGTAATTTTTCTAAGGTAGCAACTTATTTCCAAATTAATATAGATGAAAAATAGATACCAATTAGACTAAATTGAAAGCTTTTTGTTCTATATTTGCATAGCCTTTGAAATATTTCTTAGTGCCTAGGAGGTCTGGGGATTCCTCTTTCGTGGTGGTCACTAACCTTACTTGATGCAGATAAAATCACTTGTCAATGCAAAATGTGTTAGAACTTGATAAAGCTTTGAGTTTGAGAAATAAAGGTATATTTAAAATTTAAATAAAACTTGTCATTTATGCTCATTGATTTGTTTCTTCTCAATGATGAATTTTAGGTTTTAGGAAACATTGAATAGAAATAGGAAGCTGTCAACATCAGCCTTGGATGCTTCTCTGAAGGACAGATGCTTTTTTGAGGGGGGAGGGCTGTGTGGTTACCTTGGAGACCACAAATCCCTTAATATTTGGGCTCTTTTTCAAGGTGCCCAGCTAACTTAAACTAGGCTTCGTTGTTGACCACAGCCTTTCAGCTAATACCCACGGCAGGTGTAGTCTTGCAGTTCGCCTTTGCTGGCACCTTGTTTAATTCAGTCCCTTTAGCTCCTAGCCCACTTCAACAACAACAAAGAAAACAACTTCAGCCATACATGTACAACTACTGTAGTTTCTTCACATTTTTAAAGAAGTATAGAAGTGAACAAGTGATACTTGGAGTGGTTGATAGATGTTTGAAGGGTATAAAGAGATGCTGTAGACTTTGGTTAGCAACCTTCCTCCTCATTCCTTTGATCTAATTCACAACAACCCCTGCCCACCCCAAGTCTTGCCCCTTCCGTGGCCTCCCTTCTTTGTGGAATTTCTTTGAAATCCTATGGCATTCTCCTAACTGTCCTCATGAAACTTATGTCTTTGGCTGTGTAAAATCCTTCATCCCCTTGCCTCCACCTGTCCCTGCTCCTCCTCAAACCTTTCAGCCAAGGATGTGCATGCTCTGGAGTCTGGTAGGTGTGGAGTCCTTCCAATCACTTCTTTGGCATGTTTACTCAATAAGTAACCCTCACTCCTCTTAAGCCCTGACTGCCAGCTCACACTCTCCATGTTGCCTCTTCACTCCTCCCTTCATTCTGCCCATCCACATCCATGTCAGTGGCCTCTTTAGCTTTATGATGGACTACCTCTGTTCTAGTCATCTACTCACATCGGTTAGACACTGTCTGGATCTAGAACTGTTCATGAAGGCTGGGGTGACATTCTTCTCTTTTCACTACAAGAATTGGGATCATTGAAGAGCAATTTTCTGATCTTATGCTTGCCCATCAGCCATCCCCACGATCTTCTTCCTCCCCATTTTTACTGCGTGTACCTTCTGAAATGTTCCTTGACTCTGCCCTCTTGGTTGCCTTCAGCTCTTGCTTGGGCTATTTCATGAGTCTTGTCTCTATTTTTCTTGACTCTGTCAAGGGCTTTTTCTAAAACAGATGTGCCTGGGCCCCTCCCATACATTAAAACCTGTGTAAGACCCTACTGTGCAAGAGCAGATGTCAGACTCAACATGTCTGTGCAAGAGCAGATGTCTGGAGCTAGCTAGCCCCAGTCTACCTTCCTATCCTTTGACCTACTATACTAAGCTGGCCTACTTGGAGTTCTGGAGCACACAGCTTCTTCCGTGCACGTGACCCCACAGCAGGCTTCTAAAATCTCAGCTAATCCTCACCTCCTCTGGCTTACCAGGCCCTATGTCTGCCACCTCCCCCTTCCTGCTTTTTCTATTCGTGTTCTTACTGGGTTGCATCAGCTCTTCACCCACATTGTGAACACCTGCGTGCTTCATTCTCTGCCCACTTTTCACATAACTGGCATAGATTTGGTGCTTCAAATGTTGAACTGGATGGGTTTTCCCTGGAGGACTTGTCCTTGGGCCATTAGCCACTTAGAGGCTGAATCCTGGATATTTACCTGAATGTGTTGTAATGCCTCATTTTGGTGCCAGAAACCATTTCAGTCCCCTTGTCCAGACCAATATTTATACGCAGGACAACTTGTGTGGGATGTGCTGGTGCCCAGCTTCCTGGAATGAGTAGTCATGTCCCGGACACTAACACAATTGAACACAAGCTCTTGGCCCCTGAGCAAGGTCAGTACTAAGGGTTGCAGTCTTCACGCTCAGCAGTATTATTTCAAACTCCCCACCCACCCAGTCCTCCTGGCAGACCTATCCTTCTGGTGTTTTAGTAGAATTCCTCTCATGCCATCCCCAAGTGTTCATTCCTCAGCCTTGGAATGAAGCTCCCGTCGTTGCCACCCGGGACCTCTAGGGTTCCAGAAGTACACTTCTAAACGAGCGGGGATTCTTTTTCTCCTTCACTGTCCGAGTAGTCGCCTGGGCGGGATAGTAATGCGCTTGGTTGTAATCTGGGGTTAGTATCAGCTGGAAGATGCTGAGAGCATCAGCAGGACCTGTGGGGGTTTTCCATATGACCTCTGAGCAGCCAGAGCCTCAGTGTGATGGTGCCATTCTGCCACCTTACCTTGGCCTGGAGCCTCATCCTCTCCAGAGGCCTTCAGCTCCGTATGCACTTATGGCAGGTGGAGTCAGAGGCAAGTCAGGGGTGGTGCCCAGACTGGGCTGAGTGGTCTACCCCTGCTCCCTGCCTAAAAGCTGAGTCAAGCGACTTCCTGTCCGAAGTGACGGCATTGGACCTGGGGCCACGGTGCTGGTTTCCTGCCTCCTGGCCCTGTGCCTTCTGCAACACGGGACTGTGTCCTTCCCTGGGGATAAATGCTACCTAGAAGCATGTGCTGCCCTGGCGGTGAGCCACTCCTCAGTACTCTGACTGTCATCACTCTCTCAAGCAGGTTTCTGTCAGTGCCGCCCAGAATCTAGGGAGCTGGAGCCTGTCGGGAGGCTTGGTTTCATACCATTCCTCACCCAGCTCAGAGCAACGCAGGCTACCTGTTCTGGCCATGACTGGATCACAGGTCTCCCAGCTCAGGGCATTTTCACCACAGCAGGCCATCCCAGGGCCACCTTTTACTTAGGAAGTTTCCGAAAATGGGAAATGTCCCTAAGGGAAAGGCATGAGAAGCTGGAGTCGCTGCCTTTCTTTCGGGTGCTTCCCTGGAAAAAAGGTATCCGAGGCTATAGTGTTCGAGAGAGAGAGAGATGGAGACGGGCAGCACCACAGCAACTTTGGCCAGGCTGTTTTCAGCCATTTCAATCCATCCCTTCCATATGGATAGTAAATGAGGTTTTTCTCAAGAGGCCTGTTGGGAACTAAACCCATGAGAAAATGGAATGAGAACTCCTCACTTTAGACTAAGGCTTTAGGTTGACCAAGTACACATTGCATATACATAGCTTGCAGGTCTCAGAAACGTGAGCTAGGTAGCAGTGTTTCCACTGTACACAGGAGCCAGAGGCTCAGTGCGCCTCTGAGTTGCCCAGGGTTACGTATCTTGTAAGAGACAGAGCCCATGCACAAAGATTTGACTGCAAAGCCTGGTTCCCCCACTATTACAACACTGAAAACACTCTGTAAACTATAACTCACCCTGCAAATATTAGTTTTTATGTCAGCCCCCTCTCAAGGGCCTAAGAGGTGTTGAGTTGCCTGGTAATAGATCCGTTTCCACTTATCCAGGAAAGGAATTCCTTGGACAAACCAGCAGCTTTCCTCAGACAACCCTCCCTTTGTGAATCAGGTGTGGGGGGACCCATTGCAGGCTCGTTAACATGTTTGGGGAATGCTCATGGAGCACCAGGTCCCATGCTAAGCATTAGCATTTAATCTTCCAAAAAGTCTGAGATAGGATGATTAGGTTTACAGGTGAGGAAACCTAAACGTCATACAGCTGCTGCAGCCAGCACCTGGCTCTGGGGTGTCTGACTCCCAGGCTCCAGCTGTCAGTTCTTTTACAGTATGCTATTTTGTCTTTGTCCTGCATTTTACAGGGTGGCACATGGAAGAGGCACGGGAGAGCAAATATCCTGCCTTCCAACAGAAGCCTTTCAAGAGGAATGAGGAGGAGGACAAAGCCACTGATTAAATTGATTAGTTAAAATTAAAAATTAAGCCAACTGATGAAGTTAAAATAGGGTGCCTATTGTGGTTGGCATGGCATTTTAAATTAGAATTGAAATGGAAACAGCATCACAGTTTCCCCCACACCTTATCCAGGCAGCCATGTACTATGGGGGTATTTAAACTACCTGCAGGCTGGAGAGGAGGGCGGGGGAGTGCAGGAGGGCTTTTGCAGAAGTCAGGAAACCAGCTCACCTGCAATGCTGAAACAATGAAACCAAGAAGGGAGGGGAGTCAGAAAACTAATAGCACAACCCTAAGCAGTTCCTGGAGTCAAACACCTGTGGTTTTTCATGCACTAAATATAGTGGAAGTTGGGTCATCTTATCCTTAAATAAACACTACAGCTAGCAAAGACTTTTTTGAAAAGAATCTTTACATTGGCTCAGGTAAGCGGGAGCCTGGGAGAAGCAGCGCTTGGGTGGCTGTGAATGGTCTGCGGCAGCCTCTGGTCCTCATATCCCCTGCTATCTCAGGATCCCACACAAAACATTCCTCTGTGGTTTTTTCCCTGCTCTTAAGTCAACTGCATGTACCTTGTTGTCCCTGTGCCCTTCATCCCCTCCCCCTACCGTGAGAGATCAGTTTCCTTGGCCTTCACCTGATCTGACCAGGAACAGCAGGAGAGGTGCTCCCTCTCTCTCTCTAGCTCTGGCAAAAGAGGCAGCTTTTCAGCAGGCTTATTTTCCATCCTACTTTAGATATTACTGAAAGGAAATGAACTCTTCTTTGACTTTGCCTTTTGAATTTTGGATGCTGCTGAATCGGGCACAGTCCCTCCTTTAGGAAACATTAAACCAGAGGCTTGTGGCCAGGTTTCTGGCTTGCTGTTTGAGTGGCAGTTTGGTGCCCAGTAGGGTTCAAGGGATTCAAAGTGAGGAGCCCTTTACAGACAGGCAGTGGGGCAGAAGAGCTGGAGCTTTGGAGCTGGAGACTCCAGCTCAGCATGCTCCTCTGCTCCCCTTGTGATTGCATAAACCGCTCCAAGCCCAGTGCCCTTGTGGGTACAATGCAGGTGATGATGATGCCGGCTTTGGGGCTCCTAAGAATTAGGAAAGCCAGGTATTTTTTTAATAAAGCTCCAAGCCCAGTACCGGGTGCCCGTAGACGGTATCTATTACTTGATATCCTCTGCTCTAGAGGAGTTTACAGTCTGCTTTGGGAGTTAAGAGAAATGTCTTAAGTGGTATTTAAAGCATTAACATATGTGTGCCACAGATTCTTTGGTTCTGCTGGACATCAGGAAGTAAAAACACTGGCTACAATTTATTAAGACCTAAAGAGGCCAGTTAAGGGCATGATACACACTTTCACGATGCTCGTGACAGCCCTGCCAGCTAAGGGCAGTAGTCTCTCTCCCTACTCCACCCACTACTTAACGGAAGAGAAACTAAGGCTCAGAGAGGTTGAGCAACACACCACAGCCTGCACAGCTGCCTGGGCTGGCAGTTTCACACCTGGCGCCAAGACAGTGTGGACCGTGTCCAGCTGCTGGGCTGGGAGCCTAGGGCACTGGCCAGTGCTCTGTCCTGGCCGACTGCCCTGATGCCCATTGGCCTGTGGGTTGCAATATCATCATAATTCCTACTAAGCAACCCATTAGCCTCACTCTTGAGGTATTGCCAACTCACCGAAGTTCCCCAGAACTTCAGACCCACTTCTCCCACTCCTCTGCTGAGGGTAAGCAGAGAATGAAAGGTACTGCTCCGGAGGACTGTGGCAAACTCTATACACTGAAGTCATTTTGTCCTTTCACTGAGCAACTTCCCTGTACCAGGAATTAGAATCTGCACATTGAAAAGGCCCAGAACCCTCCTGCTCTAGTGTGGCAGGCACTTTTGTAAATGTGTGACCTGCTGGTTTTGCTGGGATGTGCACATTTCTAATAATGGTGTTGATCAACAAAGAGGACTTTGCATGGCAGGGGCGTGCCCTCCCTCCAAAGCTGCTGTTTCAGAGGTTCCTCCACCATGCAAGCCCTGGACCTGGGACACACTCACAGTCCCTAACATGGTTGTGTTTTCCTGTGAGACAAGTGCCTCTTCCACCCGAAGAGCATTTAGTGACTTCAAATAGGGTCAGCGGTCCAGGCCTGGTGAAAGAGGGCAGGGAGAGAGACCCTGCTCAGCCACGGGGGATCAGCTCGGGTGAGTCTCTGACCCCACCACGGTGGAAACCAATTAGAGAAATAACTTACTGGGGACATGATGAGGGTTGTTCTGAATCCAGAGGCAGCAATCTTTTTCTGCAAAGGCCTAAATAGTCAATATCATAGGCTTTGCGGGTCTCTGTCACAAATATTCCACCAATGTTGTATCACAGAAGCAGCCATCAATGACACACAAGGCTGTTCCCATAGAACTGTATTTATGGACACTGACATTCGAATTTCATGTCATTTTTACGTAGCATGAAATATTCCTTTGATTTTCCCCAATCATTTAAAATCCAGCCTATTTTGGCTGTTCACAAACCAGCAGCAGGACAGATTTGGCCCACTGGCTGGAGTTTCCAACCCATGAACTAGAGGACAGGGTGCCTCAGGGCAAGACCCTCCCCCTGTTTTTTTCTGCCTTCCTCCCGCCCCCACCATGTTCCTCAGTAAGGTAGAACTGCAGACTGCCAGTCCTGTGAGCTGGGTATTACCTGCCTCCTTAGTGGTTCCTCCATTGCACCTCCTCAGGGTTGGTTGTGGTTGCCCGTTGACAGCATGAGTTGCTGTCACTGCAACTCTGAAGCTGGGCCTTGAAGTTCCAACCACGTGGGCTTCACTGCCCTCTGGTCCCAGATGGTCCTGTTGGCCCACCTTCCACCATGCCCCTCACCACTGGAGAATCTCCTCTTCCCATCAGGGTCACAATTTCGGATGTTCCCAGCAAGTGTAGACTTCCTTCCTCAGTTCTTCATAGAGCCCCCAAATATTAGAACACCTGCTAGGCAGGCTGGTTCTACTCCTTAGAACTCCTCTGAAAGAGCTTGGGACAATTTGTTTGGAATTTAAAGTTGCACCCCATATTGTTGTGTCAATATATCCTTCCTGCCCACAGTCCCCAGGTGCACCCCCAAGGCTAACTTAGGACCCCCTTTGTTCTGGTGTCCTGAGGGTGGACTGCAGAGCCCTTTACCACTTTCCTGTGGGGGCAGTGGGTAGGGACTGTTTGAAAATGCAGCAGCCCACTGGACCCCCAGGCATGGCCAGCAAAGTCAGCCCCACTGGAATCAGACTCCTGGCCCCGGGAGCTCAGCCTCTTTGCCTGCAGCATGGATGCAGGTTGTCAGAAGTTGGAGAAATGAAATCCAGACATACCAAATGCTCCTGATGAGAGGACGTTCCAAATGGAAAACTATCCATTCAGACTTACCCTTGATGAGTCCAAAGGGGGATAGGGAGAACCCTGACGATATCAGTGTAACTCTGCGGGCCATTCAGGTTTGCAAGGGAAAAGATGAAGGAAAGGCCATCATGAAAAAGGCTTCACTCTGCCAAGAATAAGTCAAGAATACTCAAGTTGGCCGGGAGCAGTGGCTCACGCCTATAATCCCAGCACTTTGAGAGGCCAAAGCAGGAGGATTGCTTGGGCCTAGGATTTCAAGACCAGCCTGGGCAACATAGCGAGACCCCATCCCAAGTCATTAAAAACAATTTATTTTTAAAAGAATGCTTAAGCCGTGAAGGAAGTTGTCTGAAAAATAATAAGTTTCAATAAGAACAGGCAGAGGATAGCCCTACTGCCTAGGGAGGGAGAGGCTGAAGTGAATGAGGCTGCGAAAAGAGCCCAGTGCTTGCTTCCTCTTGGGCTTCTCTCTTTTCCATTGCAGAGGGAACAGGCACTGAGAGTGAGAACTGAGTGGGCTGGGGAGCTGGATGGACTTTACCCTGCCATTTCCTAACCCTGTGACATTTGACAAGCTCTCTTTCTGTGGCTATAGAAATGGGGATGCTTACCTGCTGCAGTTAGTATAAGGATTAGAGGAGGTAAACTTAGTAAAGACCCTAGCACTATGTCGACAGTTAATAAACAGTAGTCTAGATATGTGAGTACGGGTGCTTAAACAAAGCGATTCATCAGTAAAGAAGCAACCTTCATTTTGGTCCTCTGGTGCCTGATTAAAATCACCTAGAGTGCTAGTTCAAAATGCAGACTCCCAGGATCCCGCCCTCAGATTCTGATTTAGAGGGACTGCGGAAGGGCTGAGGAAGGGCCAGGGAATCATGTCCAGATAGTTCTCAGGTGCCCTGGAGTTTGGAAGCCGCAGTCCTAAGGGTTAAGGAGGAGGTGCATGATGGGAACAGGGACAGTGGGAGAGTCCTTAGAGCCGGAATGAGGGTGACCAGCCTAGAAGATGACATCCCAGGGGACGGAGGACACTTGAACACATGTCACAGATCTTCATGAGGAAAACATCAGACCAGTAAGCTAGATGTCCACACTTAGGATTCAATTTTTAAAAGGTGGACTCGATTAAAGGGACCGATTTGCCTGTCATTTTTTTTAGACTACTAGATTGGGGGTGGAAAGATTGTTTTGTTTTGTGTTTTTAGTTGCCTATTGTTAGAACAGCGCATTTTTACTTCAGATTAAAAAAAAAATTACTATGCTCGAATGGTGATAAAATCAGGGGGGTTTGTGGTTAGTAGAACAAAACTGAGTCTAAGATTTGACATCCGCACAGCAGGCAGTGATGAGGGATTTCTCACTTCCCCTAATAAAATCCCCAGTGTTGAAGGGAGACTTCCATCAGGAGGCGAAGGTGACCAAGCTGCTCTTCCCTCTGGAGCCCTCACTTCAATGGCCCTGTCCTTCCACTGTCTAGGAAGCTGCTCTTCCTTTGCAGACTGCCTCCAACAGGAGTCCCCATAGGCACCCTTGGTTCCTAGAGCCAGCGGAGACAAGCTGGATGTTTAACAAGATACATTACTAAATTTGTAAAGGAAAATAAATCTAGAGAAAACACAAAGTATAGGACAATATAGAGTATCCTCATGATACTCCCTTATGGAACTAGGTCTTCTGGGCCCCAGTCCACACCCCCAGCTGCCCAGCTCTGTGCTCAAGCTCCCAGGGGCTGGCTGCTGTCCGAGCCTCCACTGATGGGACCCGGTTACTATCACCATGACTCCAAGACCATGTTCTTGACCTCTTGACCCTCCTTAAATTCAGATTCTAGAATCTAGGGACAGATTCCCTGTTGTTCTTTATCCAGGATCTTCCCTTTCAGTTTTTACATCTGCCAAGAGACTTTCCAGCAAAGACCTCACCGTTCAGGTGAGACTCATTCTGCCCCTTCTCTGTGCACCACTAGCTGAGGCATTCATAAGCCAAAGACAAATCACTTACGGGGGCAGTGGATCTGCCCAGGTCCCTAGAGGCCTGCATTTCCCACTTCTCCCTTCAGCCTAAAGCCCTGCTGCAATCAAGTCACCCTGTTCTCAAAAACCTTCAATAGCTCTTCATTGCCTGTAGAATGAGGCTCAGGATCTCTCAACAGCGAATGTTAAAAGGAAGTCTTGGGCCAGACACAGTGGCTCACACCTGTAATCCCAGCACTGTGGGAGGCCGAGGTGGGTGGATCACCTGAGGTCAGGAGTTCAAGACCAACCTGGCCAACATAGTGACACTAGAAATACAGAAATTAGCTGGGCATGGTGGAGTCTATACTAAAAATACAAAATGAGCTGGGCATGGTAGAGTGCACCTGTAGTCCCAGCTACTAGGGAGGCTGAAGCAGGAGAATTGCTTGAACCCAGGAGGCAGAAATTGCAGTGAGCTGAGATCACGCCACTGCACTCCAGCCTGGGCGACTGAGCGAGACTCCACCTCAAAAAATGAAATCAAATAAAAGAAGCCTCAAATCACCTTCCAAGTCTATCTCCCATCCCTCCAAGCCCCACATCCTCCACTATAGCTTCCAGGGCAGTGAGAAGGGAGGATAGGGTGAGGAAGCCCACATTTTATCTGGAAAAATGGTCACCAGTTTCCAATTAATCCCATTTCACTAGGGTGAGAGCTGGTGGGGCACTGGCCTGGACACCAGGAGACCATGTCCTATTCTGGTGTGTGCAGCCTTCTAGCCTCAGGTGAGGCACCAGCCTTTGCTGGGACCCAGTTTCCTTATCTGCAAAATGCAGATATTGGATTAGCCTATCTGTAGGATCCTTGCCTACAGCTCCACAGTGGCCTTTGTGACTCAAAAAAGCTGTGAAGGACTCACTTGCCCAGAGAAAGCCTGACATGATGTGGGACCCTTGCTTATTATGCTGGTGACAGGAGTGATCCTGGGCTTTCTCTGCACTCAGCCTTCTTGTGAGGGAGAAATGGCTCAACTCTATTCAGTGAGCACAGCAGCAGTGCTCAGCCCGTCCTGTGCACACCACTTTGCCAGGTCCTGGAGGTCAGGGAAGGATGAGAAATAGTCCCTGCCCATAAAGAGCTCCTGGGAAATACAAGACAAAAACACACTCGTGTCATGCTGTGGATGAGTACTGTGACAGAGGAGGACAATGTTAGGGTCTCATTGGCAGGGGATGACTGGAAGAAGCCTCAGAAAGCAGGGGCCTTGGAGCTGCACCTTGCAGGATGAGTCCAGTTTGGCTGCACACTCCCTGGGGAATGGGGAGGTAGTGCGGGGCCACTGAAAGCTTTTAGTGGGGGAGTGACAAGAGAAACACCTGCATACAGCAGCTGCTTGGGAGATAGGATCCCTGTGTGGGGACATGAACAATACCCCAAGTACTATTTCGAAAGATTCGTGTTTGTGTTTTGAAAGATCACTGTGGCAACTGTGTCATGGATGAAGGGGCAGAGGTGAGACTGGAAACAGGGAGACCTGAAAGGCAGCTGCAGCAGTGGTCCAGGCAAGGCATGCTGACAGGGTGTAGACCTGAACTTCGGCACAGAACAATTACAGAACCTTTTACAAACCTGGGCATAGCCACAAAGAATTCAATAGTAGAATTTTTTCAGTAGACTCATGGGTGTCAGGCATACCTGTTTATTCTAGTCAGTCATTGTATTTTATATCCTGGAATAGTTTCAATAGTTTCCCTCTCCTTCTTTCTCCCCAATTCAGCTGTCTTCTCCACCTCACCCGACTAACCCCCATAGCATTCTTTTTTTTTTTTTTTTTTTGAGACAGAGTCTCGCTCTTGTCGCTCAGGCTAGAGTGCAGTGGCGTGATCTTGGCTCACTGCAACCTCTGCCTCCCGGGTTCAAGCGATTCTCCTGCCTCAGCCTCCTGAGTAGCTGGGACTACAGAAACCCACCACCACGCCCGGCTAATTTTTGTACTTTTAGTAGAGACAGGGTTTCGCCATGTTGGCCAGGCTGGTCTCAAACTCCTGACCTTAGGCGACTGGCCCACCTCAGCCTCCCAAAATGCTGGGATTACAGGCGTGAGCCACCACACCCAGCCCACCCCCATAGCATTCTACACCCACTCAGCCCCACTTCAAGTATAAGCAGCCTCACAGTGAAAGCCAAAGAAAGTATCTAATTCAGGATTTCTCAAGGATGTGCTTTTGGGACTACGGGCAGAGCAATTCTCTGTTGAGGGACTGTCCCATGCATTGTAGAACATTTAGCACCCTGGTCATTAGGGAGCTGATGGCTCTAGCATCCCCTAGTGATTTTGAGAAGCAAACAGTATCGCCTAGGCTTCCAAACTTCCCTTAGTGGAGCAGTATTTGGGGTATTGTTCCTGCCCCCACACAGGGGTCCTATCTCCCAAGCAGTCGCTGTATGCAGATGTTTCTCTTGCCTGCCATCCCCTGAAAAACCAGCCCCCAGGGACACGTCATCTACCACCTCACCGTCTCACATCAGGGTAGATTGACAGGCTGGAGGGCCCACCCAGTCAGCCTGCATGTATGTCTGAAATAGCTTTATTCTACCCTCATCTTGGATTGAATTTGGCTGAGTATAAAATTCTTGAATTTGGCTGAGCATAAAATTCTAGGCTAGTAGTCATTTTTCTTCGGAATGTGGAGACATTTCCTCATTATAAAATTTTTTTAAAAGCATGTACCCTCTTATTGTAGTCTTAAAAGGTTCATGGAACTAATCTAGGGACAGATTTAGGCAAACAGCAGAATGCTCACCTGAAAAATAAAGTATTAGCAAGATACCAGGGCGATTTGACCCTCGCTGGCAGGTCTTTGGAACCATTAATTATATGCTTGTTTTATTCATGATTTGTAATGTTCTGGGATACCAAAAGTAATTCTAATGGTGGTTGAATTTAACAAAAAAATTAAACCTCATCTTAAAATGTCCACTGATTCATCTCACGCAATGACAATATTCAATGTTTAAAGGAACATAAAAACAAACACGCACACAACTGTGCAGTTTTCATAAAAGTCTATTTCATGATTGGTGAGTAGCATATTTAACAGTTATATACATCTAAACAATGTACAGGTAACTGCAGGACTGCAGCATTGGTAACTACAGAGAGAGAGAGAGCTTATTCAGCTAGAAAGCAGCTAACAAGTAACTGTCTAAAGATTTAAAATACAGCTCTTGTTTAGATCATCCTTCATTTTGATCACCTTCTCAGGGGGAAAAAGCCTGCTCGTCACAATGGAAATACATCAAGGCCAAATCTTCTGCTATCCATTCCCAGAGGTTTCTTTCATCTGGATTAAGCCTGCAACTCCAGGGCAAGGCCAAGTGTGTGGCCTCCAGCATCCATGCTCTTCCCATCTACCAGAGCAGACAGGGTGAGCTTCACACCAGGCCTCAGGGGTGGAGTGTAGCTGACCCCAGTCAACCAGTTGTTGACTTTTGTAGAAATGGAAGCAATGGGTTTCAACTGAAATTTAGCTGCAAGGCCAAAACGAGTGCAGCTGGTACCTGATGTCCAAGCAAGGTTTACTAAAGCATCAAGATCTTCACAAACTTTCTGATAAACTGATCCTCCAAATTCTGCCCCATCATTGACATTAGTGTGCAGCTGGAAGTCCCCAGTCCTGTAGCCCACTGCAAAGTTATTCTTTGTCTGCTTTGACTTGGTGCTGTTAAAGCTCATCTGGTACCCAGCAAGCTGAGCCATGAATTGCAAGTCCAGCAAAATCAAAGTTAACATCACGGCCAAGCTTTACACGCTGCTTCTTGTAAGAGGACTTGATTTTGCCACTTTTCTTTCCTATGTTTGGTGAGAAGCTAGTATCTAATATCATTTTCAAACCTTGACAAATTTGGTCTTCAATTGTGATTTCTGTCCCCAGAGTGTCATCAGTGTTCCATTTTTCTGTGAAAGTCAAATCATACTTGCACCATTTATATTTGGACTCCAAGATCCCAGTAACTTTACCAGTGTCTGTATTAGATGAACCAGACTTTAAGAATTCCACGCCACCACATGACTTTGCTTTTACCTCGTTTCACCAACTTAAAACCAAATCCTTTGTTGAAACCCTCTCTGGGAGCTTTGACAAGGTGAGCGTATGATGGAGGAAGGAAGACACACTGGCTGTGTACAGGTCTGTCGGTAGGTTGACATGGTCAGGCCTCAGGAAGAGGTGATCTGGTGGTCTCCTTAGTGAGGCTGCTGCTGTTGCTCCACTTGCAGGTGAGGCCACTGGACTCACTCATGGAGCTGCACCTGCCATGGCTGGGAGGCAAGGGAAGGAGCTTCATTGTCTTTTAGCTTCTAGTATTGCTGTTGAGAAGTCTGATGCCACTGATGCTTTATCCTTGTATGTGACCTGTTCCCCTAGCCCCTGCCCTTTGAGAGTCTTCTCTTTACTTCTGGTGTTCTGGATTCTATGATAAAGTGCCTTTGTCTGTGTGTGCCTCTGTATGATTTGTATGTGCCTGTGTCTGTGTCTCTGTGTGTGCATGTGTCTAAGTGCCTGTGTCTGTGTTACTATGTGTGTAAGTGCCTATGTCTGTGTGTCTGTGTGCCTGTGTCTGTGTGTGTAAGTGTCTGTGTCTGTGTGTCTGTCTGTGTGCCTGTGTGTAAGTGCCTGTGTCTATGTGTCTGTATGTGTATATGTTTACGTTCACTGTGCTGGGCACTCCATGAGTGATTTTAATCTGAAAGTTATATCCTTCAGTTATGGGAAATTTTCCCTTTACCATTTCTTTAAAAATGTTTTCTCCCTTTTCTCTGTTTTCTCTTTCTGGATTTTGATTATTCAGATGTTTGACCTCTGGACTAATCTAGTGCTACTGTTTATCTCTGGTTTTCAATCAGAATCTCTCTCTCTTTCTCCATCTCTCTCATTTCTCTTTTTCTTTAACTTTCTGAGTGACTTTTGTGAAAAAAACATTGTAAAGTTTCCATTGAATTTCTAAGTTTTGCTATCAAATCTTTAACCTGTTTTTGAACATATACCCCTTTTAAGTTTCCCTTTTCCATTTCACAGGTGCAATATCTTCTATCACTTTGAGAATATTATTTATAAGTTTTGCTGGCATTTTCTTTTGCCCTTGTACTCTCTTTTCTCCCAGTGCCTTTTCTCTGTTAATGTGTCTTATTCCTTGTCTTTGACTTTAGAGGTGTTCTTCAGAAGGCAGGTGATCCTTAGCTACTCATACTTATTTTGGTATGAGTCACATAAAAATTAATTAGAAGCTCTAGTTCATGCATGAACCTCATGGTCTTCCAACCTTCTCTGTATTCAGCCATGTTTTGTTAGGAGACCCCCAGATGTGGATATCTGTAGGTATTGTCTCCTGGGCTGGTCAGTTTCCCCAAGAGGAATCTTATGTCAGCCATATGTATGTCTGGATGTACAAGCCTGACTCACAGTAAAGCATGTGGATTTCACTTAATCCCACTTTCAGAATCAAAAGTCTCAACCATCTTCTGAGCTACTGTTGGTATCTCCAAATCCAGAGCCTCTCTAATTTACCTTCTGCAGAGAGTAAGCCTCCTTTCTTCTACTTGGGTGAACAGGTACCATTGCTGGATAGTACAGGCTTGGGGTATAACTGCTCTTTATGAAGACTTTTTACAAATCCTGTGGTTTTCTGTCCGCCCCCACATTCTGGCTTTCAAAGATATCTGATGTTTCTGATTCCTAAGCCCTGCTGAGGCTTGAGGTGCACATTGGCTTGCTTCTTTTTCATTTTTCCACTTTCTAGCTTTGATTTCAGGGTTCTAAACTCTGCCAAGTCAGTTACCGCTCATCCAACTGCTTCTCAACTTCCCCAAAGCATGTGGATCGCTCTCACCGTCTGCCATTTCTTCTTCCATTCTCATTGTAATTATGAGTGTTTGCCTTTTGTATTCTTTCCCTGTCACTTTTGTTGGGATTAAGGTGAAGGCAGTGTATAGCCTCTTCAGATTTTTTTTTTTTTCAGCTAGCAATATGCATTTTAGGTTCCTCTGTGCTTCTATGCATTCACCTACTGAAGGACATCTTGGTTGCTTCCACGTTTTGGCAATTATGAATAAAGATACTGTAAACACCCATGTGCCATATGCAGGTTTCTGTGTGGACATAAACTTTTAACTTATTTGGGTAAATACCAAGGAGTGAGATTGCAGGATCATCCGGTAAGAGTATGTCCAGGCTTTTGTTGTTGTTGTTGTTGTTCTTGTTTTGTTAAGAAACCACCAAACCCTCTTCCAAAGTGGCTGTACCATTTTGCATTCTCACCAGCAGTGAACGTTGCTCTACATCCTCACTAGCATTTGGTGTTGTCAGTGTTTTGGATTTTAGCTGTTCTAATAGTATAATAATATTTTTAATGTCCTTGTCTCCTAATTCTATAATCTCTGTCAGTTCTCAGTCTAAGTTGATTGGTTTTTTTCCTTATTATGGGCTATATCTTCTTGCCTTTATACATGCCTGAAAATTTTTTATTCATTACAGAAATTGTAAATTTTACCTTATTGGGTACACAATATTTTTGTATTTCTATAAATATTCTTGAGCTTTGTTAGGGATGTAGTTAAGTTTGATCCTTTGGGTCTCTTAAGCTTTGTTAGATAGGACCAGAACTGCATTTCATTGTGGACTAATTTTCCCCCACTATTGAGGGAAGACCCTTTTGAGTACTCTATCTGATGCCCCATGAATGATAAAGTTTTATACTCTGGCTGGTAGGAATAGGACCAATTCCTGGCTCTGTGGACTGTTCTCTCTAATCCTTTAGGGTGCTTCTTTTCCCAACCTTGAGTAGGTTCCTTACCTTTATGCATGGATCAGGATTCAGCTGAAGAGTCCAGGGAGACCCCCTGCAGACCTCTGGGGCTTCCTCTCAGTGGTGCTCTCTCCTCTCTGGTACTCTGCCCTGCACCCTCTAGAGGCCTTGATCTCCCCAGATTCCTAGCTCCATCTCTGAAACTGACATCCTCTTGGCTTCTTCCTTCCTATCTCAGGGGCCTGGAAACTCTCTCCAGCCAGTAAACGGAGGCAGTCACAGGGCTCACCTCCTTTGCTTCCCATCTCTCCGGAATTGCTGCCTTTCATTGCCTGATGTCCAATGTTGTTCAATATTTTGTCTTGTTTTTAATTTTTTCAGCCAAGGAAATAAAAATGGTTTCCTTTATTTCAACTTGGCTGGAGATGGAAGTCTAAAGATTTCTTTTGAATTAAACTAATTCATTAATAAAGACAAATCTTTATTACTGTAGTGTTCAGAACAGATAGACTCCACAGCAGCTGTGGTCATGATAAAAATAAAATCTAGCAAGCACAACCCTTTGGTCTGTGGTTTGGGTAAGCTGTGACGGAGCCACCAGGAGGCTCGTGTTCTCTGGCCACTCCCTCCCTAGACTGGGACCTGCAATGGTAGCAGTCAGTGAATCCATAGTGGAGGCTGGGTCTGATTTCCTGGAAGGCCAGAGGCCAGTCTCTGTCTTTGGGAAGTAGAGCAAGGGCGTAGGATGGTGGGTGAAGATGAAACCATTGGAAAAGTGATTATGATATCATGCTGTTTTTCTTATTAAAAAGTTCCATCTAACCATTTGGAAAAAGGAATATTCCTAAGTAGGGGATTTATGTTGGCAACTTGAGAAAGACCATGTAACTGGATGACTCCCTGGACCTTCATCTCTTATCTCCTGTGGCCTTCTGGTGCTATCCTGCTGTTATCCTGCAGCTCAGGGGGTACAAGTCTCTGGGCCAGCTTGTTTCTCACATACCCAAAGATGAGCCCTTTGATCATAAGCACTTCAAAAATTTTACCTTCATGATAGAATTCTTTCCAAAACGTGTTGCATACTTTCCTGCCTTGGTAAGAATAATAAAATGGCAATACTACTACCACTAATAATGAATGCTTATTGAGTTTGGCACTGTTTAAAGTGCTTTGTGTGTGTTAATTCATTTAATCCTTACAACAGCCCTGTGAAGTGGGTACAAGTATTCTCACCATTTTGTAGATGAGGAAACATACACAAGGAGATTAGGAATTTATCCAAGGCATACAGAGCACACAGCACAATTTTATCTATTCTTGGCCCCCTAGAGATATCACTAGGATCATCAAATATTGGACTGTGGCCATGAATGCAGACATGAACGTGGATGGGCCTACAAGTTTGAGTACGAAACTGAGGCCCCTCGAAGTTAGGTTCCTTGTGAGCCCATTGAGGACTTTGTCGGAGCAGCACTTGTTCTACATGAAAGCCTGCAGAGAAGCAACTCTGGAGGTGTCTCCTAGAAAATAAGAGTCACAGGAGATTGATGAGGACAGGGAAGAGTGGAGAACTGGAAACAACGTGGTTGGGGGAGGCATGGTGGTGGGGGACATTAAAGGTGCACAGATGGCAGCCACAGTGGGCTTCCCTGAGCATGAAGCAGTATGATTGCAGTTGATTCTTCCATAGATTGAATGGGGCCATTCAGACTTGGGCTCACCTGTATTGACGGTGACCCTGACAGTTACCTAACCTTGCCATGGGTTAACTAACACACTGATAAAATAGAGAAAATAGTACTTAAAATTTAGGTATGACTGGCTTGGATTGGCTCAAATATGTATATAAAGTGCTTAGCAGAATGTCCGGAATGTAGTAATAACTCAGTGAATGGTCTTAGCTGTTTTTAATAATGAAGCTCTGGAGTGAGGCCAAGAGGAACAGTTGCCTTTGGTTACATAATCCATCTTGTCCATGACTTTGAATTTAGTCTCAGGGGCACAATGGGCAGGTTTCTCTGGAGGATGCTGGTTCCCTGAGAGGTGAGAAGCTGGGCTAGTAAGCTTGGACCCATGTTCCCACCCCACTGGGCAGCCTTACTGGGCATGGCCCTTTCCGTTCTGGCTCCCTGGGACTTGGCTCACTGAGTTTGGCTCTGGGCAGAGTCGTATGACTGGTCCTCACTGCACCCAGCTTGCTCTGGCGGGTATCAGGTGGCCTGCAGCTTGAAGAACTCCTATGTCAGCAGCTCTGGAAGCCAGCAGCTCTGAGGGAGAGACCAGAGGTCTTGAGCTGGAGACACCCAGAGGCCCAGTGGCAGACTAGTCTAGAACAGGGACATCAGACCTGGCAGCACATGGCTCAGCCCCGTGGAGTACAGACTGCAGTGGCTTCAGCTGGCCCCCAGGCCCCTTCTCCTCTGGCCCAGATATGAACCACGCCCTGTACAGACCGGAGGACTTTACCTCCTAGGAGCCGCAGCTTCCTACAGAAGACCAGTGGGTGTGCCAGCGATGTTAGAATGGGTCCACGTGCCCCAGGAAGGCAGCCTTTTCCGCAGCACAGAAGTGGGAGAGCATAGCTGGAAGGAATGGAGGACAGCGGAGCAGAACTCAGGACCAGAGGGAGGCCTGAAGGAAGTTGTCTTAGTGTAGTCTGGTATAGAAAACTTTTTTAAAAAGAAAAGTAATTTTAGTATTTTCAAATCCTGTATCTAATATTTAAGGGAGAATTGATGCCCTAGGAATTTTCGACATTTTTCTTTTTCACATCAAAACCCATTCTCTAAATGAAATTGCTGGTGGAAGCCGAATGAGGGGAGCAGGTTGAAGCAGGGCAGCTGTGCTGTGGCTGATGCAGGCGCCCGGAGTCCTGCCCCCGCTGCGTGTGGCTCCGTCAGGAAGCCCGAGGCCCACCGCTACAGAAACAAGGGCCATGCTTTGAAACATCTGTAAAATAAGAGAAAGAGAAACCCAGGCGCTGCCAAAAGAAGCAGTGCCCCGTAACAGCCCATGTCCCACTGTGCCTTTTGGGCAGAGGCGTCTCCCATTCTACAGCTTCAAGGTTCAATTCATGCCTCATCTTGAATTCCCACTGATTCTGGACTGGCAGATCCAAGTGAATGAGCATTTTATTTTATTTTATGTATTTTGTGAGATGGAGTCTCGCTGTGTCATTCAGACTGGAGTGCAGTGGCATGATCTCGGCTCACTGCAACCTCCGCCTCCCGGGTTCAAGCGATTCTCCTGCCTCAGCCTCCTGAGTATCTGGGATTATAGGCGCCTGCCACCACACCCGGCTAATTTTTCTATTTTTAGTAGAGACAGGGTTTCACCATGTTGGCCAGGCTGGCTTTGAACTCTTGACCTCGTGTTCCACCCGCCTCGGCCTCCTAAAGCGCTGGGATTACAGGTGTAAGCCACCATGCCTAGCCAGAATGAACATTTTAAAAAGTAACTTTTGAATTAATGAGATAAGATTTACGCTTCATTTTTTTTTTTTCGTATTACCACCCAGTTTGCCAAATGAACCATTGCCAGTACTTGAGAAATCTCAAGAGCCCCCACTGCATCATTCTTGTCTTCCCCAGAGGGTACTGCTATCCTGACCTTTGTGGTACTCTTTTTTTTTTTCTTTTCCTAATAGGTGTATCACCTGTGTATGTATCTCTAAGCACTATAGTTTAGTTCTGCCTGTTTTTAAGCTATATAGAAATGAAATCCTAATTTCATTCTTGTAGAAGTTGCTTCTTTCATTTAGCAGGATGTTTGTACGATTTAGCCGTGTTATTGAATATCTACTTGCAACTGATTTTGAGTGTATCATTTCCATGTCTTTGGGAAAGTCATTTAACTTTTTTGAACCTAGGTTGCCTCATCAGAACTCCAAATTCCTCTCTTACTGGAGAAGAGAGAAGATAAATGTAACACAAGGGTCACAAATCACTACTGGGGATGGGAGAAAAGAGAAGTAGACACTTATCTATGACTACTGACTCCCTTTTCACTGAACTCAAACAGAGAAATGAACATATTTGTGAACAATAGGAGGTTGGGCACTATGCTATGCAGTCTTTCTCTGTGTTAATTGATTAAATTAAGTAATTAAACAAATATTAATTGAGTGCTACTATTGTGCTAAGCATTAGTGATATAAAGATGAACAAGACCTAATCCCTCAAGGAGCTCCAGTTTCAATGAGAGAGAGAAAGAGAGAGAGAGAGAGAGGCAGTAAGTAAATGCTTCTTATTCCATACGGTAGAGCAGTAGGGGTTGTAATGGGGGTTTACGCACACTGCCTAATTAGCCCACGGTGAAAAGTGGCCAATTAGACCTTCAGCACCGTGCAAGGTGATGCAGAAGGGGTGGCATTTGCATGGTGTTTTGAAGGCCAAGGAAAAGAAAGTAGAGAAGGGGGACATGGATGAAGCTGGAAACCATCGTTCTGAGCAAACTATCGCAAGGATAGAAAACCAAACACCGCATGTTCTCACTCATAGATGGGAGTTGAACAATGAGAACACTTGGACACAAGGTGGGGAACATCACACACTGGAGCCCGTCATGGGGTGGGGGGAGAGGGGAGGGATAGCATTAGGAGATATACCTAATGTAAATGATGAGTTAATGGGTGCAGCAAACCAACATGGCACATGTGTACATATGTAACAAACCTGCACGTTGTGCACATGTGCCCTAGAACTTAAAGTATAATAATAAAAAAAAAAAAAAAAGAAAAGAAAGTAGAGAAGAGAAGCTATGTCAGTCCAGGAAAGAGCATGTGTATATTTGTAATCTATTGCTGTGTAACAAATTACCCCCAAACTTAGCAGCTTAAAACAACAAACGTTTATTACCTCACACTTCTGTGGGCCAGGCATTTAGAAGCAGCTTAGCTGGTAGACCTGGCCAGGATGTCCCCTGAGATTGCTACTGAGAAGTTGTCTGGACCTGCAGCCATCTGAAGGCTTGACTGAAGCTGGAAAATCTGCTTCTAAGCACTCTCCTGGGGCGATGGGCAAAAGCCTCTGTTCCTTGACGGCTGTTGGCCAGAGGCCTCAGCTCCTCATCACATGGGCCTCTCTGGAGGCTTCTTGGGTATCTGTGTGATGTGTCAGCCAGCTTTCCATAGAGTGCATGATGAGAGAGAAAATAAGCAGGAAGCCACAATGCCTTTTATGCCTTGGTCTCTGAAGTTGCTGTCATTTCCGCATTATTCCATGTTAGAAGGTAGTCCTAAAGTCAGCCCACACTGGAGGGAAAGGGAATCGGGCTCCACCTCATGAGGGGAAGAGTACTAAAGCATTTGCAGTCACATCTTAATTCTACCACCGAGTACATGAGGTATGGATGTTGCTGGCATGTGTAGAGGAAAGTGAGATGCCCGTTGTGGCTAGAATGGGTTAGTGTGGAATAGTTGGAGTAAAGGGGTGCCCAGAAATGAGACTTGAACTGGAGGCTGGGCCCTATGGTCAGAGCCTGGCATCCCAGGCTGCAGAGCTTGGGCTGCAGCTTGTTTCTCCAGGTGTACTCAGGCTCGAAGCACCCTGGGGCTGGGAGTGCCCTGCCTCTTAGTGGTATACTTAGTACTTTGCTGGGAGCTCAGCACCATGACTGGACATACTACCCAGAGGCAATGGGGCCACACAGGCTGGTTCCCTAAGAGATTCAGCCCCAGAGGAACTGTGAGGCCTCAAAGCTAATGGTGCTGGGCCACTCTGTGAGCTGACGGTCTCTCCTCAAATAGCCGCCAGCCGGGCCCAGTTGTACCCTGATGGAGTGGCACAGCCAGAGCTGCCCACCCTCCTCTGCCAGAGCCATCTCACATCTTAGAGGGGAGCAGAGTGCTGACCTGCCCCCACCAACACTCTTCACATCAGGGGTTCTGATAAGCCTGGTGGAAAATTTCAGCCACTCTTTTCAGGAAGATGTACACACATAACTTGTGCATTTGTGAGCCTGTTGGGGCTTTTCTAACCCCTCTTAGACCATCTAGGCACCTCTCCCCTACCACTCCTCCAGACCTCCCCCAGCTACAGGTTAAGAGATTTGCTGCTGTGCTGTGACTCCTCCATCCCAGACTCTCCTAGTGGGTGGGTTGGCAGGGGCAGGGGGTGGATGGGAAGAGACAGCTGGGCACTCCCCGTTTGAGTCCTCAATAAGATTGTCTCAGTAAGCTTTCTCCAAGTCCTTACTCTCTGGCTTTGGAAAGTTTCAAGCCTTTCCTAAGATTTTCCCGTTGTGGACACCTTTATGGTCACCTCCAACTCTAAACTCCTGATTCCACAGAACTAATTCAGTTCATGGGTTACCCTGAATCCCCTGTGCTACTCCTGTTCTGTGCCCCCATGGTCCCAGAGCCCAGAACCCCAATTTAGCTTCTTACATAATTCCACAAAACACCCTAAATTGTACGAGACATGGTGTTAATTATAGATGTGACTGTAAGTCTGTAGGAGGAGAGATTTATGTCATAGCATTCAGCGTTGCCAGATAACACCCAGGATACCCGGTTAAATTCAAATTCCAGATAAACAATGGATAATTTTTTTCATTGTATGTCTCTCCCTGCCTCCAACCCCCCATCCCTGAATTTTTTCCTAAATCTGGCAGCCCTAACAGCAATGCCAACAACCTTAAATTGCACGTTAGACATCCCTGGTCCTTGGTCTGCCCTCCATTGGGGATTTTTCATGGGCCATGGCCCCTCTGTCGTTCCCAGTGCCCCGCATCTCATTGGCTCTCTGCTCCCCCTCTCTGGTTTCCCTTCGCTCCGGTTCCTCTTTTGTCCTAGTGCAGGTTAGCTTGCATATCTTGCATATCCAAAACCATCCTGGCTCTGAGCACAACAAAAGGGCCTTTCATTCACCCAGATCTGCTCTCCTTCCAAGGTAGCTCCCTCTCTTACATAAATATCATATGATAAGACTCTTAAAGCAGGCCACCATGGTGACAGCAAGGCCTTGCCTTCCCCTCAGGATGGTCACACAGCTCCCTTGCAGGCTGTGATGTTCCTGGTAGAGGAGGTATGTGAGGCTGAACTATTCACACATTCAGTGCATAGTTATTGCATCGTATACTTAATAGGCCCTGGGTATAAAATGATGAATACAATGAGGTGTGGGGCATTGAGTGGTGAGTGAGACCTCAGGGCAGGGAGCCACAAGATCCTGTAGCTGGTTCAGGGTGGAGGGATACTTAGTGAGCTATGAGATCCCATAGGAAGGGTCAATCTCAGAGGGCTTCTTGGAGGGAGTGTCATTTCAGGCAGTCCAGGATGGATAAAAGGGACTTCACAGGCCAAGAAAAGGGGACAGATACTCATTCTAAGCAGAGAAAATATAGGTACAGGGAGTGAGAGAGAAGTTGGCATGGTGGGAAATGTACAGGTAAGGCCAGTAAGATGAGGCGGTCCTGAGGTTTGTGCTGAGGTTGGTGCACATCTGTTTGTTATATGCCCCTGCTTACAGCAGAAAGAGCTCACCTCCTTTTGTTCACACGTAAGTGACAGCAAGTGTATTTATTTCCTGTTGTCCTGTAACAAATTAGCACAAACTCAGCACTTTTAAGCAACATGCATTTATTATCTCATATATTCTGAGAGTCAGGAATCAGAGCACAGCTTAGCTGGGTTCTCTGCTTCAGGGTCGCTTTCAAGGCTGCAGTCAAGGTGTTGGTCAAGGCTGGGCTCTCATCTGAGGCTCGACTGTGGAAGAATCCACTTCCAAGCTCACTGATGTGGTTGCTAGTGGAATTCACTTCTTTGCAGATTGTTAGACTGAGGGCCAACACTGTCTGTCAACTGGAGACCACTCTCAGTTCCTCGCACATGGAGCCCTCTGAAGTGGCACTTGCTTCATTGAAGGATGCAAGCCAAGAAGGCAATAGAGAGAGTCTTTCAGTAAGATTGAAATTATAATTCATGTAATATAATTACGGAAATGACATCCTACCACCTTTGCAGTGTTCTTTTGGTTAAAAGCAAGTCATAGGTCCTGCCCACAGTCAACAGAGAGACAGACAAAGGGACCTACATGCCAGGAGGCAGGGAGCATTGAGAGCCATCTTAGAATCTGTCCACCAGGTTAAGCAACCGTGAGTTGTGTGAATATGTGATGGGGCATGGCTGGCAGTGATGGGTCCCTTTGGGGAGGGAAGTGCCATATTGGTGAGAGAGAGGGGCAGGGAGACCTACCCAGGACAGATTTGTGCAAACCCACATGCTGGTCTCATTGGGTTAGGGAGAGCTGGCCTTCTCTTAGCCACCCCTGCACAGAGATGACATTCTTTCTCTGGAAGAAGGCCTGATGCCTCTGAGTTGGCTTCCTGTTATGACAGGCCATGATGAATGGGCATAGGCCCCTTCATCCTAGTTTCACCCCTGGGGCCCTGTATACCTTGCCAAGGAGGTTGATAGGACATGAATTAGGGTAGTAGCCATAGGGATGGGAAAGAAAGACTGAAAAAGGATTTAGAAAGTAATATTGGATGACATATGACAGATTAGATGTGGAAGAAATGATGTGTAGGGAGAGGCGTGGGAATACGTTTCTGCAGTGGGAAATTTGGTAGACGGTGATGTCATTAACCAAGAGAAGAAAACATGGATAGAAGGTCTGGGGTCTTTGGTCATGCTGATTTCCAGAAGAGGATGCAGATAATTACCAGTATAGTTTCAGAGCTCCAGACCAGGAGGCCGGCTAGGGATGGACAACTGGGAATCACAGTGAGGAGATGGTAACTGGAGCCTCCTCTGTGGTGTAAAGCACCCAAGCAAGCAAGAGTCAGCCAGGACAGATTCCTTGAGGAGCATCTATCCAGGAAGAATTAGCAAAGGTGGAAAAACCGGAGAAGGCTGAGGAGTGGACAGAGAGGCGGGTGGAGAACCAGGACAATGCAATGTCCTAGGAGCCAGGGGAGGAGCGGTTGGCAGCATCAAGTCCTGTACAGACAGGCGAATGGATGCCGCACATCACTGTGACTTTGTAGAGTCAGGTGCAGGGAGCAGAGGAGACAAAGCCCTATCCCAGGGGGCTGAAGAGTAAATGGGAGACAATTTAAAGAAAAGGGACTAAGGCTTAGCAGGCAAAAGTGTGAAATTGGAGTGCTGGCTCCACAGGTTGCCAGCTGAGCGGCATCTAGGCAGGCCCTGGCCTCTTGGAAGAAGAGGGCACACAGCACCCCTCCTAGGGCTGTTGTGAGGTGTAGTGAGGTTGTGCCTGCCTGTGACAGCACAGGAGGAACAGCACAGAGCTCATCTCTACTTCTGCTCCTGCTCCCGCCAGTGTCTTCTTGAAAAATGGTCTTTTAAAACTATTGCCCTCCCCAGCTTACATGTTCCCTCAGTGTGTGGGATAACATTCACATTCCCTGCACGAGTTGGCCTCTACTTATCTCCCCATCCTCACACCCTCGCTCCTGTCCTCCTTGAACATGTGAAGCTCTTTCAAACCTCGGAGCCCTTCCCTGCAGAGTTTCCCCTGCGTGGGCCTTTCTTCCGACTTAGTTGTTGTCAGTCACCCTTCTGGGAAGTGATGGCTTAAATGTCATTTCCTAAATAATTCCTCTGGCTCCTGACCTGAGTTAGGCTTCCTGGCATCTTCTCCAGCACCTGGCACAGTTCCAGATGCATAGCAGGAATGCAAACAAATGCTCGTCCATGAATAAAGGAGAATACCAGCAACTGGCTGTGTGACCTTGGGCAAGTCACTTCACCTCTCTGTGCTTTAGAGTTTCCTCCTCTGTAGTAGGAAGTAGGACTATGTATCTCTAAGATCTCTTTCGGCTCTGGCAATCTTTGGCTCTTTAATGCTAGTGTCTGTACAGGTTTCTCATAAGGCTTCACGGAATAATGCAAGTGAGAGCCTTGTTGAATTGAAGGGGGAGGGGGAGGAGGCTAGGGAGCTTGGCAGAGGCAGCGGAGTACCCACAACGAGGCCCACTCACCCACTCATTTCCTCAGCCACCCACGGGGCCTGCAGTCCCCACGTGTAGCCTGATAGGCAGGGACTAGGGGACAGCCAGAATCAAAACCACAGCCTCCCGTTTTTAGTGTGTGGGCTTCAATTCGATGAGCTAGGGAGGAGACTTCTGGAGAAAAAATACTCTGTAGGGTCACATACACCCAGACAGTGTGGACACCTGCTACACACACATACCAATATGTGCATTTACAACTAATTACATACAAAGGAAAGCACACACACACCCAGAGGTGCACAAGCACACGGTCAATGCCCTGCAGAGCCCACCTGCAGCTCCCTGAGCCCAGGACAGCTCTGTTACCCTCTGAGTCTCTGGGTCAATCTTTACCCTTGCCCTCTGGGTCTTCCCTCTCTCAACAAACCCTGAGGCTGGGCACTGAGGCCTAGGGGATTCAGTGATTTTACTGATAAGGCTGAAAACAGGCAGGAAGGGAGGGTAACTTACAGTGCTCTCCGGATGTTACAGTATTTGCATTTCCACAGTCTATGTGTCTGAAAAAAACTGGGTTTAGTCTAGAAACTTGGTGGTACGCAGGTGTAGCTTTCAAGAGAACTGGGAAACAATGCTGTATGGAGATGGTAACCACTTGTGAGCTGGGTCAGTTTCACTATTTACTATACAGGCTGGCCATGATCTCATTGAACTCTCAGAAGTGCCTTCTGCACAGATAATTTATAGATGATGAAACTGAGACTTGGACATGTAAAGTAATTTGCCCAAGGCATGCAATTTGTAATTGGCAGATCTGGGACTCAGGGAGTAGGCTTCTGATTCCAAAGACAAGTGCTCTTACCACCCCTACCAGCTCAGCCTCTTGCCTCTGGTGTGTGCCCCTGCCCCCTCCCGCCTCTGGGCTCCACATTCTGGCTGCTGACTCCCTCACACATGGCCTGGTGGAGCCCCTACCCATGCTGAGTGGGGCTGGGAAAATGGTGAATTTTCTAGAAAATTGTGAAAGCGCTGCCTACGAGAATGGCTGCCTGGGACACTCCAGCTGCAGGCCCTGGGGCAGTGCCCGTTTGGAAGGTGCAGAGTTTTCTGGAGATAAGCAAACATGAGTCAGGAGAAAGCGACAAACAGCTCACCCCTGCAGATTGGCTGCCAGGACGTGAGATGATCATGCAACGTCAAGCTAACAGCCTCAAATCTTTTTGAAATCGAGTGCCCAGTTGACAGTTAAATCAGTCCGGAGACACAACTTCTCTCCCTCTCAAAACATATACACACACGCGCACACGCGTGCACACACACACGCACACACACACACACTTGATGTGGATTGTGGGACCAGAGCATTCAGGACTTTACAGCTCTAAAGGACCTTCGAGCTCATTGAGCTCTTGACCACCTTAATGTCAAGAATCGCCCAAAGTACCCATTTAAAAGACAAATTCTAACCTCAGCCCATTCCAGGTCTCCAGAATTCTAAGGGAATCTCTAAAAATCTTCTCAAGAAGCTGGATGTTTTACCAGGTTCCTGAGAGATTCTCATCACATCAGAGTTTGTTCCTTCAGGGTTTTGGAACACTGAATCTAGACTAACCCCTTCATTTTATAAGCAACATTTTAGTGATCTACAACATTTGTGTGAGCTGCGCAAAGCCACACAGCAAGTTGGCAGCAGGGCAAACGTGGATTCCCAGCACCGGGCCTCTCTGTCACACCACTCTTCTGACCACATAGAAAAGGAAGGATGGAAGGAAATCAGAGTTACTGAGCGCCTGCCATGGGTTGGGGCATGCTGGACAATTCAGTAGTAAGAGCAAAGGGAACCCCCTGGGTGCCAAGTGCTGTGCAGGGCACTTTTCCTGCTTTTGGAATTTAATACTTATAGTAGCTCTTGGCTGGGAATGGTTACCCTCCTCACGTGCGAGATGAGGCAATGGGCACACAGGGGCTGGGCACTTCTCAGGACCCAGAGGCCCCAAGAGCTAGAGGCAGAATTTGAAGCTGGACCTCAGCTGGAACCTTGAGAGCCCAGGCTCTGAAGCACTGTGCTGCGTCAGCTCTCAGAGACGCACTTGATTCTGTTGCTGATTTCATCAAAAGCTCACAGAAACCTTGTGATGTAGGCGGCGTCTTGTAGAGTTGAAGAAGCCAAAGCCCGGGGTGACAACAAAACCTGCCCAAGATCACACAGCCAGCAAACCATGAAGGCAGATTCAGCCCGGGTCTATCTTGTGTCAAACCCACACACTCCTCACCACATGTGGCGGTTTCGGAAGCTCCTTCCTGGGGCTCCAACTACAGACTACCTCTTCTGACAGTCTCACCCCCGCTGTCCCAGCTCGAACCTTCACCCTCTTTGGGCAGTCTGCATCTGGGGGCCCCCTCACACCCAAGTGCTACTGTGTTTACACTTCTGTTTGTTCCTGAATTCTCTTCTGACCCTCAACTGCTTTGAAGTTCTACAGCCAGGCTCTGCACAGTTTTTGAAAAGCGGAAGACAGTAAATCTTGCAGGCTCTGGGGTCCAGACCATCTCTGTTGCGACCACTCAGCTCTGCCCTTGCAGTGTGTTTAGTTCAGCCATAGACAATTCGTGAATGCGTGAGCATGGTTCAGTACAGCTTTAGTTCATGAGCTGTTGTTTGCCCATTCCGATGTTCTAGAAGAATGCTGGGGATTTGAAATGCTGAAATTTTCGAATGCTGAAAATCCATTCGAGCAGATTTTTATTTGATTCTGCTCTTTATGGGACAGAAGACAAGTCTGTTTGGGAAGGCATGTGTTTGAAAAGAGCCTAAAGGTGTCTGACCATTGAGACCCTAGTGCCTAAAAATCTGGAAGAGACTGCCTAGTTCTCAGGGAATGTTCCTTCCTTCCTTTATTCATTCATAGACTAGTTTGGAACACCCGCCATGTGACAGGCATCGTGTTGAGCCTTGGTGAGACAGACAGGCAAGTCTTTGCAGAGCTTATAGCTCAGTTACTGCTGGGGCTGCCAATGTGATGACTAATAGCAAAGAGTGTAAAGAAGGACACGACTTAGTTGGGGGCTGGGGAAGACTTCCCAGAAGAAGCAATGGGTAAGCTGATTCCCCTGACTGGGAATCCAAGTGAGGGCAGAGACAAGGTACAGTGTAATCAATGCAGGGAAAGAAACATCAGGTGACAGGCTTTTACATGCCATTTTTAGAGAATATGTGCACTGCTGTATTGACCCTTTTGGGAGGGTCTGATTCTTTTAGACAACAGGAACATCCGCTTTTCCCACTGGCAGATGGATCAGGCTGTTGATCCTGTTCTGTGATCCAAATGGCTCAGTCTCCATACTGGGAGATGGGGAAGGTATAGCTGATGTTTTGTGTGAGTCGGTGAATTGTCACAGAAGTAGACAAAACCATGCAAAATTTCCATTTGTTTCTTTGGATTTACCTCTGAGCCGAGTCTCTCAGATCATTAGAAAAAAAAAAAAAAAACACCCCAGATCACAGAGTCTAATAGATAGAATGTTATCTTTAAGGCAACGCTTAAAACTCAATGTTCGTAATGTAATATTTATTTAAAACAAAATAGCTTAACTGTTTTTTTTTAAACGAAAAAATCTTACCTAATTAGTTCCTTGTTCTTTTGGCCCAAAAAAACTCAATTTTACTTTGTTAAAGAAAATATAAGAAATACCAACTACATGAGAAAGTTAAACTGATGTTTGATTCAAATACTAATTATTTTTATTTTTTAATTTTTAAAAAATTTTTTTCACAAAATTATTCACTCATTTTATACACATTTTTGAGCTCATACCATGTGCCAGGCATTGGGCTACAAAGATGAAAAAGACATCAATCCATTTTTATTTTTCAATATATTTCCCAGAACTTGTGTCATCTTAGGAGTGTCCGTGCTGCTGATTGGGCTCAGGGCACAGGTGCTGCTGGATGGTGTTTGGTGCTTTATGTGGTAACCTATTTCCCCAACAGGACATCATGGCTGCCAGGACGAAAGCGTATGCCAGTGGGCTGCATTGACCATGTGGCTTTGTGCATGTTTGGGGATGATTACAAGGATAATAGAGAGCATTTGGGGGACATTAGTGGCAGCACAGCACAAATGAAGCCAGTGCGTGGCCTGTCTCCTCCTTGCACGGTGCTTCTGGCTTTCTGCTGGTTAATACAAGATGCCATGGATAGATGCTCTTGGCAAATGTCCCTTGGGCTGCTGGCTGTTCACATTGCCCTTGAAATCTGAAATACACACCCTAGGGATTGAAAACTGCTGGAGGCTTCATGTTCATGGAGGGAAGCTGAGCTGTATTGGTGAGAGGAATGGCTGAAAATAAGTCCCTAGAGTAGCTTGGTGTGGAGTTTCTAAACAATTTCACATCCAGCAGGTTCCAGGAAGGGCACAAGGCTACCCAACCAGGTCAATGAAAGGAGGCCATTTGTTGAGTGAGGATGGGAAGGGATGGGCACCAAGGAGGGGCCTGCTGTGTGTGTGTTTGAGGGGGTGTGGGATGCAGAGGGAGGGGGAGGTACACCAGCCTGCAGTCTTGCATGACAGGGACTTGGAGAAGGGTCTCAAGGTCCTGATGTGAAGAGGATTGAAGCTGGCCTCAGAGGAAGCTAATCGTGGCATGAAGGAGACCCTGTGCTGGGGCCTCAGTGTGTGTTGTGGTTCTGTGGGGACAATTAGGGTTTCTGGGTTTCCTGAGCTGCAAAGCATCCTGCTCTCAACACCAGTGCACCAGGTGGCCCACGTCAGCGAGGCAGGAAGGAAAGGGCCCTTCACCCTTCCAGGTGTCTGTTTTACCCCCAGTTGTAGTTTCCAGAGCTCCAGGAGGTTTTTGCTTATGCCTAGTTTGCTGAACTTAGTACAGGAGGAGCCCATCCTGTGCATGTACCAACTACCAGGTTGGCAAATAGGTTTCATCCTGAGTGCCAATTCTGGTCAATGCAGGAGCTTCCTGGAGGACTTTGCTGAGACAGAATTCTTAGGCCACCTCTGGCCCTGCAGGAAAGAGGCTGTGATCAATTATTGATCCCTGCCAGGGATATGCCACCAACTTACCATCTCTATGACTCAGTTGTATTTCCCTAGACCCACTTGTGTAGACCCACGTGCTACCTAGACCTATGTGTGCAGTCTTGTGGGCACTCCATAAATACCTGTGAATGAAATTTAATCTACCTAGAGTGCCTCTCCTCTTGAGTGTCCAGTAGATTCTGTACTTCCTCAGATGGCTTAGCAGGTGAAAAGGGGAATATCCCTTTCGAGTTATCCTTGGAAACCTTATTGTTGGGCAGAGCAGGAAGGATGGGGTAGATGCCTTCATTCATTCTGCAGCTGTTTATTGAGTGTTCACTGTGGGCTGAACCATGGAGGCTGGGTGCTGGGGATACACAGTGTGTGCTGGAGCTGGGGACAGACTTGAGGCCCCCTCTCTCTGCTGAGGTAGAGAGCAGCGAAGGCACCTCACTGCTCAAAGGAGTCAGAGAAGTCTGTGCTTCTCAGTGGCTGAGGGGCTGGGGAGGAAGTCCTCTGCCAGAGCACGGGAACCTTGGCCTCAGGCCTGACAGGTGGCCCTTTTTACCACTGTTCTGCAGGCCTCCTGGGCTCCCTCTGGGGATGCTTGCAGCTTTCACTGAGCCAGTAAGCTCTTCTCTCGCCTGTGCACACTGGCAGAGGACTTGAAGTGCTTCCCAAAAATAAGCTGGTTGCCCCCGGGTCCTGCTAAGTTCTGGCAGTTCCAGAAGAAGCAGATAAAGAATGCAGAAGGTCCTCTGCCTTCAGTCTACCAGGTTGTCTCCCCTCCCCTCAGCCAGCCCCTTCCAAAGCCCACTGGGTAGGTCTGGTTTCTCATCCTCAGCACATGCAATCGTTAGATAAGAATGTTCCAAGAACCTGACTAGCAAGAGTTTCATTACCACTCATTTGGGTAAGTCATGATGTGCCTGTCCTTGTGATCAGCTCCTAAAAGCTCAGAATTTGCCATTTCATGCACTTAAAATGGTTAAAGAAGTGTTTTTGGGAAAACGCAGATGTTAATATTTCAAGTCACATAATAACTTTACAACTATCTTGTAAATACAAGTAGGAGCATTTTTGGTTTCATTTTGTATTCCGTTTACTGAAAAATTAAATAAATTAAAATCTTACCTGTTGAAACATGTATATGTGGATCTGTTCATGCACATTTATACCCTCATGTGTATAAGGAGCCACCATCACATGTGCTTATGCAGATGTCCATGTGTGAGTGTGCAGCGTACACACACACACACACACACACACGTCCTCATGCCCACACGCTAGCCTTTTGTTCTAGTTTCTGATCTTCTGTTATGGTTAGTTTGTAAAGAATTGTGTGTCCCACAACGTGAGGCTTGGAGACATAAGTGTTAGCTGCTACATCTCCTTAACGTATTTTTGTTTTCTCAATCTTCCTTTCATTACTCTAGATATTTGTCATACATTCAGTTACAAATTCATGGCCATCCAAAAGCTTCCCCAGGTATGTGTCCTTCTTCCTGCTTCTGGAGGCAGAGTGGTGTGGCAGGATGAGCATGGCCTTTGAAGTCACTCATGTCATTCACTGGACATGAATGATAAGCTGTGTGACCTTGGGCAGAGACTTAATCACTGGAGTCTCAGTCTCCCAATTAGTAAAACAGTGGTATGGCTGGGCACAGTGGCTCATGCCTGTAATTCCAGCACTTTGGGAGGCTCAGGCAGGCAGATTACAAGGTCAAGAGATCAAGACCATCCTGGCCAACATGATGAAACTTAGTGCCTACTAAAAAAAAAAAAAAATTAGCTGGTCGTGGTGGCACATGACTGTAGTCCCGGCTACTCGGGAGGCTGAGGCAGGGGAATCACTTGAACCCGGGAGGCGGAGGTTGCAGTGAGCTGAGATCGTGCTACTGCACTCCAGCCTGGTAACAGAGCGAGACTCTGTCTAAAAAAACAAAACAAAACAAAAAAAACCCAAACCCCAAAAAACAAAAAACAGTGGTATGCTGATGCCTGCCTCATGAGGTTGTGGTTAGGATGAAAAGAAGTGACATACATGAAATCAATGCTTCCTGCCTGCCACATGGGAGGGACTAGCCTCTTTCCCTCTGTAACCAGTAGGATAACTTCAATACTGTAGAGTAGAAGGGAGCCATAAAGGTCATGACCACCCCCACACCTGGCCTTCTCCAATCCTCTTAGTACCCCACACATAGAATCAGCACCAAGTATCAGCCAGGAGCAGGGTTGCAAAACCCTATTAGATTGAAGCTTCTGAATGTACAGCCCAGTCCTGACCAGTTCTAGGGATTAGGAAGGGAGTTACTTCTGCAGCAGGGAGCTCATTTCACTATCAGCAACGTCAGGTACCTGGAAAATACTTTCTGAAAAGACTGGACAAGAACAGCCAGGGAATGGGTTGGGAGGTGCAGGTGACAGCCTTTGGAAAGGGAAATGACCTGCAGAACCACTGTTGGTGCCTATATTTGTTCCTGGGATCAAGAAGAGCACAAGATTCATCCACTGAGATTCCTTACTTGCTGCTGCATGTTGCCAACAACTTTTTCTGCAATTACAAACTGAGAACATGTGGCATGGTCTGGACATTTGTCCTCTCCAAATCTCACGCTGAAATGTGATTCCCAGTGTGAGGTGGGCCCAGGTGGGAGGTGATTGGATCATGGGGGTGGATCCCTCATGAATGGTTTAACACCATCCCTTTGGTGATGAGTAACTTCTCACTTAGCTAATTCACATCAGATCTAGTTGTTTAAAAATCTGGGACCTTCCCCTTCACTCTCTTGCTCCTGCTCTTGCCATGTGATGTGCCTGCTCCTGATTCACCTTCTGCCATGATTGTAAGCTTCTTGAGGCCTCACCAGAAGCTAAGCAGGTGTTGGTGACATGCTTCTACAGCCTGCAGAACAATGAGCTTTTGTTTATAAATTACCCAGTCTCAGGTATTTCTTTATAGCAATGCAAGAACAACCTAATACAGAAAATTGGTACAGAGGAGTAGAGCTGTTATTAAGAGACTGGAAAATGCAGAAGCAACTTTGGAACTGGGTAACAGGCAGAGGTTGGAAGAGTTTGGAAGGCCCAGAAGAAGATGGGAAAATGAAGGAAAGTGTAGAACTTTTTAGAGACTTGTTAAGTTGTGGTGACCAAAATGCTGATAGAAAAATGGACAGTGAAAGCCAGGCTGAGAATGTCTCCGATGGAAATGAGGAATTGTTGGGAACTGAATTAAAGGTCACCCATGTTATGCCCTGACAAAGAACTTGGCTGCATTGTATTCATGCCCAAGGGATCTGTGGAAATTTGGTATTAAGAGTGATGATATGATATAGGGTGTCTTGCAGAAGAAATTTCTAAGCAGCAAAGCATTTGAGAGTAGCCTGGCTGCTTCTAACAACCTGTGATCAGATGCGGGAGCAACAAAATGCTTAAAGTTGGAACCTATATTTAAAAAGGAACCAGAGCATAAAAGTTTGGAAAATTTGCAGCTTAGCTATGTGGCAGAGAAATAAAAAGCCTTTTCAGGAGAGGAATCCAAGCAGGCTGTGGAACAACCACTTGCTAGAAATATTAGCATGACCAAAAGGAAGCAAAGTGCTAATTTCCAAGACATTGGGAAAATGCCCTGAAGGCATTTCAGAAATCTCTGAGGCAGCCCTCCCATCATAGGCTCAGAGGCCTAGGAGGGGAAGAATGGTTTCTGGGCCAGACCCAGGGCCCCATTGCCCTGTGCAGCCTCAGGACCCTGCTTCCTGCATCCTGGCTGCTCTGGCCCCAGCTTTGGCTCAAAGTGCCCCAGACACTCCTTGGGTGGCCACTTTGAAGCGTGCAAGCCACTGCTAGCCTTGGTGGCTTTCACATGGTGTTAAATCTGCAGGCGCCTGGAATGCAAGAGTGAAGGAGGCTTGGCAGCTTCCCCCTAGATTTCAGATGATGTATGAGAAAGCCTAGATGTTGAGGCAGAAGCCTACCACACGGGCCGAGGCCCCACAGAGTAACTCTACTAGGGCAATGTGGAGGAGTAATGTGGGGTTAGAGCTCCCACAAAGACTCCCCACCAGGGCACTGCCTAATGGAGATGTGGGAAGGGGCCCACTGCCCTCCAGATACAAGAATGGTAGATTCACCAGCAGCTTGTAACTTCTTCCTGGAAGAGCTGCAAGTACTCAACTCCAACCTGTGACAGCAGCCACCATGGGTTGTACCTTGCAAAACACAGTGGCAGGGTACACCTTGGGAGCCCACCTCTCACACCAGGATGCAGGATATGGAATCAAGGATTGTGTTGGAGCTTAAAGATTTAATGCCTTCCCTGCTGGGTTTCAGACTTGCATGGAGCCTATTACCCCTTTCTTTTGGCCAATCTCTTCCTTTGGGAATGAGAACGTTTACCTAATACCTGTACCACTCCTGTATATTGAGAGTATAAATCATTTGTTTTTGATCTCACAGCTTGTAGGTGGAAGGAACTCATCATCATAGGTAAGACTTTGGACTTCGGACTTGAGACTTGTGAGTTAATACTGGAACAAGTTAAAACTTTGGGCGACTATTGCAAAGGCACGATTGTGTTTTGAAATGTGAGAAGGATGTGAGATTTGCGGGGGGCTGGAGGTGGAATGATATGGTTTGAATATTTGTTCCCTCTGAGTCTCATGTTGAAATGTTATTCCCAGTGTTGGAGGTGGGGCCTAGTGGGAGGTGACTGGATCATGGGTGGATCCCTCATGAATGGTTTAGCACCTTCCCCTTGGTAATAAGTGATTTCTCCCCCAGTTAGTACACAAGAGATCTGGTTATTTAAAAGTCTGGGACCTCCCCACTCTTGTTCTCTTGTCCCCTTTCTTACCATGCAAAATGCCTGCTCCTGCTTTACTTTCTGCTATGATTATAAGCTTCCTGAGGTTCTCACCAGAAGCTTAGCAGATGTTGGTGCCATTCTTGTACAGCCTGCAGAACCATGAGCCGATTAAACCTCTTTTGTTTATAAATTACCCAGTCTTGGCTATTCCTTTATAGCAATGCAAGAAAGGACTAATACAACATGGAATGTATTTTCTTTTTCCTCTGATTATATTATCTGGGCACTACCGTGGATCAAAGCCGCAGTCATGACCTCATCATGTTGCTTCTGGGCGACAACTAAACAAATTTAAATATGAATTTAAAGCACACACATTTCTAGAAATCCAGTGTCAGAAGCCTTAAATATCAACTATTTATGTGAGTAGTCATCAAGCGTCTGGTTTGTGACGACTTTTGCACTGTTTTGTCACTATCTGGTGGCTTACAGGAAACCTCCCATTCTACGTGGTTGAAGAAAGAAGAAGTGACACCTTGATGTTTTTCTCAGAAGCTATGGTTGGGGACCTCCCCCTGAAAGCATGCAGATAATTAGTCATCTTGGAGACTATTTTTTAGTACAAGGTAGTCACAGGAAGGCCATGTGAGTACGGAAAGTTATGAGGCTTTGATTCTAATCCCAGTGCACCTTAAATGTCTGTGGGATCTTAGGAAAAATCACCCTTTCTGAGTCCCAGTTCTCTCAGATGTAATAAGAGAAGGTAGATAGAATGCTACCTAAGGGATTTTTTTTTTTGTCCTGACATTTTGTGATTTTTTTTTCACACACAAATAGAGGATGATATTTTGTGATTTTAATATAACCACAAAACTTACAGATCTGCAGAACTTTAGTCTATATCCTCATCACCTTCCTATAGAGCTGTGAGGAGATTCTTCTAACAACTCAATGTCTCTTCCTAGGTCAGTCTTTCTGGAGTGGTCCTTGGGCCTTTCAATACCCGAGTGTTCCTTCTAAAAGATACAACTAATGCCTTTTTCCCTTAAAAAAAAATCTTAATTGGAAACGATTTACCACTTTTCATCTTAACTATGGGTGGCATTTTTCTATTTCTTCACATGTCTAGTAATTTTTTTTTTTTTTTTTTGAGACAGAGTCTTGCAGTGTCACTAGGCTGGAGTTCAGTGGCACGATCTTGGCTCACTGCAACCTCCACCTCCCAGGTTCAATTGATTCTCCTACCTCAGCCTCCCGAGTAGCTGGGACTACAGGCACGCACTACCATGCCCAGCTAATTTTTGTATTTTTAGTAGACACAGGGTTTCACCATGTTGGCCAGGATGGTCTCGATCTCTTGACCTTGTGATCTGCCCACCTCGGCTCCCAAAGTACTGAGATGACAGGTGTGGGCCACCGCGCCCGGCCTGTTCAGTAATTTTTTATCGTGTGCTAGACTTTGGTGGATGATACTTTGTAGGGAGCCTGGATTTTCTTGTCTTCCTTTAAATGGTGGTGAGCTTTGTTCTAGCAGACAGTTAAACTACTAGCACATCTTTTTGGTCCTGTTAGGCTTGGTTTTATTCTTTGTTAGGGCAGGTCTATTTCTGTTTTGAACTTAGTCTTAGGGCACGCCTCTTAACCCTAGAATGTGTTCCCTGCTTTTAAAGTGTGGTCTTTCTTGTATCACCACTGAAAGCCTGAAGTGCTCAGTGAGGTTTCTCCACTCTGCCTGGAACTCTAGAGTCTCCAATATTGCATCATCTCTAGAATTACTGTCCGCTCTCAGCTCTGCGACTGGTGATCTTTGCTAAGCAATGGTCTCACCCAGTACATATATACTTTAACCCTGGATCAAGAATACTTATCCAGATTTCTCCCCCCATCCCCTAAAACACGTACACCATGTGCAGTTCCCTCTTCCTTCTTTCCCTGCCCCACACATCCCAGCTGCTTCAGCAGCCCAGAACTTCACTTCTGCCACCTCAGTTCAGCTTGAGCTCTACCTCAAGAGCTCAAGGAAAGAAAACCTCCCTAGACAGAAAGCCAGGCTGATCATGTGACTTACCTTGTATGTTTCTCTTCTCTCAAAAATCACGGGGCCCTGCACTACCTGCCATTCAGTGCTTGAAAACATCATCTCATGTATCTTGTTTGATTTTATGATTGTTTTTGACAGAAGGGCAAGTCTAGTACTAGTTAGTCTGTCATCCATTGAGAACTAAATCCCCATATTTCACAGCAAGAAGTTTGTACATAACACCTAAAACTGAATATTTTTATTTTTTGAGACAAGGTCTCACTCTGTCGCCCAGGCTGGAGTGCAGTGGCACAAACATAGCTCACTGCAAACTCAACCTCCCTGGCTCAAGCAAGTCCTCCCACTTCAGCCTTCTGAGTAGCTGGGACTACAGGTACAGGCGTGTGCCACCATGCCAGCTAATTTTTGACACGATCTCACTATGTTGCCCAGGCTGGTCTTGAACTCCCGGGCTCAGGTGATCCTCCCATCTTGGTCCCCCAAAGTGCTGGGATTACAGGCAGGAGCCACCACACCCAGCTAAAGCTGAATAATTAAGAAACAACCATATAGGCACATTTTCAATATATACAGGTAATCTGTAGACAATCCAATGTCAGAAATAGTCAAAAGTAATTCTGTCTACTTTGCAATTGGGACTGGCTGGGGTGAGGGATGGGGCTGGGTTCAACTGCTTTTTTAAGAAAAAGTCCTTCTGTACAATTTGATTTTCTAAATCATGTGTAGGTATTATCCACTCTTGTTTATCTCTGTATAAAGCCCAACCAAACTCTTCAGTTTAGCATACAAGGCCCCTCACCCACTTCGTCCCTGCACTTCAAATTCCTCAATAGTGAACCTCTCCCCCTTTCCTTGACATGCCATGCTCATGGCAGGATGCCTTGGCTCTGCTTCGTTGACCCTACCCATTTATCTCATCATTTAGATCCCGAGGCCTTTCTCCCCATCATGCTTTGGCCCTTGAGGGCAGTGGGAGCCCCGTGTTGGTGCTTGGCAGACAGCGTGCCAGGAGCGCTGCCGCCTTTCCATGTCTCTCTTAGTCATGTCACCTCTTGTGCATTTCCTCTCCATTTGTCAGCCTGGCTTGCTGGGTCTCACACATTCACTGCATTTTCTCACGGATAATCTAAGAAACAAAAACTGCTCAGTAGTCTACCTAATTCACAATGCATCTTGCTGGTAGAATAATCAAAATGAAATTTAAAAAAGTGAGAGTGGCGAAAAGTATACTTGATAAAATATTGTTTTTTAACCAAAAGATGTGTAAAATAATAAGATTCTAGACTATATTGATTGATATAAAATTTGACCCAGGAAAGTCAAAGTTGGAAGAATTAAAGGCCTATGTACATCTATCACCATGAAAAAAGCTTTATTCAGTACAATTTGGTGTGAACAAAACAAACAGATCAACCAGTGAAACTGGTACTATACAATGCCAAAGGAAGAAAAGAATAGATGGCAAAAATAATTCTGATAACATAAAAGTGAAAGTCAAAAAAATAGGAAACTATTGAATTGCCTTGCATTAGAAAATTGATGAAGGAAATAAATTGGCTCAACAGAGTTTATGCTGGAAAATATTTTCTTAACAGGAAAATATCCCCAGGATGAAGATGATGGGTTTGTAACACCCACTGTGTTCTTCTATTTCTCTGCATTTTTGTTCAAGGCCATCCTTTTGTCTAGAAGATGCTCTTCTGACTTGGCCTCCTCCCAACTTCTACTCACCCCTTGGTGAACTCGTGTCATCTCCTCTATGAAGACTTCCCTGCAACCCAAGGCACCTTCTCTGTACCTTCTTTGCACTCCCACTATCCCTTGCACATCTTTTATGTGGCTTGACTGTGTTGTATTTTTTGTTTTTTTCGAGATACAACTTCCCTCTGTGGCCCAGGCTGGAGTGCAGTGGTGTGATCATAGCTCACTGCAACCTCACACTTGTGGGCTAAAGTGATCCTCCTGCCTCGGCCTCTAAAGTACTGGGATCACAGATGTGAGCCGCTGGGCCTGGCTGATTGTGTTGTATTAAACAGGCATCTGTCTATGGGCTTGAACTCTTCCATGTATCTTGATGTATTTGGTTTTTGATCACCAGTATCCAGCAGATTTTTTGGTTCAATACACATTTGTTCAATATGAGTAAGTTTTGTAAGAGGGGAGAAGAGGAGATGCACAAAGGTGACTAAGATATAGCTCCTGTCCTCAAGAAGTGCGTTCTCTGGCAAGCAGATGGCCAAGGGAAGTTTTAAAAATGGCCACAGTGGGAGGCCATGAGAGGCCCTGTGCCCAGGGACAGTGAGCTCAGAGCTGGCTGAGGGAATCTAGGATTTCTTTCTTAAAAAATACAGTGGGAAGTTGGCCAGATGCAGTGGCTTATGCCTGTAATCCCAGCACTTTGGGAGGCTGAGGTAGGAAGATCACTTGAGGCCAAGCATTTGAGACCAGTCCGGGCAACATAGAGAGACCCCCAACATCTATGTGAGCATGGTGGTGTGTGTCTGAAGGCTTAACTATTTGGGGTCCTGGCAGGTTGAGTCTGCAGTGAGCCATGATCATCACTGAACTCCAGTCTGGGCAACAGAGCAAGACCCTGTCTCAAAAAAAAAAAAAAAAAAAAAAAAAAGAAAAAGAAAAAGAAAAAAAGAAAAGAAAAAAAAGGTTTCTCCCTTGCATGATAACTTTTAAAAAATGAAAAATTTAGACAAAATAGAAAATCACTCATATTTCTATCACATAATGTAACTATTTTTTTAAACTTCTTTCTCTGTAAGTTTTGGGGATTGAAAAAAACTTTTTATTTTGAAATGATTATAAATTCACAGAAAGCTGCAAGAACAGTACAGAGATGTCCTGTGTACCCTTCACTCAATTTTCCCCAATGGGGACATCTTACATGTGTATAATACAGCCTCAAAGCCAGGGAAGTGACATTGGTCCAATCCCCAGATCTTATTCAGATTCCACCAGTTTTACATGGTAGAGCTTTTTGCTAACAGAGTTATAATGGGCTTATATGTGTGGTCCATATCTTATTTCTTGAATTAACTTTATCTCATGCAGCTTTTTAAACATTATTGCATAAATCATTTATAAGGTCTACATAATGAACATTCACCCACCTCAAGTAGCAGTTGGCTAAGTTTGTCCCCCGCTTCTGATGTTTCCATTACTTCCAGTTACACTGTTAGGAACAATGCTTCTGTATTTTATATTCTTCTTATATACATCTATGTTTTATATTCTTAGAATAAATTATCTAAAGAAGAAAGGAAGGAGATACAGGATGATAAATGCTTAAGGGGGCTATGTAATACTTTTTTCTTAAGATAGGAAAGAATTAAACATACATTGGTTTTGGGTCTGACCAAGTACAGAGGGAGCAGTGGAAGATACAGGGGAGAGGTCTTCTGACTGGAAAACACATAGGAGGGGATGGGGACACGGGAGGCTGAGAGCATTCATGTCCTCAATTTTTTACCCTTCCCTGTCTGCAAGCCGTTTGCCATGTAACTTTGGAGTTCTTCCCATAAAAGCACAGTATTTATTTCCCTACTCTGCAGGGCTTGCTTTGGCATGCAGAATGAAGCAAAGGGTCAGTGTGCCAGTTCTGAGCCTAGGCCTCAAGGGGCATTGAGCGTTTCCAGGGCTCTCTCTTGAGCCTCTGTCATAGATATGAAAATGCACCCGAGCCAGCCTGTTGGAGGTGAGAGACCAGGGAGCAGTGCGCGATCTCCCCAGCTGCCTCTGCCAAGGGTGGCCTAGATCAGCCAACAGCCCGCAGCCCCTCACACGTGATGTGTCCAGCCCAAATCAGCAAAGCTGCCTGACTGACCCGAAGCACAGAAGTGGTAAAGTTTATTATTGTATGTCATTGAGGTACAGATGACTTTTCACCTGGGAACTTTGCAGCAGAAGCTGACTGATACATGGTGCTCAGGATAGAGGTAGAGGGAAAGAAGGAAAAGAGGTTTCAGATCTAGGTAAGTCCAGGCATTACAGAAAGAGCTGCTTTTCTGTGGATGTGGTCGTGTTCTTTGCAAAGACTATTTCTTTTCTGCCTCTGATGGTGGGTGGGCAGAGGATGACCATGCATCTTAAATGAGCCACTTAAACTGAGGAATTAAACTCTTTTTTTTTTTTTTAAGATGGAGTCTTGTTCTGTCGCCCATGCTGGAGTGCAGTGGTGTGATCACAGCTCACTGCAAGCTCCACCTCCCAGGTTCAAGCAATTCTCCTGTCTCAGCCTCCCGAGTAGTTGGGACTACAGGCATGCGCCACCACACTCAGCTGATTTCTGTATTTTTAGTAGAGACAGGGTTTCACCATATTGATCAGGCTGGTCTCAACCTCTTGACCTCAGGTGATCCGTCTGCCTCGGCCTCCCAAAGTGCTGGGATTACAGGCGTGAGCCACCACGCCTAGCTAGGAATTAAACTCTTAAAGTTTTCTGTCTCAGCTACCAGGGCCAAGATGTAAGAAAAGGGAAGTTAGACTTTTGTTTAAAGAAAGCATGAGACAGGCCACCCTACGAACCAGGGCTGCCATAGACAGTGATGCAGGCTGTGCCCTGCACAAGGGCTCCTGGCCAAGGGCAGTGTGAGATGCATTCAGTGCAATGAAGCATGGATAGGAAGAACATGTCTGCATCAAAGTGCAACTTATACTCTGTGTACCAAAAAGAGTTTCACTGATAAGAATGAGGGGAAAATAGCACCTACAATTAGATACAGAATTTCCTCAGTATCAAAAAGCTAAGTTGTTTCTTTTCTGAAGCCCTTGATATACAATAAAAATAAATCTTATGCCCCACAGATAACGCTGGTTTAGTTTCGGTATCTTGGTGCCACCAGGAGCTGCGTGCTCTTTTTGAAATGATGAGAGTAGGTAAAAAGTAAGGAGTCTCTCCTGTTTCTCTTTATAGGATGGTTTTCCTGCTCTGTTAAGTGGCGCTCATCCTTCAGCTCCACACTCAAGGGGCAAGGACTCCTGTGGTTAAATATTCTGAGATCAATGCCACAGAGGGAAGCCACTCAAAGGGAAAGTCTTGGGCCTTTGGGTGTGGGGCAGGACTTTCTCGAGTTCCCGTGAGTCAGAGAGTCTCAGGAAGGGAAGGATCAGCAGAGTCATTCGGACCACCCTTTCATTTAACAAATGAGGAAAAAGAAGCCAGAGGGGGAAGGGACTGGCCCAGGGTCACGTAGCTCATAAACGACACAGCGGCAATGAAAACCCAGAGACTTTCACTTCTCTCCCTTCATTCTTTTTCTTCCATTCTCATCAAACCCGAAGAACAGGAATGGATGGTTGTTATAATACTGGTCCAGGAGGAGAGGCTTTAAATCAGAGTCCAAGGCAAAGTCCCTTTCAGAAAGCTCTGCTGGCCTGAGAGCCTTCCTCAATGCTTTGCCCACACGGCGCTGCACGATGCTGCCACGGCACCTCATGCCTCAGTGTGCTCTGGTTATATCTCAGGTCCCCCTGACCAGGAGAAATCTCCTGGAACAGTCAGAGACAGGTCACACCTCAGGCCGAACGCCCTGGGCCCAGGGTTAGGATTCACAGAATTGCGTGCTGAAACCTCCCAACAGTGGTTGAACTCTGGGTTCTGACACATGAGTGGATCAGGACCAACTGGGTCTAGATTTCTAAAATGCCTTCTGAAATGCTGCTTTTCCAGCAGTGGCAGAGAGCAGGGTGAGCAGTGAGGAGAATATAGGGAGGGGAAGACTGTGCTCTCAGACACCAGGACAGCCAGCCCAAATACACACCAGAGCCTGGGCCCAGTGGGTTCTAGTCCTGCCCTGTGTAACTTGCTGTGCAGCTTTGGGCAGATCCCCTCCCCTATCTGGTCCATGGCCTCCCAATCTGTGACATGAAGGCGTGGACCGGATGGTCACTGAGGCCCCTCCCAGCTTGGCCATATGTCCAGCCTTGAACCACGTGTAGACTCAAAGCAATTAGCCAAGAAGAGGAGTCTCCAGACAATTCCTCTTGCTCCACCCTGCCTCTGTGTCTGGTTCCTCTCCTGGCAGTTTCTATTTTCTGCTCTGTCTGGACAGAAGGGCTTGCTTGGCTCTGTCTGTCTTCCAGCCTTCCCTAGGAAATTGTCTTTGCTTGGAGCACAATGACGCACAGGGGTGCCCCCTGCCGCTCAGCTCTGTGCCATGGGCTTCCAAGGGCTACAGAACAATGGGGTGGAGGGGGAGCCTTTGGGTCAAAGTCTTGGGCAGCTGCCAGGCAGAAGGGAAGTGCAGAGGCTGGCCCTGGTGCAGGGTCACAGAGATCTCCCTTCTCTCTCTGCACTGTCTCCTTGGCCTGAGTAAGCAGAAGGTCCTGGATGCTGCAGCCACAGAGGCGGGAGGCAGAACAGCAGAGACCTGAGAAGGATAGGAGTGACTCTTCAAGAATGAGGTCTGGAGACCAGAGCAGGAAGCCCTCAGAATAGAGAGAACATGGGCAAGGTGGTCAGCAGGCTGGTGGGCAGCCCCGCTCAGATCCCTCCCCTAGAGCAGAATGGTTACAAAACCTGGGTATGGGGGCCTATTCTGGAGTGGCCTGGCCCAAACAGCAAATTGTTGTGAACCCCCATATTTTAACTTAAAAATCCAGTGCCTGTCACATGATGGACGCTCAGTAAATGTTTACTGAATTAATGTGAATCCTGCATTCTACTGCATCATCTGTATAATTCCTGATTTTCGGGCTCTTGAGGGCTTCTCGTACCCCTAGCTCACTGCCTTGTACCCTCTGAGAAGCAGGGCTGGGATGGAGAGAGTTCTGCGTGTGTTGTCGGGCACCCTGAGCCATCGCTGGGCCAAGCCATTGCACCTGCCAGGGCCCTGGTTTTCCCATCTGTGAGACAGGATAGAGAGGCAGGACCGCAGGCCTCAGCCAGCTCGGGAATGGCAACTGCTGGCACTCCAGTGTGCATCAGTATGTCTGAGATAGCCGGCGAACGGAGCACTGGGGCAATGTTTGAAGGGCAACTGAGCCTCACTAGGGTGAAGCTTGTGCCAAAGCAGCAGGAAAGCGTGTTCCATACTCTGTGCCACCTCTGATTGCGTCTTGAATATTCCATGCTTTTATGTTTCTGGGTATGACCAGAAGCTTGGAAAAAGTTCCTTGCATTGTGACCCACATGTATATCTGTGTTAAAAAAAAATGCTGAAGTCTGCATCATGCTTTTCAGATTTGTTAATTCATTTGATTATTCATTCGTTTATTCATTCATTCCAAAAACATTCATTGAACACCACAATGTGGCAGATGGTAGGGTCCCTCATTGGGAGGAGACACTCAGTGAAATAAACAGACAATTACACTGCAATGCACGAAGTGCTATAATGATGGCATGAACAAAGTGTTTAGGATGGTTTGCAATGGCACTCACCTTTTCCTCTGGAGCACAGAGTGTGTCCATGTGCTCATCACCATCACTCTCTGAAGAGGGGACAGTGTCTATGGAGGAGGACCCTGAGGCTCAGAGAGGTTAAGTGACTCACACAAGATCACACAGTCCTTATCTTCCGATGCTAAACCCAGTGCTCAAGGGATTACTTTGTATGTTACCCCACAGCTATGGATATAATGTTATGACTCACCTCCTTTTGGGGTTCTTTTAGTGAATCACTGTTGCTTTATTAAGTCTCTTTTGTCCTGCTAAAAAAAAAAAATTGTGAAACTATCTGCTTGACCACTTTCTTTATAAAACTGGTCGGTCTGATGGGCTTGTGTTAACCTTTAAGAAAATGAAAATATTTTAAGATTTTCTTTTTTGGCCCTATCTTGGGCTGGACAGTCATTCCCATCTCTTCCCTCCACAGACAGCCATGGTCTTTAGACCATCCAGGAGAAACCTCCCTAGGTTTGTGAGCTGTTGGGATCATTGTTACCACTGTGGGTCCCTTTTCAGCCTCCTATGTATCAAACTGACTTTGCTTTCCTTTCAACCTTCCAGAAATTAGACCCACAAAACATAGAGATGGGTCACATAAGTCAAAACGGAGGCAGAGGCTGGTGAAACCCTTTACCCTCTGACAACAGTGTTCTTCAGGATTCTTGAGAACAGGTGAACACATTTGAATTGAGCCCTGACTTTGCTCTGTGACTCTGTCCCTGTCCTTGAACCTCTCTGAGCTTCCATGAGCTCATCTGGCATACAGATATATCAACAGTCACACAGATCACAAAAAGATGCCAGGGTTTACAAAGCAATTCGTAAAAAGTGACCTCCTTGATGAATGGAGGGTGCCCAGCAGGCTTCTTTAGGGTGTGTGAGCAAGGCAGCATGAATATTGGAAAGAGTCTGGACTTTGAAGTGAGAAGATCCAACTTCAGACTCTGACGCTGCCTTTTACGAGCTATGTGACTTTGAGCAAGTTTCCAACAGCCCTAAGACTCAGCAGCATAACTAGGATGATGATGGCACCTTCCCCATCCACCTTACCCCCAAGTTGTTAAGAGAATGAAAGCAGCTGAAGCCCTGCTAACCAGGCAATCTGGGCTGCATGCTGGTCAGTGCCAGGACCAGGGTTGAGTTTCTCCTTCAGCAACCGCAGTCCTCCCAGAGGATGGGAGTCTTGTGTGCTTCAGACAATAAGATCCTGCCAAGACAAGAAAAGGAAGCTGACAATTTCTCACTTCTTTCAGCTGTCTCTCGAGCTCCCTCCACAGGCCCACATCACCCCACTAGCCTTCTACACTCCCAAAACACTTTTCAGAAGGGCTTGTCTCCCTTCCTTCTGGCACAGCACCAATGCTCTGTCTAGTCTGGAGGTGGACTTGCTGCTTCACACTCTAGAAAATGCGGGGCTGTTGAGTGACAGTGGCACCCACCACGGGAGTCCCACTTTTTTACCCTACAAAGCTTATCTGGGCGGATGCCAGGTTCCTAGGTTTGGGTTCCCTCCACTATGAGGGGCTCAGCCCACTTGGAGTCAAAAGGAAACAGCCCAGCTACCGACTTGCATAGGAGACCCTCTGGGAAGGTTTGCTGGTGGAAAGACCACTCTGGCTGCTCCTCGAGTGTTGCCGGGGTGTACTCTGCTCTGCCTGCAGGCCTCCCCAGCCCAGGAGGACCCATTCCACCTGTTGGAGATTTGCTGGCTACCTCCAGGTGGCCAACGAGGGTGTGGCAACTTCACAAATAAGGAAAACCAGGATAAGAGGCAATGTTTGCCTCTGTGAAACAAGTTTGCGATAGTTTTGTGATAATTCTGATTAGGCTGTTCCAAAACCATTGTTTTGCCAACAGCAGCTCTCCTCCATTTTTTTCTTTCTTTCTTTTTTTCTTTTTAGAAATCAAAGGCCATGACTGTTCACCTTTCCTTTGAAGTATTATGTCTATTTGCTTATTTGATTCAGATAGGTTGAGAACCATATGGCTCTCCTTTTTAAGTAAAATTTTCCTTCTTTAAGCCACCGATCCATAGGAAACAAACATCTGTGGAATAAAACAAAGTACACCATACAATGAATATTGACTAAATAGAAAATAGGCATTCATATTTGAAGGCAAGATACATAAGTTATATCAGTAATCATTGACCATAAGCTGACTGTCAACATAACCTGAGGTGGTAAATGCTCCACCAGTGCTCAGGTTGTCTCTAGAAATTCCATCAGGTCTTCTAGGAGGATGGCATTTTCTGTGTGGTATAACCATTCTTAAAAATATTTAACATAAGTACCCACATAATGTTTTTCTGACATATATTGCAAAAATAATTTTGGGAGAAAATCCATAAGCATGTCACATAATATTATACAGAATACAGTTGAGAAAAGTTGCCTACAAGAGCAAAAGCAAAGGCAGATTTTGTGGGTTCCAGGTACCAGGGTACACATCTAGCCCAGCTTAGGACAGTGGAAGACAGTCAGAAATGTCCAGACCCCTGCCAAATTATTGAAGACTTGAGCTCTGAGGGTCTGCAAACCTGTGGAAGATGTCCCCTTCCACTGGAGGGAATGACAAGGCCAGAGCAATCAGTTCAAGCAGCTCCCCACACCTCGGGTTTCTGCCTATAATTCAAACCACAGGAGAGACACAGCTTCACTTGTTCTCTTTCCTCACTTTTGTTCTCATCTGAGAGGGCACTGAAACCCTCAGCCTTCCTTCAGTCAGTCCGGTACACAGCTGGACCTGACTCAAAAGGCTATCAGTCTGTCTCACACTCCAACACCAAGGATAGCCACTGATTGAATACTTCAGTGACAAAGAACTCAGTGTTCTGGGCAACCATCTATTTTATTTTCACATCACTCAAAATAGTTGGTCCTTATATTGAGCTAAAATTGGCCTCCCTGAAATTTTAGCCGTTGGTTCCAATTTCTTGCTGGGAAGCTATGCAGAATACAGTGTATGCCTTCTTTCACATGACTGCCCTTACAAATGGATGAGGATAGGTCTCAGGCCAAAGCATCCAGTTCCTTCAACTTAGGGAAGAGTGTTTATTAGTGATCTGGGGGATTTGGGCCCCACTCCAGAATCCTATTAAAACTGTGGATCATCTCCCCAGAAAGATGCACACACATCTGCATACACCCCCATTTGCAAACATCCTTCCCCTTCTGAGCCCACCCATGGATCTCTTTAAATGCCAGTGGACCCTCGGTAGGCACTTTGCATTGGAACTCTAAAACCAGATGCCGGAGGTGGAAGGGAACTTAACGGCCCAATCTCCTCACTTCAGAGATAAGGACTCCGTCTGTAGGCACTTTGCTCCTGGCTTGCTGGCCCCAGCATCAGGCCTTGGCTGCAATCGAATGGTAGTAGAGCCTTCAGTAGTGCAGGGTAACAAAAGAAGTATGAGAGCTGTTTTGGTGTTTCCTCCCCAAGTGGGGAGATCAATTAGTGCAACAACTCTGGCCTGTCTCCATCTCATTACTTGGGGCTTCCCCAGGGAAGGGAGTGACTGAACTTGCTTGCTGAATCTGGGCAGAACAAATCTGGTTTGCTTAGCTGCTTTCTACCTGTCTCCTTGGGAGTGAGTTTCCCCCTAACCCCTACAGGCCATGCGACTCCCCTCTTTCTCTTCATTCCTAAGTCTTACCTAGGCGGGACCCTCTGACTGAGATTTGTCCATAAAAATGCTGATCCTCTAGCTCCCATCAGCTGCTCCTTGGCTTTCCTTCTCAGTGTTTCCTGAACTCAATCAGAAGAGAGGTGCTCTCCCCATCAGTCTCCTCTTAGAAATGTGGAATTGTGGCCAGGAGCGGTGGCTCACGCCTGTAATCCCAGCACTTGGGGAGGCCAAGGTGGGTGGATCACCTGAGGTCAGGAGTTCGAGACCAGCCTGGCTAACATGGTGAAACCACATCTCTACTAAAAATACAAAAATTAGCCGGGCGTGGTCCCGGGCACCTGTAGTCCCAGCTACTCAGGAGGCTGAGGCAGGAGAATCGCTTGAACCCAGGAGGTGGAGGTTGCCGTGAGCCGAGATCATGCCATTGCACTTCAGCCTGAGCAACAGAGTGGGACTCTGTCTCAAAAAAGAAAAAAGAAAAAAAAAAAAGAAAGATGGAATTGTACAGGACATACTGTTTTGTAAGCTGCCTTAGAAATATTTTTCGCTGGCCGGGCGCCGTGGCTCACGCCTGTAATCCCAGCACTTTGGGAAGCTGAGGCAGGCAGATCACGAGGTCAGGAGATCGAGACCATCCTGGCTAATGCGGTGAAACCCCGTCTCTACTAAAAATACAAAAAATTAGCCAGGCATGGTGGCTGGCGCCCATAGTCCCAGCTACTCAGGAGGCTGAGGCAGGAGAATGACATGAACCTGGGAGGCGGAGCTTCCAGTGAGCCGAGATTGCGCCACTGCACTCCATCCTGGGCGACAGAGCGAGACTCTGCCTCAAAAAAAAAAAAAAAAAAAAAAGACAGAAATATTTTTTGCTTAACAATATACTGTGAATCTTCTCCATGTCATTAAATATTCTGGATTTTGGAGGAGATTCTAGAGGCAGAGAGGGAGAGAAAGAGATAGAGAGACACAGAGACACAGGAGACAGAGAGAAAAAGGAAGGATGTGAAGGAAGAAAGAGGAGGAGGAAGGACCGCAAAAGAAGAAAGATAGAGAGACAGACAGAAGTGAGGGTGAGAGAGAGGGAAGAATCTGCAGTCTGAGGGGAAGCTGAATCATAAATAGGAGGGGTGGGGAGGCAAGGATCAGAACAGGAGATGGGCTTTGGCCACTGGGTAGCTCAGGGATCTTTTGCTGCCCCTTCCACACACTGACAATTACCACACTTGCTGCATTCCCCAAGGGCCATCTTGAGGGGTTGCTCAGTCTCTGATAAGCCCAGAGGTGATGTGACTCCCTGGGGAGCAGCATGCATGGATGGCAAGTTGGCAGGGAAGTCAGATGCAGGCCAGCACTCCAGTGTCTCTCATGTGACACAGCTTCTTGACCCTCTAGTGTCCTGGTTATCCTCCAGGGATGACAACTATTTTGGCAGTGACCTCATAGAGTGTGATTTTTATCTTTAAGCGTCCATAGATTTCTCAACTTAATCTTTGTCATTTTTGTTTTACAAAAGTATTCTGCAAGTTACCCTGGCACCACTTCTTCTTGAGACGGCTCCCCTATCCCAGGCCTTGTAACCCCAGCCTGGGGTGACTCTCTTCTTTGCTCTGTAGCACCCAGCCCCTCCTCTGTCACAGTTCTTATCACACTGCATTGAAATGATCTGAAAGCTCATTGCTGGCAGGGAGCTGGCATTATTCATCTCTGTTGCCCTGGAGCCCAGCTGGCAAATGATCTGATCAGGTGATTCTCAAACTGGGCCTAGCAGAGTCCCTGCACTTCCAAGGAGGTGGTATGTAAGGCGCCCCGGCAAGGGGAGGTGGTTTGGGGCACTGTTGGGGGGACCCCACGTCCCTAACCAGAGCACCTGTGCTTTTTCTGGTTATGTATTGAATTTCCAAGTGAGTTTTCACTTTAAAAAGAGTTTTCTTTTCTTTAAAACAAAAGTTTCAAGAATCACTAATCTAGTCTGTTTCCTTGGGTCATATGTATTGTATACATTCATGGGAAGTGCAGAGGAAAGTTTAATATCTGAGCACTAACCTGCTTTCTTCTTCCTTCTCTAGTCCCATTTTAGGGTTAACATTCCCACCTCCAACCCTCCCCTCTCATGGGGAAAAGTATTAGAAGAGGATTGAATACCGGTTGTAGAATGAAAATGCTGGTCCTCTGAAGAATTACATCAGTGACAAGAGGGGGATGTTTCTAAGGAACAGGGAATCCTTATGGCCAAATTACTTTACCTTTATTCTCTCAAGTCAAAACCAAACTGATGAGTATGTGTAAGTGCTATAGGTGACACCAGGGTGCACACTATATCGCCTGTCCTGGTACCTTTCAGTTAACTTGGGAAGGTAAGACTTACTACTTGAACAACCAGGATTGTAAATGTTTGTGAGGCAGGCTACAGCTGCAAAATTTCCCTGTACACTGTGCAAGTAAAAACAGAACTGCGTGGTGGAAAGAATAACTCTGAGTCCCAATGCCTGGATTCTGGTCTCTGGGTCCAATTTACAACTGTGTGTTCTCAAATACGTTATTAACCCCTGAGTCTCAGATTCATTCCCAAACAGTTATTTATTCTGATTATCAAATAAGATAGTATATGTGAACTGAACATCTTTTATAAACTATAAAGACTGGTTAGAAATGATTATTATTGGTGATAATGAACCTGAACCTGAAGGTGGGGGTGGGATCATCTTATCTTACCAGCAGCAGAGGGCCCCTTGTCCAGGAGAAAGGAAGCCTCAGGGATTTCAGAAATTTCCTCTGTCCGGTAGCTTTGGTCTTATTCTCCCCACTGAAAAGAAGTAGGTTCTCTTATTTATAACTCCAGAACTGTGGAATCTCTGGTCTGATTGACCTACGTAGATTGCACGTGCTGATAAGGAATGAAAATCCAAGCAAGCATAGACCAGCTTGGCCTCTTTCCAGTAAGGGCCTGCCGTGGGTTGGTGCTTAATTGCCCCTGGTGTCTATTATGGACTGGTTGGAGAGTGACCAATAGCTTAAATGGAGGAGTGTGCTGGGGGCTGGCACCAGCCAGACACCTTGGGTGGGACTGTGAGGGCCAAGGCTATTTCCTGATTAGAACACCCTCTTGTCCCCCACCGGCCCCTGACCCCTCCATCTCAGGGAAGCAGATAAACTGAGGTGCAAGGGTGACAGGAAGATTGCTAAGCAGTTTGCAGCTGAACTGTGGAAGCAGAAGCAGACATGCAAAGGCAACCATGGCCCAGAGAAGTGACATGGCAGCTACAAAATGGCCAAACCCAAACTAGACCCATTCCTTCGGTTCTAAGTCCAGAATCCTTCCCATGGCATCCTCTGCTTTCACCTCTCCAAAGGGGACATGTATATTTGCTCTTCACACCCTGCCCTTCCTGCTCATTCATTCCCTTCTCTAAATGCTGAGGATGCCTTACCCAGGCTTCAGGGTGATCACATCTGTAACGTAAGTTACTAGAAAAAAGTGCTCACAAGCCATCAGTGTTGACTTACGTTATTTTTATAATTAAATATGTACATATATAAAACTAGGTGTAAATTCCTAAACCATATAACTCTAAGACTAAAATAAATATACAGATTAAATATCATCCAACGATCACAACAATAAAGTTAAGAGTCTCTAATCTAACTTAATGAAGGAGGTGGTTTCGCTGAAAGATGATTGCCTCTCATAAAATGACGGCCATAGTTCAAGTTCTTCAGCATCCAGCTCGCCACATACTATGTACTAGTCAGCTCCATTTTAGTAACTGCAAAAGTGCGGTACAGTAATATCACGTGGCCTTCACATGGAACAAACTCATTATTTCTGTATTGCATCTGCCCCTGTGCTTTACTCAGTTGTTCATGCCAATGAAAGTGCTGCTACTTATTGCCAAATGCCAAGGACAGGTTTGAAGTGCAGTCCTGAATTGTAAGATGTCATCTGGAATTCAGATAATGTTTATACTTTAACTTAGCATAGTAATGAGAACAATGAATATAAAGATTCTCCATGAAAAGCTCATGGATCCCTTAGAATATGTTTACGGGTGGCTGTTTTGTCCCGGGACTTTGGAGGAGAAAAAGAAAAGCTCTTTGTGAGATGGCAGGTGGGGATTTTGCTCCACACTGCTCCCTCATGGTGGCCTCCTCCTCAACCACACAGTTGCTAGTATCTACCTACCCAGCATAGTTCTAGAGGCGTGTCAGTCAGTGCCTAAGACGGGAAGGGGAGAGAGGATAGCAACAGGGAATCTTGACATGGCTGGGCTGAGCGTCTTGGGCAACAGGATGAGAATGTGGGTGAGGTAACTTAGGTCTTGGTTAAGTCTGAGTTCTTTATCTCACATGCTCCTCCTTCTTTGCCTCCCACAGCCACTTCTACAGGTACCATGGCTATTGTTGAAAAGTGGCACAGTGTCAGTCCTTGAGGAGGAGTCTCAGACCCTGGGAGGGGGGATGTAGCCCCTCTCAGAGTCAGTGATTGGGACTCCCAAGGCAGGAGCAGCAAATGGAGTGGGCCCACAGGAGGTGGGCTGCCCCTGGGCTCCCTCCGAAGCTGGAGACGGGATGCCTGCCCCAGGAGCAGGCTTTGGACTGCAAGGCCATCTGGAGAGCTCAGGATTCTCCAGCCCCCATCTCTGCCCATGTTAAACTGTTGGCCTCGGCCCTGGTAACGTCACCAGCATTCACAGTAGCTTCAGGAGGCTCTTTTCAAATACCTAAGGGCTGGAATCATAGGCTCTTCACTACATGTCCCCTCTCAAGATAGCAAAATCCTACCCTTTCATAAAGACCCTGCTAAAATGCTGTTTGGAATCACACAGACCAGCATTCAAATCCAAGTTCTACCACTTACTCATTGAGCCATGTTTCTTAATGCTTCTGGGTCTCTCTTACCACTAAAGTGAAAGTAATAGTGCCTTTTGCTCAGACTTACGGTGAGAACAAAATAAGATAAGGTTTTTAAGATGCACAACCCAATGCCTGGCACATGAGGCTTTTGATGATTATAAGGCCCTGGTGCCCTCCTCAGGGCCATGGCAGGTCACGTCCTTGTTGAGTCAAATGCTTTTGAAACCCCCTGGATGTTTACAAGCTTCCATTCTAGGGCTCTCCAGGGCTAACCGCAACTAGCTATGGCCACACTGCTGGCTCCATGACCTTGCCTACACCAGTCACCATTCATTGGCCCTATCACTGGATCCTCGGAAGATGCTGCCACTCTTCCCTGAACAAGGACAGTCCTGGGTTTTATACCGTGACTTTCATTTTTTTCATCCAGAGGACTTTCCCATGCCCCGAGCTGCCTGTGTAAGCTGCGTATTTGGCCTCTCTCTGGTGTGTGTTATGCTCCAGCCTGGAGTTGTGGTGAAGCCAGGAGCTATTCTGAGATCTTTCCACTATTTCAGGCTCTAGCTTAGATGTGGGGAGAGAATCCAGCACTCTCTGCCCATGTCTCAGCCACAGCTTCCAAGACTGGTCCTTTTATGTTTCTGACACCCTGAGATCTAAAATAGCCCTGACCTGGAGGTGGTGCCTGGGACCAGCTCAGATGTAGCAGCGACATGCACGTGCCATCCAGCCTGCAGCTAGGCTACAGAGAGTTCTGGAAGAGTCAGGTCTTGGGGGGGTGGGGAGAACTGAGCTCCAGAGAAGCTGCCAGGGTTACACCCTCACTCCACAAGCTGGCAGGCTTTTGGGGGCTGGGGGCCGCTCCATGTGGAGCAGCAGCTGCTTCCAGTCCTGGCCAGATAAAGGGGGAGTGCATTTTCTGCCTGCTGACTTCTCAGGTTGTATACCTCTTCTTGGGCTAGCTAGCATTCATTCATCTATTCCACATATTACTGAGTGCCTGCTATATGCCAGTCACTGTTTAGGCTCTGCGGTATAACTGTGGTCAAAACAGACAAAAATCCTTGCTCTTGTGGAGCTTACAAGTAACAAAAATCATAATAAATAAATTGAATTGGTCAGTCTAGCTTGCAAAGCACTTCTCCATGCCATTTCTTGGTAGAACATCCAATTGAATACTCCGTGCTAACACAATGTGTGTGGTTCTCCGCTTGGTTGTCCTCAGTTCATCCTTCCAGCAATCCCCTGAGTTAGACAGCACTCCATTTTACTGACAAGGGAACAAAGACTCCAGAAGAGACAGTAAATTCTGTGAGGTCCACACAGCCAGGAAGTGAATCTTAACCCAAATATGTCTGACTTGAGGGCCCAAGCAAGATCTTAACCACTGTGCACAGAGAAGCTGGTGGCACCCACTTGCAAATATAGAGGCTCAGTGAGATGCAGAGTTTGGAGAAGGCAAGTTCGTCTGTTGTTCCAAGGAATGATGAAACTTCACAGGTAGAAGAAAGTTAACTTGGAGGTTGCCAAAAACAGGACTCCTTCTACCTCAGCCTGGGTGGATGAAGAACTGGACACTGCTGAGGCACTTTTGGGCTCTAGGGCACTTCCTGCATGTGGGGCAGCCAATACCAGGGCTGAACACTGTGATGACTTGATGGTCCTTCCTGTTTTAGGAGGAACTCTCTGCTCCAACCTGTCCACCTGGCAGGCCCCTCGGGGACTCCCTTCCTTCAAACAACCCTACGCAACTTGGCTCTGATTTGCTTCTTTGTCACCCCAGTAAACAGCATACCTCAGAGAGGGCGCAGCTGCCTCCTCTGCATTCTCACAGCTTCCAGCCGCACATTTGACACAGTGCTTATCTCCCTGTGTGGGAACATCCCTGCCTCATGCCTGCCTGTGCCACTCCACAGCACAGTGCTGGCACATGCGAGGTGCTCAGCCCATGGTTACTGAGTGGCTGATGAAGGAATGGATAATATCTAGCCATTTTCAGTTGCATGGAGAGACTGGGCCAGTTATTCTTTGGCTGCAGCTGCCTCAAAAAGAGAAATGGTCCTCTTTCCTCTTTCCTACAGTCTGGGTCATGATATTAATGTGGCCTGTGGCTTTCAACAAATATTTGTGGCTTCAGAGTCTCCTTGTTTGAAGGCATTTCTGGAGGCTTTGGCTGGCACTATAATTCCTGAACTGACAATTGGTGTGAGATGGCTGGAGGCTGAAGGAAGCTGGGATGTTGTGGTGTCTTAATCATAAACTGCCCGACCACCAAAGAAATGGATCATTTCTGGGAGGTCTAGAAGGACATACAATGAGATCCCTTAATGCCATGGAAGATGCCAGGACAATGCACATGTCCATGGTTCTGTGGCTGGGTCCTTCTTCTCTGAAGCTGCTGCTGTCCCAGAAGATCAACCTGTGACAATCCACAGCCTGCCTGTCATTTGGATGGCCCCTGCAATCAGCTCTCCAGGAAGGTTTTTCTATGTTTTTCTGACTGCTTCTGTTGTTAAAAGATCTACAGGGTCCCACAAGATTACTGTTCAAATGGCTCTCCAGGGACCCTCCCTTAGCATGGAACTTCTTGCCACAAAGGGAAAATAACCGAGCAAAAAATACCTATGGATTCCTCAACACCTGACTTTGGTTGGGTAATCTTTCTTTAAATCGCTATTCCTTCCCAACCCAATAAAATCCTACTTTTTATCTACAGTGCCTACTTTAGGTTAATCCCCATTTAACTTGTGGCCTGAGGGCCAAATAAGGCAAACAGATTTTTTTTTTTTTTTTTTTTTTTTTTAGTTTAGAACAGGATTTTTAGAAAAACAATGTTTTAAGGCAGGGTATGCATTTTCCAATTGTCACAGTTGCTACCAGCCTCTGCCACATTGTACAGAGAGTGTGAGAAGCACTGCAGTGATTGCTGGTGTGGTGTGAGGCCAGACCTCATGGGTCTGAGTTCAGGAAGCTCCCTCTTACTAGCTGTGCACCTTGACCTCTCTGTACTCCAGCTTCATCTATAAAATGGGCATCATCATTGTCATTATCATTATCATCATCATGGTACCTGTCTCACAGGTTCGTTGGGAGGATTAATACATCCAAGTGTTTAGGGTATACAATGAATATTTATTTGGATGCTTGCTGTAAGCCAGGCCATATTAGGGACAGGGGATACATGAGGGAACAAAACAGACAAATCTCTGCCCTTATGGCACCTATAGCCTGGTGGAGGCATGGGAGAGACAGATTATTTAGTAAGCATCGTGATAAACGCTACGGAAAAAGACGAAGCAGGAAAGTAAGGGGACAGTGCTTGGGTGCAGTTAAAATAGGGTGGTCGGGGGGCCTCACTGAGGAGATGACCCTCCAGGAAAGACTGGAGGGAGGTGAAGAGTGAGCCACCTGGAGAAACCAGGGAGGAAGTGTGTTGAGCCAGATGGAACAGCAGCCACAAAAGTTTCGAGACAGCCCATCATGTTGGAGAAAATGTCAACTATTTTGTTGTGACCTGCGAGGTCCCCAAAGGCATTTGAGTTTATGACAGTGCTATCAACTTTTGTTGAAAGTGGCTGTGGAAACTGATCTTGTGACTCTGGTCTTGATTGGCTAAAGGCTGAGGGCACACAGAGAGAGCATGAGCAGTGCAAGAGAGACAGTCGAGAGTCGAGCATCTCCTCTTCTTGAAGGCAGAGACCATGGCCCCCAGCCTGTGCTCGGCTGATACCATCTATAACTGTTAGTGCGTATGTGTGTGTGTATGCTTGAAGGCAATCTTGTCCTGGCCTGCAGGGGCTGGAAGAGAGTAAAGAATAGTGATGGAGAGGGATGGGGTTGAAATAAATCAAAGACATCAGGAGGCTTTGTTTTAGGGCCCCATGTTTCTAGTGGTGCTGATGATTCTAGGCCAACAGTTGGTAGCTTTAAAGGGAGTTTTGTTTCCAGGTCATTAGAAGCAGTCAATTGGTTTAACTGCAAGGCCAGCTCCTAATTTGATGCACATCTAAGCAGATTGGAGACATTTTTGCCAGAGTTGCTATTTTAGCAGGCAACAATTTGTGTGCCCACCAGGAAACCAGGTTTGGTATGAAAATAGAGACTTCCCCTGGCATCTAACATTCAGGAGTCAGCAGTAGCTGGCTTTCTAACCGTGTTGCTTCTTGTGTGGAAAACAAGGCTGAAAAATGGGTGGGGAGAGAACGGTGGCTGCCAAGGACATGTGCTATTTACAGACACGAGGAAGAATAACACTCTGGTTGAGCTGTCAAGTAAAATGAGGATAACAACACCTGCCTCACGTGGTTATGGTCAGGATTACATGGGATGGCCTACATAAAAGTGCCAGGCACATCACAGGTGTAGGGAAATATCAGTTCCTTTCTTTGTCTCCTCTGGACCCCACAAGACAGCTCCCTGGAGACGATTTTCTCCCTTCCACTAAATCAGGATAGAGAAGAGGGTTTCCTCCCTGTGAGATGTAAGCCCTGGGGGGTAAAGTATGGAGAGAAGAAATCCAGCAGGAGGCAACAGTGGGGTATGTGGAGTCCTTAGATAGGCCACTGTCTAAGGCAGGCAGCTGGACCCCATCCTGAGAATGAAACTGTCATGGGAGCTGCAGGTGGGTACAGCCGCCCCAGCCCTCCTAGGGGTGCTCTCTGCCCACTGCTGGTTGGCCCCACCAAGTGCAGGCAGCACAGTGAAACCAGACACAGCACAGTCTCAAGTATGCAACTGCCAGGTATGACAATCACAAGTCACAGCTGGCAGGTGGATTGGTGTGATGGCTGCTCATGTTTTCTGATCTCTCAATTTTGTTCTTGTTTTCAAAAAGTAACCCAGCAGGTTTAAGGTTCACACAACCTGTGTAACTTTGATTGCAAATACCAAGACCTCACCTCAATAAGCAAAACAAGGAATTTATTCGTCTAAGAATCCTGACATGTAGAACAACCAAGCCTCAAGGATGTGGCTAGAACAAGAGACTCAGATGCCACCTATTATTTTGTTCTGTTTATCTCTGCCTGTCCCTTCATCACTGCAATCCAGCTTTCTGGAAACATGACTGGCCATAGCTTCCACTATGAGAGGGAGTCTGACCTTGATTTCCTCAAGGTCCGGTTAAAAATTCCTGGGGAAGTTCATTGGTTCAGCATGAGTCAGAGACCATCCCTGGGTCAGTTAGCTGGGGGGGTGGGGACATGCAAGAATCAGGACACTCTTGCCTTGCTATGGGGCTGAGAGCAGGCGGGGTAGACAGTTCTATGGATGTCCACAGCTTATATCTAACCTGGACATCAGATGTTTTACAAGTGTTAGTAGCCACCTAAGGGCTGATGTCACTGTCACTTCTTCAGCAGGGCACAACCCACATCTTTAGATGGCTGGAAAAAGATCCTGGGCTAGGAGGCTTCCTGGGGGAGAAGGGAGGTGTGGGGCTCCAGGTGCACAGGGAGCCTCCCCTTCAGGTGTCTTTTTACTCCTGTCCCTCCCAGTGTCCCACTCACACACCCCACTCTGTTGTGCCAGGTGTTCCTGTGGGTCGTCCTTGCAGAGTGAGCAGCAGAGCATTGGTGTGTGCTCGCATTTCAGACGCTTTGGCTGGCAGAGTTCTTTCCCTGCTATTCCATTCCCATGCCACCCTTCCTCCTCTACCAGTATGTCCTTCCTTGTGGAAAAATAGCTCTTCTAGTAGTAGAAACTGATCCTGGGTCTAAGGGCAAAAGGGGCAGAAGGGAGGTTTATTGGAATGATTCTGGAGTATCTCACAACCCAAGGGGGCTGTGGGAAGGTCAGAGCAGGGCCGCTGTAGGGCCTCTATGGTGGGAGTTCACGGACTCTATGGTGCTGCTGATCACACGACTCAGCTTCCACTGAGTCCAGCCCCTTGCTGCTCAGAGCCATGCTTCACCTTCCTGGGGAGGGAGTCGAGGGGCCCCAGTTTGGTCAGTTATGTGCCCTGGATCAGCCAGCTAGTGAGATGTCTGGCATATTAGATACCTGAAGTGAATAATTTTGTAACACCTCCCCAACAAAGTTATTTTCATTGATAATCATGAAATACAGTTAATGTATGCATCAATATAGCTGATGATGATGCCAAGAAAGAAATGCAAACAGTGAAAAAACAATTTATTAAACTGTGTATATACAGTGATGCTAATAAAATATAAATAAACAATATGATACAAAATAATTATTACAGTATAATAAAGGGAAAAGTAATGAAATAATACTTTTATTACATTAATTTTTTGGAGAAAAAATAAATTTAGACTTGTGTACTGGTCTGTCACAGTAATGAATGATAATATATCACAATTTTCATTTTCAGGCTGTAACTTTTGCAAACTTGTAAATAATTTTATCAAAATTAATCTTTGCATATTTATCCTCAATAGTCAATATAATAAGGTATGTCACGCTATCTTTGCTCATACTTCTTATTAATTTTAATTAAAAAAATTCATCTGAAGTAACATATAAGTAAATAGAAAAAGTTTTAAACAGAAGGATAAGTTTAGCAGAGACTCACAAAAATCTCATTTTACAAGAAGTTCTAGAAATTACAATGCCATCCATGTTTTCATGTCTCAGGGAATGAGTCTAGTAGCTTTCAAATGCTGACACAGTTGAAAAATTTCTAAAAAAATTAGAAAATTCATCGTTTAAAAAATTGTAATATCTCTTTTATATGTATCAAAACCCTTACTAAACAATGAGTTCTGGGTTGCAAAAGAGGATTTATTTTTTGCACTTCTCTATAAGTCTTTGTTCACAGTTAAACAAAAACACAAGTGCAGTCATATGTTTTATTATTATTAGTTAAAACTTCCAAAATTTTTGTTGTACAAAAATTAGAGTTACAAACAACTTAACAGCAACCTCTCCCCGCACCAAATAATCCCATTAAAAATGGGCAAAAGACCCAAATAGACATTTCTCAAAAGAAGACATACAAATGGCCAACAGGTATTTGAAAAAAGGTTCAACATCACTAATCATCAGGGAAACCCAAATCAAAACCACAATGAGACACCACCTCACCTCAGTTAGAATGGCTATTATAAAAAAAGACAAAAAATAACAAATATGGATGAGGATGCAGAGAAAAGGGAACTCTTATACACTGTGAGTAGAAATGTAAATTAGTATAGCCACTATGGAAAATGGTATGGAGTTTACTCAAAAAACTAAAAATAGTACTACCATACAATCCAGCATTCCTACTACTGGGTATTTAGCCAAAAGAAAGCAAATCCAAAAGAAAGTATATCAAAAGGATACCAGCGCACCATGTGTATTCTAGCACTATTCACAAAAGCCAAGATATGGAATCAATGTAAGTGTTTATTGATGAATGAAGGGGTAAAAGAAAATGTGGTATATATATACAATGAAATGCTATTCAGCCATAAAAAGGAATGAAATCCTGTCATTTGCAGCCACATGGATGGAACTGGAGGTCAACATATTAAGTGAAATAAGCCAGGCACAGAAAGACAAATATTTCGTGTTCTCACTCATCTGTGGAAGCTAAAAAAGTTGATCTTACGGAGGTAGAGAGTAGAATGATGGTTACCAGAAGTTGGGAAGGGATGTTCAGGGGGAATGAAGAAAGGTTGGTTAATGAGTGTGAACATGTAGTTAGATAGAAGGAATAAGTTCTAGTGTTCAATAGTTCTGTAGGGTGACTATAGTTAATACTAATTTATTGTATATTTTAAAATAGCTAGAAGAGAAGATGCGAAATAGTCCCAACATAAAGAAATGATACATTTTTGAGGTAATGAATATCTTAAATACCCTAATTTGATCATTACATATTGTATGCATGTATCAAAATATCACATGTACCCAATAAATATGTACAGTTATGTTTCAATAAAAATATCAGCATTCATGTCTGAATATTAGCAAATACTAACATTATTCTACCCATTGCTTTATATCAGGTGTCCAGTTCTTGGTGATAATGATCAAGACATTTATACATTGCTCTTTTGATTTTTGCTGGCAGCATAAGACCAGCATCTTTTGTCATTTCTCCTGGCATTCACAGAATGATGGAATCAAAGTAACTCAAATTCTGTTCCTTAACTTCTCTAATCACTAATATTATTGTTATTTTGAATCTACTGTCTAGATGCAGGGGTATGTGGCACCATGGGGTTGGGCACGTGAAGTCAGCTTGAATGATTTTCAAACTGTCAGGAACTTATTCAAAACAAATGTGTGTGGCTGAGTTCGTGTGTATTGGGGCGTGACTGTATAACTGGGAGTTTGAATTAACTTCTAAGTAGAATGCAAGCTATAAAGGATAAGTAATAAAAAAGTGCTAATTTGAAGCTTACATGCATATTATTAAAACTCAGTAGTAACAAAGCAATGGTTTAGAACTTAGACCCACAAAAGCTTTTATTTGGGAAGGAGTGCTTTATCACTGACATTGTTTGGAATTGCCGGCACATGGTGATAATAAAAAGCAGACTGACTTCTAGTTGGCTTTATTATTGTTTATAAATTCTCTACAGATTTCTTTATTGCCTTCCCCCAGGCAGACTGCTTTCCTTGCCCAGCCTTTGGTACACCACTGCATCCAGCTATTGTGGTGGGAGCAGAGGATGCCACATAATACAGAAAAAGGCTTCATGGGCTCATTCTGAGTTTCAGAGACTGTACTCAGAGAAGAGGGCATCAGGTACCAGCTCCATGTGGTGACTATTACATTTTCCTTTTTAGCTGCTTAGCATTAAACACATACACACACACACACACACACACACACACACACACACACTATACACTTCATCCCATATGTCCCAAGATGCTCCTATTCAACATGACCTGATAACCACAAATGCAATGAACTACAGTGCAAAGTCACACCAACTACTGAATCCAAGGTTACACCACAGAGCCATTTTTTTCTAAATCTAGATAGCTGGGTAGTCTTCATTCCTTTTTTAGTTATATTGAGATCCCATCTGATATTCATCAGGCTATGGATTACTTAGTAAATGAAACCGCTAATAACACACCCTATCCTCAAAATCTATGCCAACAGAATATCCCCAGTCTTAATGATATTCCTTAGCTAGTCTCTGTGTATAACTTCTTTCTTCTCTGCATTGATTCTGCATAACCCCATCTAGTCCAGGAAGAGTTCAAATGCTGGCCGTACAGTGGGCATTGCTGAACAGAGGGAGCCCAGTGGGCTGGATTGTTAGTTTCTTCTGGTTGGTGGGAATGGTGGTGCAATGTGGGAACATTTCAGAGAGGCCAGAAGGCTTTCCCCAGTTCCTCTGACTCCTCCCATGGTATCTCAGTTTCCATCTCTAGGATTTTACTCTTTCCTGATCATGCTGTATCTACATATGAAACCTAGTTTATACATGCAAGTGGAGGTATAATTCAATACCTTAAAACATCAATTTCTAAATTTGGTTTTTTGTTATTTCAGGCTAGTAGCTAGTGGGATCATATTAAGACTTTGACTTTGATTTTACGCCTATAGGAGAGACTTACAGGACTAAGTTTGCTGTTCTTTTACATTAGGTTATCCTGATACACTCAAAACAACCATCTAACCTGTGGTCTCAGCTTGTCTCCTTTCTTTCAAATTGCTTATGGTGCCAGCTACTGGGTCCCCCAATACCTTTTTCCCAGTTTCTAGTTGACCACAAGAAATTCATTTATTGCTGTTTTGCTACTTTTTAGCAAGCATTCCTAATTTCATATCTCCAAATATAGAGTAGATTACTGCCTTCCTTCACTTCCACCTCAATAAAATGACCCATTACATTTTTCTTGAAGGTCTAGAATTCACAGCATACTCTCTAGAAACAATTCATAAATTATTTATTTTTCCTCTTATTTGAAAACATTAGATACTGACTCTAGTTGGTTTTGGCAAAAAATAATGAGGCGAGGACATTTATTGAAAAAAATATAGGCTAGGCACAGTGGCTTACACCTGTAATCCCAGCACTTTGAGATGCCAAGGCAGGAGGATCACTTGAGGCCAGGTGTTTGAGACCAGACTGGGTAACATAGCAAGACCCTGTCTCTACAAGAATAAAAATTAAAAAATTATCCAAGTATGGCGGTGTGCACCTGTAGTTTCAGCTACGTGCTACTTGGGAGGCTGAGGCAGCAGTATCACTTGAGCCCAGGAGTTTGAGGTTATAGTGAGCTGTGATTACACCATTGCACTCCACCCTGTGTGACAGAGCAAGATGCTATCTCTAAAAAAAGGAATACTAGGGCACCTATAGAGGGCAAATTATTGAATAAGCAACTAACCTGTGGGAAGGACAGAAACCAGGGCCATGCTAAAGGCCTTAGTAGTGGGAATTTGTGACCCTTCTGTCTGGAACCCTGCTAGTAATGTGAATCAGCCTCAGTGAAAGTCAGGTTTAGTGTTTCTGAGGATAGAATCTGAAGTTGGCCCAGTTTAGAACTGGCATCTGACTACGGCCAGGGCAGGATTATGCAGTACAGAAAGGGTCTGCTGGGGGATGGAGGTAGTTGTGCAGCCTGTGTATCACAGGTTGTACCAAGAGAAGGGGCAGTTCTTGTGAGACAGGCAGCTTCCCCAACAAGTATCCACTTCAGTTTGGGAAATGAAGGTTATTTCCTCTGCTTCCTTCAATCATTTTGTCCTGCAATGTTTACCACTGTCTGTACACACTAGGACGCACTAGATAGCGTCGACTGACTGATTAAAACATTCATTATCTGAAAATAGGAGATTATTAGACTAGGTTCAAGACCAACATGGCTTTTGGATAGGAAGATACTGGTGATTTGGTAAGGGAGAAAAGAAAACAAGGAGTTGATTCTAAAATCCAGAAGTGATAATTAACAAAAAAATTATCAATGTGTGTGACTCTGAGGCTTTTCCTGGCATCCTTAGCTCCGAAAGAGCCCTCTGCTCTCTGAACTTCCACTCTTCTCACCCACATTGCTCATTTGACTCTGAGCATGGTTATCTGCCGTGCCCTGTACATTCCTACATAGAAGTTCCATCTCCCAAACCACACTACAGGATCCCCAGGGAGAGAATCCATGTCTTACATTTATTTTTTTTGAGATTCTCAATATATTTTAGTATCACTTAGGGCAGTTTTTATTCCCTGGCCTCTTGATTCTCCATTTGTACATGTTTATTTTCACAGGTGAGTTTTAGACTCTCTTTATCATATTAGCATATTCTTACAGTTTTTGTATCTCCAGTACCAAGCTGTTATCCCCTCATACACTAAACAGGTAATTAATGTACTTTGCTGAGGACAATATGATAAGCCATACAGAGGGGTTTGTCATAGACATAAATGGGAGAATTAAGTTTTTCTATTCACACCTTTTTAATTTAAAAAATGTTAACTTGACATAGCAATGACTGTGTAAAATTGATATTCCATTTAGAACAAGATTTAAATCATTACACAGGTAGAATTTGTTCTGTTTTTTATTCACCATTAATAAACACCATTAATAAAAACCAATTTCTGGTTTCCTTCCCTTCCTTCCTTCCTTCCCTTCTCTCTTTCTGTCCCCTTCCTTCCTTCCTTTTTTCTTCCTTCCTTCCTTTCGTTTTTCTTCCTTTCTTTCTTCCTTCCTTCCTTCCTTTCTTTCTTCCTTCCTTTCTTCCTTCCTTCCTTTCTTTCTTCCTTTCTTTCTTTCTTTCTTTCTTTCTTTCTTTCTTTCTTTCTTTCTTTCCTTTCTTTCTTTCTCTTTCTCTCTTTCTTTCTTTCTTTTCTTTCTTTCTTTCTTCTTTTTCTGTCTCTCTTTTCTTTCTTCCTTTTCCCTTCCCTTTTCCCTTTCCTTTCCTTTCCTTTCTCAGAGTATTGCTCTGTTGCCCAGGCTGGAGTGGTGCAGTGGTGCAATGCAATCGGCTCACTGCAACCTCCACCTCCTGGGTTCCAGCAATTTTCTTGCCTCAGGCTCCCAAGTAGCTGGGACTATTGTGCCACCACGCCCAGCTAATTTTTGTATTTTTAGTAGAGACAGGGTTTCATCATGTTGGCCAGGATAGTCTCAAACTCCTGGCCTCAAGTGATCAGCCTGCCTCGTCCTCCCAAAGTGTAGGGATTACAGGCATGAGCCACCACGCCCAGCCAATTTCTGGTTTTCTTTCAAGCTCATGCAGATAACACATTTCTAACTCTAAATTAGATAATGTCTATAAGAGATCTAGCAAGCTCCTTTGTACAGAGTAGGTACTCAGCAAATACCAACTAAAATATAGTGATTATAAAAATAACTCACAGTGAATCATTTTTAGGCTTAACCCTTTCATTTAAGGCCCTTTGGAGCTCTTTAACGTCTTGATTCCTGAAATCCTTTATAAGAAACTTTTATTTAGCCCAGTGGGTCTCAAAGGCTTGAGGCAGGGCTTGACCAGTAATCAGAACCCTCCTGAAGGTATTTTTTCTGATTCCTTTCCCCACCTTTTCCTTTCACTCTTTTGAGAATCAACAAGAATTATGTTCTCTCTCAGGTGCTCCATGTGGAAAAATATATTGAGATCACTTAGCCTTGTCTTTTCTTTCTTTCTTTTTCTAAACGAGAAACACTTAAAACTATATGTTTATGATTTACCTGAGGAAAGGCTGTCTTTTTTTTTTTTTTTTTTTTTTTTTTGCCTCTTTCCTGCTGTCAGATAAAAGCAGAACTGGAGAGAAAAATTATGTTGCAGGCAACATAGTCAAAATAGTTCCAGAGCTGTGTTGCTAACCCAGCTTAAAGTTTCTCTTTGCCCCAGACTTTTTTTCTTCTAAGAAAAGCCTCTATTCTAAGAGACTTGCTCTTCTTAGAATAGCACCGGCAGACATAGAGCAGTTTACAGCTTGCCTTTTTATAAAGACAGCCCATTTTCAAGAGGAAGAATAAGGAAGGAAGGGTCTAAAGACAGTGTCTGGGCTCAGATCGCACATTCCTACCTCCTAGCTGTATGATCTCTCTCGGCCTCAGTTTTCCATCTGTAAATGGAGATAATACTAGCTTCTATTTTATAGGGTTATTAAGAATTTAAAAAGCACTTGGCACATAATAAATACTCAATATATATTAGTTCACATTATTTTATTTTTATTTGAGACAGAGTCCCGCTCTGTCACCTAGGCCAGCGGAGTGCAGTGGCACGATCATAGTTCACTGCAGCCTTGAACTCCTGGGCTCAAGCAATCCCCCCACCTCAGCCTTCCTAGTAGCTGGAATCACAGGCATGAGCCATCATGCTCAGCTAATTAATTTTTTTTTTTTTTTATAGAGACAGGGTCTCACTACGTTGCCAAGGCTAGTCTCAACTCAAACTCCTGGGCTCAAGCGATCTTCCCATCTCTGCCTCCAAAAATGCTGGGATTACAGGCATAAGCCAACACACCTGGCTGCTCTCATTATTTTTAATGGACATCTAATTATTGAAAACTTGCTATGTGCCAGCCACTGTGTGTGTACGTGTGTGCGTGTGTGTGCACATAGTATGTGTACAGATACCCACATACTATGTAATATTTATTTATTGTGAGTCTGCCCTAATCTTCATGGAGGAAGGTTCTTAGCCTGTTTTACTCACTGCTGTATTCTTGTACATGGAACAATGCCTGAGACATAGGAGGCATCCCAAAATATTATTATATTATATATATATATATATATATATATGTGCATATATACACATTTATATTCACACGCATACAGTTATATATACACACATATATCTATATATACACCCATATGATTACACACATACACATACATAATTAAAAATGCATTTTCTTGCCAGAAATCTTGATACTAAACTAGGAGTCCAATTAGCTAGCCAAGAGCAGATTATGAGAGATTTGGTTAGCACAATCCAATTTCAGGAAATATCTTAGTATATAAATCCTGAGGTTTCGAGAAGGTAGAGAAGAGGTTAACACAGCAACTCTGACGGAATCGAAGAGGAGGGAGTGGGAAGTTGTTTCCAGTGAGATGATGCTGAGGGAGGAAGAGAGACAGGGGAAGCTGCCAGACCAGAACTGGGGAATCTGGGTTGTTAGAGCGTTGGTGCTGATTGGCTGATTGGTGGCGGTCACAACCACCCTGATTCCTCCCTCCAGCGGGGCTGCCCTGGGTTCTCACAGAGTTTGTTTGGGAAGGGGGTGAAGGCGGGTTTGCACCCTTTGCTGGTCATTTCCAGGGCTTTCTCTGGACCCTGCATCTAGTGAAGCAGTAGCTGCTTCTCTCTAGCCATCCAAAAGTTGCTTTTCTGTTTACGTCAGTTTGCTCTGTTTCCCAGAGCTCTGGGAATTGCTTTAAATGACAATTTCTGGACATTGTAAGTCCTTTGCTGAGTCACTGCTGAAGAACTTTCCGGCAAAGTAGTCTGAGACTCCACTGACTAAGGCAACAGGCTACAGCACTAGAGCCCTAGCAACAGGCCTAAACTAAACAGAAATGGATTTTGAGGCTGCTAAGTGCTTAACATGGGGGAGAAAAATCCCAGGTATCCCTGACAGCTGAGCCACCCACTCTCAATCTGGAACAGCCTTCCCCCATGTCCTTTATTCCCAGGAGTCACAGGCTGCAGAGACCTCCAGCTGCAGGGCTCCCCTAATGCTCTCAGTTTCTCCTGGGGCTTCCAGGAGAGCAGAACCCCCACTGGCCTGCCCATCCACTTCTCCATCCTGGTGTCCCTGGAGACAGTCTAAGCATAAATGCTCAAACCAAAGAATGTGAGGGGCTGGCATGGATCACTTAATGTGCTATCTGCTCTTTGGAGAAATGGCAGAGATCCACATAAAATGTAGCTTAGCAATCACATACTAAGCCAGTAGATATCTAATAATGTTAGTCCGGCTCATTTGGGAATTTTTGAGGCTTAGGAGTATTCAGCATAATTCCATTTGTTTAGCAAATTGATGATGTAGAAAGAGAGATTCCTATCCACTTAAACAGTAAACTACTTTGGCAGCAAGCTTTCATACAACAACAATTATAAGCAAATTACAAATGGTTTTATCTATTTGGCAATGGTGAGCCTTTAAAATGAGCTCATTTATGTAAGCATTCATTCATTAAAAACATAGTGAGAGCTTGCTATGTGGAAAGCTGCTAGGCAAGTGGAGAAGGCTGATCTCCATTAGAAGGAATGAGTATTTACTTTGCTGCACATAATGTTGGGTGCTTTTCCAATCTTAGCATTTAATCTTTGCAACAACTTTGTGAGGTAGGCATGGCAAAGACTGGTATTTGTTCCCCCATATTCATTCTTAGCTTTATTTTGGTAACAGAACCTTCCTACTCTGAGTTTTGGTAGTATATGTGGCTTCCCAGTTATTGCTGAATAGGATGACTGAAGAATCAGAGGCCTGGGATTGCTAAGCCTTTCTCAGCCTCCCTTGTAGCTAAGTGTGGTCATATCATTCTAGTCAATAGGATTTGAACAAAAGTGACTGTGCAACTTTAGGGGTGAAGTCCTTATAAAAGGAGCTATTTTCTCTTTGCTTGCCTTCCTGGGATCTAGAAAGAGATATGGTTGTGGAGCTGATGAGTAAGCTTTAGTTTATCTGGGCAATGGCAGAGCAATGAACAAAAAGAAGCTGGGGCCATGGATGGCTTGGGAGAATAGAGTCTCCTGTCTGTCCTCATCTGTCTGTCCATCACCTTGTCATTATGTGAAAGAACAAAGGTCTTATCTGAGTCTTTCTCTTTAGGGGATCTCCTTGCTTCATAAGCCTAATTTCTACAGTTCTAATATAGTAATAAGAAAGCTACCCTAATGATGAAAAATGTAAAGAAGTTAGGCAAATGTTCTGAAATCTCTAAGGAATTATATGGCAGAGCCCAGACTCAGACTCAGGTCTGCTGTGTTCTGCTACATCATGTCACCTTCCTTAAAATAAGCAGACAGACACAATGTGAACCCCCTGGGTTTCTCAAGAAAAGGAGTTCTGCTGTTGCTGCCATGAGATTTTAGTGGTTCATCTTTCAAAACGTCTACCAGAAGGGGGAGGCTCCCACCTTTATTGAATACCTACTGTGTACCAGGAACCCTGTTGTACACTTTACGTGTGGCATTGCACTGAAGACACAAATGCACACAAATGCTGCTCTCAAACTACGCAAAATGACATGTACTTAAATAGTTCCACATGAGAGACAGAGAGTGCTAAGTGAGTGCAGAGGAAGGAGAGGATGTACCTGGCTGTGTGGGATTGGGAACAGCTTCAAGAAGGAGGTGGCACTGGATTTGAGTCTTGCAGAATAGGTAGTATTTGGGGGACAAGGCATTGCAAGTAGAGAAAACACCATGAGCAAAGGATGAGGAGCAGGAGAGCACTAGAAGCAGGTCCTTCTTAGCATGTCCAGAATGTAAGCTCCCTGATGAGAGCAGGTAGGTGACAAGGACAGGTAGGCTGATGTCAGATGAGGGAGGGCCTGGAGTGGCAGGCTAGAGAGTTCAGACTTCATGTATGGGGTTGAGGGATGCCTGCAGAATTCTGAATAAGATGTTGGAAAAATCAGAGCTTCAGAGTTGATGAGCATTTCTAAGCCATGACTGTGTCCCAGGCGCTGGACAAAGATGAATCTACCAGTAATGGGGACAACAGAGTGGAGGAGGACAGACAGGAAACCAGAAGGCCAGCAAGGAAGCTAACTCCGAAGCAGCAGCAGGAGAGAGGGGTGGGGACGACAGAAGAGATGTTGCAAGGGCAGGACTGACAGCACTTGGCAGCCTCCTGGGTGTGGGAGGTAAGGGAGCAAGAGGAACCCAAGATAACACAGAGGTTTGTTTTTGTCTAGAAGCTTGAAGGAGAGAAAAATTACTTAAAGATATTCTGGCTAGCTGTTTTCTTAATTAACACACGGAATGGGAAGTTTTACAATAAGCTAAAAAGCCCTCTCTTTTCTAAGGAATAGTTTATAATTAGATATATAAAAGATATGGTTACAGCACATTCTCTTTCTCTGAAGATAAAAGCGTTGGCAGAGAATTAGGATTAATGATCCTCTGTGGAGACTAAAGCAGCTCCATCTTGGATGCTAACCTGCCAGGTTGACTTCTGATTAACCCCAGTTCCAGGAATGCCTTTTAGAGCTCCAGTTTATCTATTGTTCTTTGTGTAAGAACATCTACACATCTTTTCTTTCTTTCTTTTTCTAAAAGAGAAACACTTAAAAGAGTTTCTTTTCTAAAAGAGAAAACACCTTAAAGCCTGCCCTTAGGGCAAGTCCCTACTCATTCCCTCTGAGGCAAGTGTGCCCCTCCCCTGTGGTATATAATCCCTGGGTCTGGTGGGTAATGGTAGGGGGATCCACCATCTTGTCTTGTGGCCAAACAAGACACAGACATGGCTTCTGTTCATTACATCCTTACTAAATGTTTCTTTCTAAGAAACTGGATTTGTCAGCCTCTTTCTTTGGCCTATCAGCTAGAAGACCACAACAATGTTATCAAGGCCCTAGTGTGTGCCTCTGGTTGATATATAAAATTTTAACTGTCAGATAACTTTTTAATTTGCAAATTTATTCAAAGTTTGAAAATACCTTGGAGAGTCTTAGAAATCTCAGAAATTAGTGACTGGGATATCTCTATATTCATGATATCTATAAGTTTCCTGCATATCCACTCAGAAGGCTTCTGAAAATAGGGGTAATATGAGAAGTTAATAATTGTTACGTCTGGCTTCCTCTTTCTTTGCCTTTCTCTCTTATATCTTCAATCTTCTTTTTTCACTGGACACGGATAACTCTTTGGGAAGTGCTAAACTCTCACAGTAAAGTCAAATCAGAGTTAAAGGCAAGTGTTTAACCAATCATGTTCAAATACAAGCTAGCATATGAAGAATTTTAGGCTCAAAGACTCAAATCCTCTGCATTCCTGAGAAATCTCAGTTTCTTATTCTGGGAAATGTTTTCACATTGCACTTTGCTGCCACAGCCAAATGGGTATATCTTTTTTAATTTTTATTACTAAAAGGTTTAAATTGGGATTTAGATTAGATTTAAATTAGGAAACTGAAAGAAAACATTTTGTATCCATGCATTTTAAAAAAATCCACCCATAAAAAGAGAGCTAGGTGTCCATTTCTGATGTGGGGGCAGTGTTCTTGTGGAGGTAATGTAAGCTAGGTTTGTCCACTTCATTTCTTGTGTTTTGACAGATTCTGTGGTGCTGCTGTTGCCTTGTTCAGGTTCAGAAAACTCACTCAGTGGTGTTGCAACATCCTCATAAGGCAGCTTGTCTTACAGTCAATCATTCTCAATCAAACCCAAGATCCCCCATCTCTCTGTACCTCACTATCCAATCTCCTGAAACCTTGATTTTTATCAGATGGGCACCTGGCTCAGCACAGCACCCACTTCCAGTGGGCCAATTTTGGTTGATTTTTGTCCCCTCTCATTCTTCCTCCACTGTCTTACATCTTGGCCCCTGTATGAAAGCTATGGTGAGACCAGAGCTGGGGCCCCATCTTTCCTTAGTGAGGACCAGCAGAGCTGTGAGCTCTTGTGTGGGTTGGGGTGCATTGGGTGGCAAGAGTGGGAAGCAGTTGGCATCTTTTTGGGATCTCATTATTCACCCAGCAATAGTTATTTTATATCAACTGTTTAGTAAGCACTGCTCTTGGGGGCACAAAGATAAATTCAAAATAGACTTATCTTCAAAGATCTCATAGTCTGTGGAGGAGACAGACAGAAACAGATGATTACAACCCAGTGTGGAGGAAGAGCAAGGGAGGCTAGAACCAGGGAATAAAGGGAACAGAGGCAAAGGGCAGCTGAGCCCTGATGGTAAATGGAAAAAGCCACCCTGACTCCTTCCAGATCACACCCATCAGTATTGTCAGTATCTTCATTCTCCATGGTGTTTGACTCTTGATAAACCTCCTTCTATTTTTAATTAATTTTGTTTTAATTAAAATATTCAAATTATAAGGTATTTCAAGCATGCATCAAAATAGTGAAAATAATATAAGAGATGGTACCTCAAGTGGTGGTTTTGTGTGACTGTTAAGAGCACAGACTCTAGAACTGAACTGCCTAGGTTCAAATCCCAACACTCCCTCCTACCACTGAGTGACAGTTGGACAGGTTATTGTCCCTTCGTGCACCTTAGCTTCCTCCTCTGTCAAATAGGGGCAACAACACTCATCTGGGAGACTGAGCAGTGCTGGCACACAGTCAGCATGTAGAAGCATAGTTTTTATGCTTTCCAGAAGGCAGCATAGCACAGTTTTGTAGTCAAACTGCTGGCATGTAAGTCCCATCCAGTGCCACACCACCTGTGAACAGTATAATATTGAGTAAGTTATTTAAGCTTTCTGTGCTTTGATTCCCTTGCCTATATGAGTCTAAATTATATTAGAATAACCTCATAGGATTGCTTTAAAGGATTGAGTGCATTCATACCTGTAAAGCTTCCACAGTAGTTCTGGCATACAGTAAGCTCCCAACAAATATTAGCTGTTATCATGAAACAGAAACTCTTTACCTTCACTGAGCTTTAACAGGTGAGAACGTTTTGTCATATTTGCTTCAGATCTGTTTTTCAATGGAATAAAATTACAATTATCATGGAACTTCCATCTTCCCTCCCAATGCCCTCTGCTCATTGCCAGAGCTCTCCACTCTGACAGTGTTTCTTTCCTATCCATACTTTCTTCTCTCCCATTGTCTCTCTCTATATATAATATAGATGTATTGTATATTAATATAGATAGATGTACATTCATAAATAATGCATAGACTATTTTTATGTTCTCAGCTTTTTGTAAGTGTTGTCATGCTGTATATATTCATCTGCAACTTGGTTTCTCCCTTTTTTCCAACTTAGTTTCTGAGACTTCGCTATGTTTATTCATCTTCACTACTGTGTTGTACTTCATTGGATAAATAAACTAGAGTTAATTGATCCATTCTCACAGGATGGACAGTTACGTTGTTTCCGGTTGCTGCTATCTGTATAGCAGACTATACTGCATCAAGCATCTTTGTGTGCACACCGTCTTTGAAGCACTCTGATTCCAGGGCTCTCATGTTTTGTTTTGCTTTTAATTATTCTTTTCATATTTGACTGTTTCTGTAAGAGTCTGGTAAGTGTCTTCGGTCTTAGAATGTTGAGGATTGTGCCAGATAAATTATATGCCTTGTCTTAACTAATCCTCACTGTGATTCTGTAAAGTAGGTGTTAGAGTACAATGATGAAAAGCGGGAATCCTGGGCTAAATACCTGGATTCAAATTTCAGCTCCTCCATACACAAACTGTAAGGTTTTGAGAAAAATCACTTAATATCTTGGGCCTCAGCTTCCCTTTCTATAAAATAGAGTGATAATTGTATCTCTTCATGGGGTTGTGGGAGGAGTGAGTGAATTACTGCATATAAAACACTCAGAAAAGTGGGTGGCACATAATGAATGCTGTGTAGGTGTTATAATTAGTTTTAACTCTCTTTTCACCGTAGGGGAAACAGAAATGCAGAGAAGATAAGCCATGTTTCCAAAGAAATCCAGCTAAGTTAGCCCTATTGAGGCATGGACTGGAAGGTAGGCACATCTGACATTGCAAGCTTACAAACCCATGCCTTCTCACCACACAGCTTCCTCTCTCTGTGGAGCTTTGCATTCATGCAATCTCTGTCTCCTCAGTACAAGACTCCGCCTAGGAGACCTGGAGGCAAGAGCCAAGTTTCCTTGTACACCATCCCTCTCTCTGAAGTTCCAGCCGGACCTCCAGTGGGATCAGGAACTTCTCGTTGGGCTATCACATGGGCGACCTGACTGGCCCTGTCCTTCCACTCATGGCAGCCACAGTGATCTGTTAAAATGTGAGTCAGTTCCTGTCACTTGTCTGCTGGAAACTCTCCACTGGTTTTCCATCACACTTATAAGGAAACCCAAATTCCAGACTCTGAGGTACAAGGCCTTCATGATGTGCTCCCTGGCTTCCTGTTGACCTTATCTCCTCCCCTTACTTTAGCCACAAGGGCCTCTTTGTGTCCTTGAACTTGGCACTTGATTTTATTTGGGGTTCTTTTGCATCTGCTGTTCCTTCCTCCTAGATCCCCTTGATTCAGATCTTCACATGTTACTCACTCCCTCATTTCACTCAGGTCTCTGCTCCAATGTCACATTCTGCAAGAAATCTTCTCTGAACACCAAAAATGATCTCTTATTTTTGCTTCCTGACCAACCAGAGCTGACACTGCCCATAGCTCTAGAGCAGATCTTTTAGATGCCGGATCTTTGGGAGATCCTAGAGACCTGGGAAAGAGTCTAGTATGGCCACAGTGGAGGGCGGGGAGGGGGCAGGGGAAAGGGGAGTGGAGGATGACGTGGGGTAGCAGCTATTTACCACCTGGTAGAGGTGACCTCAGTATTTTCATCAGTATGGCTACATCAGTACACACAACTGTATCACTAGGGCCTAGAGCTGTGCCAGGCAGACAGCAGGCAGTCAACGAATATTTGTTTAATTAATTAAGTAAAAAGGAAAAATGGACAGAAAAAGCAACATTTCAACGTAAGGAAGTCCAAACAGGTAGCCTGAGGCACAAGGACGAAAGGTAGAGAGGTGTGCCTAGCTATGGGGGGGTTGATGTTGGAAGCTGGGGGAGTGGAGAAGAACCAGTCTCTCCTCTTCAGGGGTCACTTCTTCTTATATACCTCAGGGAAAAGAGGTTGTCCTTTAGAAGGTGCTCTTCTGGTCTGCTGTGGCTGCACTCAACAGACTCTGCTGTTGAGGTTGGTCTGCTCCTCCCGGGATCTGGTTCAGCTCCACGCAGGCGGAAGGCAGCAGACAGAAAATGTGAGGTAGGCTCCCTGCTCTGTTCCCCACTCCACCCCACAAGGCTGGCTTCACCAACATGCCACAGCAGTTATACAGGGCCCTGTGCTCAGAAGGGCCCCACATATGGTTTAATGCTTTGCTGTTGCTGTCTTGAAATTCTTGATTTTTGCACAGGCATTTCCCTTTTGCACTCAGCCCTGTGCATTATGTAGCTGTGCATTATGAGTGTGCCATTCCATAAGACAAGAAAACAGCCTGCCTAAGTTAACCCCCAGCCCACAAACAAACTAAGCTTTCTCATTATCAGGGAAACAGCCAAGCCCTGGGCCTGCCTGTGTAGGAAAGTGAAGCCCATCACCTAGCTTTAGACCTTCTGGTGGCCACACAAAATTAGGCAGAAGCTTTGAAGAGCTGCTTTTCCGTATCTCAGGCGGGCCTCCTCATTTTGTTCTCAGGCAGCATTGAAGCAGTAGGAGGATATAGAACTCTCCAGTATAACAAGCGACCTCCCAGAGGCCTAGGTGGGTAGAACATATGGAGGGAGGGGATGGCCTGTGCACATGCACACACATGCGTGCACGCCTCAGGTTTTTGTTTTTGACTTTTTCTTTTTTTTTTTTAATTTTGTGTTTGTCACTGATTGGCTAAAGATGTCCTGACAACTGAATTCTGGTCTCCCAGTTTGGGAAGCTCAAAGAGTTTCCTCACAGACATTGGACTTTGCCTCCCAAGACCTGGGGTAAGGTAGGAGACAAAAGGATGACTGAGTTTAAGGCTGGGCTGAGCAGAGTTCCAATACCTGCAAGTTCTTGTGGTTTTCCTGGGACTATGAAGTCCCTGCAGACAAGGTCTATCTTGCAGTTGTCTCAGTACAACTAATTACTTTTTTTTTTCTAAGTTGTGATGTTTATTAATTTTTGGTCAAATTTCTTTTTTTTAAAAAAATATATATTTTATTATATTTTAAGTTCTATGGTACATGTGCACAAAGTGCAGGTTTGTTACATATGTATACATGTGCCATTGGTGTGCTGCACCTATTAACTCGTCATTTAACATTAGGTATATCTCCTAATGCTATCCCTCCCCCCTTCCCCCACCCCACAACAGGCCCTGGCGCATGATGTTTCCCTTTCTGTATCCAAGTGTTCTCATTATTCATTTCCCACCTATGAGTGAGAACATGCAGTGTTTGGTTTTCTGTCCTTGCAATAGTTTGCTGAGAATGATGGTTTCCAGCTTCATCCATGTCCCTACAAAGGACATGAACTCATCATTTTTTATGGCTGCATAGTATTCCGTGGTGTATATGTGCCACATTTTCTCAATCCAGTCTATCATTGCTGGACATTTGGGTTGGTTCCAAGTCTTTGCTATTGTGAGTAGTGTCACAATAAACATATGTGTGCATGTGTCTTTATAGCAGCATGATTTATAATCCTTTGGGTATACACCCAGTAATGGGATGGCTGGGTCAAATGGTATTTCTAGTTCTAGATCACTGAGGAATCACCACACTGTCCTCCACAATGGTTGAACTAGTTTACAGTTCCACCAACAGAGTAAAAGTATTCCTGTTTCTCCATATCCTCTCCAGCACCTGTTGTTTCCTGACTTTTTAATGATCACCATTCTAACTGGTGTGAGATGGTATCTCATTGTGGTTTTGATTTGCATTTCTCTGATGGCCAGTGATGATGAGCATTTTTTCATGTGTTTTTTGGCTGCATAAATGTCTTCTTTTGAGAAGTGTCTCTTCATATCCTTCACCCACTTTTTGATGGTGTTGTTTGTTTTTTTCTTGTAAATTTGTTTGAGTTCTTTGCAGATTCTGGATATTAGCCCTTTGTCAGATGAGTAGATTGCAAAAATTTTCTCCCATTCTGTAGCCTGCCTGTTCACTCTGATGGTAGTTTCTTTTGCTGTGCAGAAGCTCTTTAGTTTGATTAGATTCCATTTGTCAATTTTGGCTTTTGTTGCCATTGCTTTTGGTGTTTTAGACATGAAGTCCTTGCCCATGCCTATGTCCTGAATGGTATTGCCTAGGTTTTCATCTAGGGTTTTTATGGTTTTAGGTCTAACATTTAAGTCTTTAATCCATCTTGAATTAATTTTTGTATAAAGTGTAAGGAAGGGATCCAGTTTCAGCTTTCTACATATGGCTAGCCAGTTTTCCCAGTAGCATTTGTTAAATAGGGAATCCTTTCCCCATTTCTTGTTTTTGTCAGGTTTGTCAAAGATCAGATAGTTGTAGATATGTGGTATTATTTCTGAGGGCTCTGTGCTGTTCCATTGGTCTATGTCTCTGTTTTTGTACCAGTACCATGCTGTTTTGGTTACTGTAGCCCTGTAGTATAGTTTGAAGTCAGGTGGTGTGATGCCTCCAGCTTTGTTCTTTTGGCTTAGGATTGACTTGGCAATGCGGGCTCTTTTTTGGTTCCATATGAGCTTTAAAGTAGTTTTTTCCAATTCTGTGAAGAAAGTCATTGGTAGCTTGATGGGGATGTTAACCAGTTAATTAATCCACCAGCCCATTCAACAACTACTCTCAGAGTCCCGGCTATGTGGTGGGCACGTTTTCAGCCTGTGAGGATATACACCTCTGAGGAGCACTTCTCCTCTGGGTTTCAGCCTGGGCCTCTAGCTCTCTTCCTTGACCTCAAACTCAAATACACTCAATGTGGGCTCATGTGCCACGGCCCCTGACTGGGTCCCACCCAGAGTTCCCCCAACTGAGTGAATAGCACCATTGCACAGAGAGGCCACTTAGACTGGCAGAGAGCATGGGCGCCAGACTTGCTGTCTATGGTGAGGACTGGCCATGCCCCCTACTCACTGTGCCTTAGTTTCCTCATAGGGTAGAGTGACACATACTAGCTATTATTACCAACTATCCAGGTACTTAAGCCAGAAAATCAGGAGTCCTATTTGATTCCTCCTTCTGCTCCAACCCTGATCCCAAGTCTTGTTATATTACCTTCTAAATGGTTGAGGAATCCATTCAGTGCTCTCTTCATCATTAAAGTCCTGGTCCAAGCCACCATCATCTGCCAACTGGACTATTACACTTGTCCACTATTTAGTCATTCCGTTTCCACCCTTGTCTGTTCCATTCTCCACACTATAGCTAAACTGGTCTTTCCAAAACATCGATCTCATCATGTCACCCTGACAACAAGACCTTCAGGGTTTCCAGCCTCTGCTCACACCACACTCTCCCCACTCCCTTCGCTCTCTGCTCTGCCAACAGGGGCACCAGTGACATTTTGGGCCAGATAATTCTTTGTGGTGAGGGATTGTCCTGTAGGTTGTAGGATGTTTAGTAGCATCTCTAGCTTCTACCTACTAGATACCAATGGGAACCCGTCCCCTAAATTGTGACAAAAAAAAAAATCTCCAAATATGACTGAATGTCACTGTTGTCAGATGTCACCTGAGGTGAAATCACCCCCATTAAGAACCATTGCTGTAAAGTGCTGTCTTCACTCCTGAAATAAGGGAACAGAGGCCTCCTTTTGCCAACAGCACTCTCCAGGCTCTGACCCTCTTCCTAATTCACCCCTTCTTGGCCTCACTCCAATGTCCACTCCATCATCACTTCCTGAGGGAAGTTTCTCTAATACCCCTGCCTTGCTGGTCCCCCTGTTATAAGCTCACCTAGCATTGGGTACTTCTCCTGTGTTGTACTTATTAGCTGGTAATCAAAATAAATGATTACTAACATATTTGTAGTTTTACTTGTACTTGTGTGATTATTTGATTAACATCTGCCTCAGCCAGCAACAGACTGTAAGCTCCATGAGGGCAGGGACTGCATCTGTTTTCCTCATAATTGGATCTCCAGGATACAATGTATCTAGCCTAGTACCTGACACAGTAAGTAATCAATCAATATTTGTTGAACTAATAAATACATGAAGATGCACCCCTGCCCTCATGTTATTGCTTTCTAGGGGAAGAGATAGGTAAGGAAACAAGCATAACACAAAATTTTGTGATGAAGTAATTATACACTGGGAGTCCATGGAGCACCTAACAGTTTTGAGGAGGTCTGAGATGCTGCTGGAGGAGTTTGTATTCTAGTTCCTGGCAGGAGATCTGAAGCATATTTAAGAATTAAGTGAATGGGGGGTGGGAGGTGGAAGAGGAAACTGGAGAGAGTAGGAGGCTCCAGGCAGAAGGATCAGCTTCGTCAAAGACTAAGAAGTGAGACTGCATGGTCCTCAAATCCCTTCTCTTACTCTTCTGCCTTCTTTCCAATTCCCGTTTGTCCCAGGCTAAGGCCTTGCTTAAGTGATCTCTGTCAGAAGGATGGAGTGAAAGCAGGAAGAGAGTCCCTTCTGGCTCACAAGCAGGGTGGCCAACCATCACAGTTTGCCTGGGACTGTCCTGGCTTTAGCACTGAAGGGTTCATGTCCTGGAAAACCTTTGGTCCCTGGATAAACAGGAAAAGTTGGTCACCCTGCTCAGAGGGTTTGTTCTGGTCACCCAAGTCACCTGGAAGGAGAAACAGGGCATCTGAGTGTCTTGGAATGATCCCTGGGCTGGGGCCAGGACACCCGGGTTTAAGTCCCAGCTCTGTCCCACACCAGCCTTGTAATTCTGAGGAAGTTGTGTCTCTAGCCTCCCTATATTGACAACATTTGCTTAGTTTCTATATTCTGTATGCTCTGGAAATTGGGGCTTCGATCCTAGAGAGATTTCTAGGGCTAGCTAATCCCCAGAGTAAGCAAATGGCTCCCCGTGGAGCATGCTTTTGATATGCAAACCAGCCAATCCAGAGCCTGCACCCCCAACCCTCTCCTTTATCAAACGCTCACACACCAATGCAATATCTCCCCTGCCCTAAACCACCCCAGGGCCAAGTCCTGGACAACTAGGGATCACGCCTATAGCCCAGAACCTACTGAAATTATCCAAACTACCCAAAGCTGAACTTACTCAGCATAGTTGCAGTACCTTGCCCATTCCTTCCCACAGGAACCCCAGTAAAGGCCCTGAGCCATGCATACTCTCCTCTCCCCTCCCCACTTCTGCCTCCTGACCGACCCAGCGCTTCCTGGGGTGGCCTGCGTGGCACGCCGTACCTCCTGTTCTAGAGGCCTGTGAGTATAAACTTTTTCCTCCCTGACAATCATTTCCATTTCTTACCATGCCTGATTAAAACAAACTCCAGGTCCATTTTATCACACTCCTCCCTGCCGTTATTGGCCCTCCTGCCTCACGGGGTTGTTGCGAGGGCCTAATAAGATAATGTTTATAAAAATGCTTTGTCAGCTTTCAAGGATAAGGTATTTTTATGATCATTCCTTTCTGCATCATTTAGGTTTGAAAATGCTGGAAATCCCCACAGGGTCCTGATGAGGATGCAGGGAGACTGTTCTTAGGAGGCTGATCCAGGTCACCGCCTTGGGCCCCTCTCCACTGTGAGCAATCCGTCTGCCAGGCAGTAGTGGCCAAGGCCCATTTGGACAGCAGCCTCCTGGACTCCTGGTCTGGCCGCCTCTTCTCCAGCTTGCACCTCCTTTTCCTTTCACTGGGGGAACAAACACATTTAGAGTTTAGAGGAATGGAACTACTCCATGAAATGCTTGTCTGCAGGAGAAAAGCTTCCCATTCCTTTGGAGAGCATGCATGCCACAAAGCAGGTCTCCCCAAAGTATTCCTCCAAGAAAAACATATGGGAGCTGTTAAAGTCAAGAGGCCAGCACACTGGGTGGGACCCTCCTCATAAAAGCAGGAGCCTGCATCCTCTCTTCTAAATCTCTTCCTGGAAAAGATCCTCTTTTCTTCCAGCTGAGGGCTGTTTATTCTGGTTTACCTCCCGGCTGTGTGGTTCACATCCATGCGGCCAACACAAAGGCAGTGTACGACCCGTGACTACCTCTCAGGCACCCAGGCTGTGAAATAAAGTTTTGAGCAGGCTGTGGGCAGTTATGTGGTTCTGTGGCTTCAGTGAGTGCTAAGTGGGCATGACAGTAGCTCGAAGGGCCTTGGGATAGAGGTGCCAGAGAAAACACAGGATGCCTGAATATTGCACAGGACATACTTATACACAAAAGTATTTGCTATGTATCTGAAATTCAAATTTAACTGGGCTTCCTGCATTTTTGTTTGCTAAATCTGGTAACCCTAACTTAGGAGCCCATTTCTGAATCTATTTTTTTACTTCCCGCATAGAACAGGCCCATGTCCTTCATTTCCTGTGGAGATTTCTGGGTCTAGTCTTTTGTTCCTGTCCCCTGCTGCATGGGTCATAGACTCCCAGGCATCACCAGGTGGGCTCCAGAAGTAACTTGCTCTGAGGTCTATAACTAATTAGGTCTCTACTTAATGGGCAGATGAAAGAGCTCAGTGTGGGATTGGAGGGTGATCAAACTGGCGAATCTTGCAAAGCCTTGAAGAGAACACTTGTACACACAGAACACATGAGTGTGGGTGGGTTAAGTGATGTCCAGGGCCTTGGGCAGGCAGTGGCCTGCTGCTGTGTTGCTGGAGGGGAAGGGTTAGACACCAGCCCTTCTGCAACACATCTTTGGCTTTGGGGTCTTGACAACTGCCATGTGGAGCCTCCAGTATTAATTGTATCCAGGAATTTGCAAGGGCCCTGGAAAAAAGGTGTCAGGGTTACAACCTCTTTTTCTAGACTTCCGCAATAATTAAGGCTTGTGTGAACTAGGTGGCCTTGGTGAAGTCCTGACAATAGAAAAGGCAGTGAGGGACCCCAAGAGGAAACACTGCACAAAGAAGGAGGTGGGAAGGAGCAGAGCTCATGAAGGAGAGTGCCTCTCCTAGGCACAGTGTGCAGCTGATATGGGGGACCACGTGGACCATGGCCCAATTAGGGAATCCTGTTGGGCGAACAGAAAAAGGCTACATGTGTGAACAAAAAGAGTTGTGCCATTATGACTTGCACACATAGGGCCCGAGTGGGTTTTCTGTTAGGCATCCTCCTTGCAGGCTGGCTTCTCTCCTTCCTTGAGGAGCACCAAGATCGGGTGGACAAATAAACATACAGGCAGCTGTGGGGACAGCAGGCTGGGTGGTCCCGGCTCAGTCAGTCCTTATCTCTGGAGATCGCCCAAGACCTTGGCACATGCTCAGCCATACCTGCAGGTTGGAAGTAGCTGAGATGGAGACAGGTAGTTCAGAGCGTGGTGGTCCTAAGGTCAGCCCACTCTGCGAATCTGAGTCCCTTCTCTTCCAGCAGGTGGCAGCAGGAGAGCAAAAAGAAAGACTGAGGCTGGGATAAGTGGCACAGATGGGGTGTGGGGTGGGGGGTATTGCAGTGTGCCTGTACGCATGCAATTTTTAGGAACATTTGTGGACGACAACCTGCGCAAATGCCTGAGCTTCAATTTAGTAGGTGGGGGCTCAGAGTTATTACAATTTGGTTATAAAAGGAAATGGGGCCTTATTTTATAGTCAAAGGTTAGTGAGGTCAAGACTTTTAGAAGATATGTATCTCCAAGGAGCTGTCCATTGGGATACAAGTTGACACCAGATTGGACTTCTTTTGATTAAACTTCTTTCAACACCAGATTAAATTTTTTCCAAATGGAAAATCTTGCTCAATGTTGTCAGTTCTTGTCTTTTATAACTGTTCAATTCATAAGGAAGAAGGAAAGAGGAGTGGGGTCAGGAGCTACTTTTAAAAGGCACGCCTTTCCCTGGGTGGGCACAGCTCTATCCCAGTTTTGAAGAGTGGAGTGCAAGCTGGATTCCAGCTCCTGTTGTCTTCCCAGCTGTGTGCCCCAGTACAACCCTACGTTTTCAAGAAGAATGCTCTAGAGCATAGATGCCATCGTTCTGTCATGGCATTGTTATAGTAACAGAATTGGTGAACACTTGCTATATACCAGGCACTAATCTAAGCACTTTACATATGTCTCATCTGGTCCTCACAACAGCTCTTCAGAGATGAGGAGACGGAGCAACCAGCCAAGGTTAACACAGAAATGGTAGAGCTGAGTGTGTTGTCCTAACCACCTGCTGTCCTGCTAGACGTGGAAAGATTCGCAGCAACAGAGCAGGGAAAATGAGTCAAATGGAGGCCAAAAATGAGAACTAAGAGATTTGTGAGAATATTCAAGCAAGGCAAGGAGAAAATAAGAGAAGGAAAGTAAAATATAGCCACAAGCAAAAGTGGTAACAAAATGCTTGATATGAAGTCCTATTTACCAGTGATAAGCCACATGGATAGTTAGTTATGAGCTTTTTTGTAATCAACAGGAAAAGGAAAATCACAATTTTCAAGATTCCCAGTGTCTCTAAGGTATAAAGCCCAAGTAATTGGAGAGAAGCACAACTATTTGTGGAACTAAGATAAAAATGAATTGCCTCTAGTCAGTTTTTGAAGAGCCACTTGTCCAGGGTCTCACAGCTGCTCGGCCAGAATTTGAACCCCAACCACATAGTTCCAGAGCCCACATTCTCAGACATAGCCCCCAATACTGCCTCTGGGCTGGAGCTGGTATTCTCAATAACTGTTTGTTGAGTGGATAGGTGAATCACCATTGGAATTGGAACAGGAGTTCAGGAGCTTCTGGAGGAATCAGGCTGTTGCTAGATGCTATGACATTCACTCTTATCTAGGGGCTGTTTATAAATTACATATCAGGGACTACCTGTATTAACAATAACCTTATCACACTCCCAAACTCCAAAGAAAACTAACATCTAAATGCATTCCCTTAAAGAAGCAGCACAAATGACTATAGTGTGTCACCCTTTTCTTCTGTAGAGTCTGAGAATTTGCTTGGAATCAACCTGATATGAATGGAATTTCTCACAGGAGTTCCACAAAGACTCAATCAGTCTCCCTCTCTCTCAACCTCTCTCTTTCCCTAAGACCTAGATGAAAACAAGGCTTGAAATCAGATATTGGGCTGCTCTTCCTGATGTAGAGAGGGAATATTATTATAAGTATAAAACTGCTTATAAAATTCTTACAGTAATTGGAAAGAAATTGGAAACATTAACAGCTAAATCCCAGTTCAGCTCACACTTCATTAAATAAAATATCCCTCAAACGTGATAATCATTCGAAGAGGACCTGACTCAGCACAGTTGAGCAGAAGCAAATTGAAGGCCAGTGGGAAGGAAGCAGATGGCCTCAAATCCATAAAAGTCCCCAAAGCTCTATAATCAGGCTTATTTTTCACCAAATGGTATCTAAAATCTGTGTAACACCTCTTAAACTGAATGCCTGAAACAAATACACATTGAGAGTCTGCTACAGTCTAGCAGCATTTTGTTTCTTTCACACACATTCTGTCCTTTGGGACCTACAACAACCCTGGGAGTTAGGTTGGCAGGTGTAATTATCCATGTTTTATAGTTAAGAACACAGGCTTGGAAAGACAAAGGGACTTACTGGAGGTTATAAGTGAGTGGGGACCCTCTTGAGAACCAAAGGGACCCAGAACTCAAACCTGGATCTTCTGAGCTCTCATACTCCAACCTCTGATCTCCACTGAGAGGCCTCCAGCCTGTGAAGGCAAAAGGGATGTCAGGTACCAACTGAGCTCCTCTCCACAGCTTCCAATACACCTGCTTTTCCTGCTATGAAGATAAGGAAAGTTAGAATATTACCATGTCAAGACTTGGCAAATTACGCTGCTTCCCAGGCCATGTGTTTTAGCACTTTCCTCCTCCTGATGACATGGCATCAATGCACCCAGGAGGCCCCACTCTTATTCTGCAGACATGGAGGGGCTAAGAGGCAGCTGGCTGCTACCCAGAGGCATGTTCGTGCTCTAAGAGGTTCTGCCTCCTGCTGCCTATGTGCTTGTGGAAGCTTTGCAAACTCTCCTGGGGTTAATATGAGGGTCTAAAAGAGAAAATGTACAAAAAGAACCTAGCACTCCTTCTAGCATGAAAAATTTTAGTGATTCTTTCCATTTCATTCATTGATTCAGTCATCCATTCATTTAGCAATTTTTGTTGAGCATTCACTATGTGCTAAGCCTTGTTCCCAGTAGTAAAGATACAGCAGTGGCCGAAAAAGACAAAAATCCCTGTCTTTAAGGAGATTACATTCTGGGGCAGAAATAGATAATTTCAAATAAAAAATTAAATAAATCATGGCAGTGTGTAAGAAATATAAGGGAGAAAAATTAGGTGATATGATAGAGAATTGTTGATTCTGGACACCTCTCCAAAAAGGTGACATTTAAACTGAATTCTGGAAGACGACAGGGGCCAACTATGCAACAAGCCTAGAAAAGAGCTGGCCAACCATAGGGAAGTTCAAGTGCAGGGGCCTGAGGTGGTAAGGACCTTAGACTCCCTAGGAGCTGCTGAAAGGCCAGTGCGGCTGGAGTGGAGTAAGTGAGGAAGCGAGTGTCAGGAAACGAGGTTGGAGACCGAAGCAGAAGCCAGATTGTGCAAGCCTCAGAGGCCATGGTAAGGAGTTTGGGCAGCCTGAAGGAAGGGAGGGAGCCCCTATGTGGATAGCCCTGGAAAGGGCAGGCCAGAGGACAGGCATCAAGTGTGAGGCCCATGTGGAAGGGTGTGTGTGTGTGTGTGTGTGTGTGTGTGTGTGAGAGAGAGAGAGAGAGAGAGAGAGAGAGAAACACTGAAAAACATACACTTAAAATGCAAAAAACAATAATGACTCAAACTGCAGAGAGAGATAGATAAGCCAACAATTATAGGTGGAGATTTTAACATATCCCTCTGAGAAATTGGTAGAATGAACAGATAAAAATTATAAAATATAGAGATATAGAAGATCTGAAAATATAATAAATAAGTGTATATGCATATTATTTTTAGTATACATATTGTTTTTGATTACACATAAAACATGAAAAACTGTCCATGTACTAAGTAGTTAAGGAAGCCTCAATAAATAAAATGAATCAGTATCATTCAGACTGTGTTCTCTAACGTATGAAAGAAAATTAGAAATAAGTAACAAAAGGATTTTATTTTTAAAAACCTACATGTCTGAAACTAAACAGCATCACTTGGGTTAAAAAACTAACTCATGAAAGAAATGACAAAATAATTAGAACCAAATGACAATGAAAACACTGTGGAATTTAGAGGAAAATGTGTAGTTTAAAATACATTTATCAGGATACAAGACAGATCAAAAACAAATGAGCTAAGCCACCAACTCAAAAATTTAGAAAAGAAGCAATAGAGAAAAACTCAGAAATAAGACAATAGGAAATAATAAAAACCAAGACAGAAGTCAGTGAAATAGAGAGTTACAATTATAATAACCAAGAAGAAGATTAATAAAACTAAAACCTGGTTCTTTCAAAAGATTAATAAGATAGGTCACTGTCAAGACAGTTCAAGAAATAAAGACAATACACAAATACAATACAGAAAAGTAAATAAAGATATAACAGAAAATTCAAAGTGCATTATGAAGACATAGAATGGATGAAAAATGGCAGAGAGGAGGCAGCACTAACCTGTAGCTCCCACTTGGATGAACAGAGTAGTGTGTGGAGACTCACATCATAAACTTTTGCTCCAAGAACTACTGCAGGAATATACCAGGGAAGCAGAGAGAGTCCACAGACCCTTTGAAGAGAGTGGATTGCTGCTACAGGCCTCTGGAGACAGCCAAAAAACTGTGAATGCCCAAAGTGTGAAAGGGGGATCATACACCTCCAAACACACCCTCACTGGGGAAGCTGAATGTCCAGATCACAGAATGATTTGACCTTACCTGGAGCTGAGACAAATTTAGAGAGCTGAGCAAAATACTGGGGCAAAAGAAGCAGTAGGAAGAGCCCTGTGGGAAATCTTGGTCCCCATGGCAGCCATTTCTGACTTTGTCTCACAAGGGTCCTTCAGGAGGGCTGCCAGAGGAACAGGGAAAAGACCACAGGGAGAAGGAAACTTCTAGCTGAGCTTTGTAACAATTTTGACTAAGCATGAAGTTTCCTGGCCAGAACCTGGGGGAGGGGGCAAATTGGGAGTTCAGGCACAGTACAGAAGTTGTGGCAAGTAGGGAGCCAAAAAACCTGACAGCCCTGCTTGCTTTCTCAGCTGGGAGGTGGGTAGCCTGGGGCAAGTTTGCAGCCATACTCACTTAATGCCTGGAAATAAACTCGGTGTTGTTTTTGGGGCGGAGACAGTGGAAGTGAGACCAGCCTTTTGGGCTGCATGGGAGCTGGGTGAGTGCTGTAACTGCTGGCTTCCCCTCACTTCCCTGGTGACCTGCATGATGCAGCAGAGGCTCCCATAATCCACCTGGGAACATAACTCCATTGGCCTGAGAACCACACCCCATTCCCCAGAGCAGCCTCGGTAAGCCTCACCCAAGGAGAGTCTGAGCTCAGACACACCTAACCCTGAACCCATGATATGGTTTGGCTGTGTCCCCACGCAAATCTCATCTTGAATTCCCACGTGCTGTGGAGGGACCCAGTGAAAGGTAATTGAATCATGGGGCTGTTCTCGTGATAGTGAATAAGTCTCATGAGATCTGACGGTTTTATAAGGGGGAGGTTCCCTGCACAAGCTCTCTCTTTGCCTGCTGCCATCCATGTAAGATGTGACTTGCTCCTCCTTGCCTTCCACCATGATTGTGAGGCTTCCCCAGCCATGTGTCCCCAGCCATGTGGAACTGTGAGTTCTCCACTAAACCTCTTTCCTTTGTAAATTGTCCAGTGTCAGGTATGTCTTTATCAGCAGCATGAAAATGGACTAATACAGTAAATTGGTACCAGTAGAGTGGGGTGCTGCTGAAAAGATACCTGAAAATGTGGAGGCAACTTTGAAACTGGGTAACAGGCAGAGGTTGGAACAGTTTGGAGGGCTCAGAAGAAGACAGGAAAATGTGGGAAATTTTGGAACTTCCTATAGACTTGTTGAATGGCTTCGACCAAAATGCTGATAGCGATATGGACAATGAAATACAGGTTGAGGTGGTCTCAGATGGAGATGAGGAACTGCTTGGGAACAGAAGTAAAGGTGACTCTTGCTATGTTTTAGCAAAGAGACTGGTGGCATTTTGCCCCTGCCCTAGAGATTTGTGGAACTTTGAACTTGAGAGAGATGACTTAGGGTATCTGGTGGAAGAAATTTCTAAGCAGCAAAGCATTCAAGAGGTGACTTTGGTGCTGTTAAAGGCATTCCATTTTAAAAGAGAAAGAGAGCAAAGAGTTTGGAAAATTTGCAGCCTGACAATGCGATACAAGAGAAAATCCCATTTTCTGAGAAAAAATTCAAGCCGGCTGTAGAAATTTGCATAAGTAATGAAGAGATGAGCGTTAATCCTCAAGACAATGGGGAAAATGCCTCTGGGCATATCACAGATCTTCACAGCAGCCCCTCCTATCACAGGCCCAGAGACCTAGGAGGAAAAAGTGGTTTTGTGGGCCAGGCCCAGGGTTCTCATGCTGTGTGCAGTGTAGGGACTTGGTGCCCTGCATTACAGCTGATCCAGCCCTGGCTGAAAGGGACCAAAGTAGAGCTCAGGCCATGGCTTCAGAGGGTGCAAGCCTCAAGGCTTGGCAGCTTCCATGTGGTTTTGAGCTTGCCAGGGCACAGAAGTCAAGAATTGGAGTTTGGAAACCTCTATCTAGATTTCAGAGGGTATATGGAAACACCTGGATGCCCAGACAGAAGTTTGCTGCAGGGGCAGGGCCCTCATGGAGAACCTCTGCTAGGGCAGTGTGGAAGGGAAATGTGGGGTTGGAGCCACCACACAGAGTCCCTAGTGGGGCACCACCTAATAGAGCTGTGAGAAGAGGGCCACTGTCCTCCAGACCCCAGAATGGTAGATCCACTGACAGCTTGCACCATGCACCTGGAAAAGCCACAGACCCTCAACACCAGGCCATGAAAGCAGCTAGAAGGGAGGCTGTACACTGCAAAGCCACAGGGGTGGAGCTGCCCAAACCATGGGAACTCACCTTTTGCATCAGTGTGACCTGGATGTGAGACATGGAGTCAAAGGAGATCATTTTGGAGCTTTAAGATTTGACCACCCTGCTGGATTTTGAACTTGCATGGGACCTTAGCCCCTTAGTTTTGTCCAATTTCTCCCATTAAAATGTCTGCATTTACCCAGTGCCTGTACCCCCATTGTATCTAGGAAGTAACTAACTTGCTTTTGATTTTACAGGCTCATAGGCAGAAGAGACTTGCATTGTCTCAGAAATGACTTTGAACTGTGGACTTTTGAGTTAATGCTGAAATGAGTTAAGACTTTGGGGGACTGTTGGGAAGGCATGATTGGTTTTGAAATGTGAGGACATGAGATTTGGGAGGGGCCAGGGGTAGAATTATATGGTTTGGCTGTGTCCCCACCCAAATCTCATCTTGAATTCCCATGTGTTGTGGGAGGGACCTAGTGAAAGGTAATTGAATCATGGGGCCAGGTCTTTCCTGTGCTGTTCTCATATTAGTGAATAAGTCTCATGATATCTGATGGTTTTATAAGGGAGAGTTTCCCTGAACAAGCTCTCTCTTTGCCTGCTGCCATACATGTAAGATGTGACTTGCTCCTCCATGCCTTCTGCCATGATTGTGAGGCTTCCCCAGCCACAATGAACTGTGAGTTCTCCACTAAACCTCTTTCCTCTGTAAATTGCCCAGAGTCAGGTATGTCTTTCTTAGCAGCATGAAAACAGACTAACACACCCCACCTGATGGTCTTTCTCTATTTGCTCTGTTAGCCAAAGACAAAGGAGATAATCTCTTGGGAGCTCTATGGCCCCACCCACTGATTCTCCCTATACTACCACAACTGATGCAGTCTTTTTTAAATATTATTATTATACTTTAAGTTCTAGGGTACATGTGCACAATGTGCAGTTTTGTCACATATGTATACATGTGCTATATTGGTGTGCTGCACCCATTAACTCATCATTTACATTAGGTATATCTCCTAAGGCTGTCCCTCCCACCCTCCCACCCCACTACAGGCCCCAGTGTGTGATGTTCCCCTTCTTGTGTTCCAGTGTTCTCATTGTTCAATTCCCACCTATGAGTGAGAACATGTGGTGTTTGGTTTTTTGTCCTTGTGATAGTTTGCTGAGAATGATGGTTTCCAGCTTCCTCCATGTCCCTAAAAAGACATGAACTCATCCTTTTTTATGGCTGCATAGTATTCCATGGTGTATATGTGCCACATTTTCTTAATCCAGTCTATCATTGACGGACATTTGGATTGGTTCCAAGTCTTTGTTATTGTGAGTAGTGCCACAATAAACATACGTGTGATGCACTCTTTAAAGTGCCACTTCCTGGCTGGAGGCCAACCAACACAAAACTAACTCAATAAATGAAACTACAACCAAGGACCCTCACAGAGTCCACTTCACTCCACTGCCACTTCCACCAGAGCAGGTGCTGGTATCCACAACTGAGAGACCTGAAGACAGTTCACATCACAGGACTCTTTGAAGACACCCCTAGCACCAACCTGGAGCCCAGTAGCTCCTCTGGGTGGCTACATCCAGAAGAGAAATAACAATCACTGCAGTTTGGCTCTCAGGAAGCCACTTCCCTAGGGGAAGGAAGAGAGCACCACATCAAAGGGGCACCTGGTGAGACAAAAGAATCTGAACAGCAGTCCTTGAGCCCCAGACTTTCCTCTGACATAGTCTGCCCAAATGAGAAGGAACCAGAAAAAACAACCCTGGTAATATGACAAAACAATGATCTTTAACACCCGCAAAAGATTACACTAGCTAACAAGCAATGGATCCAAACCAAGAAGAATTATCTGAATTGCTGGGAAAAGAATTCAGAAGGTTGATTATTAAGTTAATCGAGGAGGCACCAGAGAAAGGTGAAGTCTAACTTAATGAAATTTAAAAAATGATACAAGATATGTAGGAAAAAATCTTCAGTGAAATAGGCAGTGTAAATAAAAAACAATCACAACTTCTGGAAAGGAAGGACACACTTAGAGGAATGCAAAATACACTGGAAAGTCTCAGCAATAGAATTGAACAAGTAGAAGAAAGAACTTCAGAGCTCAAAGACAAGGCTTTTGAATTAACTCAATCCAATGCAGAGAAAAAAAGAATTTTAAAAAATAAAGCCTCCAGGAAGTTTGAGATTATGTTAAATGACCAAGCCTAAAAATAATTGATGTTCTCAAGGAATAAATCTAAAAGCTTGGAAAACACATTTGAGGGAATAATTCAGGAAAAATGCCCCAGCCTTGCTAGAAATCTAGACATCCAAATACAAGAACCTCAAAAATACCTGGAAAATTTATTTCAAAAAGATCATCACCTAGGCACATAGTCATCAGGTTATCTACAGTCAAGATGGAGGAAAGACTCTTAAGAGCTGTGAGGCAAAAGCATCAGGTAACCTATAAAGGAAAACCTGTCAGATTAACAGTAGATATCTCAGCAGAAGCCCTACAAGTTGAAAGGGATTGGGGCCCTATATTTAGCCTCCTTAAACAAAATAGTTATCACCCAAGAATTTTGTATCCAGTAAAACTAAGCTTCGTAAATGAAGGAAAGATATAGTTTTCTTCAGACAAACATGTGCTGACAGAATTCACCACTACCAAGTCAGTACTACAAGAACTGCTAAAAGGAGCTCTAAATTTTGAAACAAATCCTGAAAATACATCAAAACAGAATCTCTTTAAAGCATAAATCTCACAGAACTTATAAAACAAAAATACAATGTAAAAAAATCAATGTATACAGGTCATACATAGCACGATGAATGGAATGGTACCTTACATCTCAATACTAATGTTGAATGTAAATGGCCTAAATGCTCCACTTAAAATATATGGAATTGCAGAATGGAGAAGAATTTCACTGACCAACTATCTGCTGCCTTCAAGAGACTCGCCTAACACGTATGGACTCACATAAACTTAAGGTAAAGGGGTGGAAAAAGACATTCCATGCAAATGGACATCAAAAGTGAGCAGAAGTAGCTATTCTTATATACAGACTAAACAAACTTTAAAGCAACAGCAGTTAAAAAAGACAAAGAGGGTGGAGCCAAGATGGCAGAATAGGAACAGCTCCGGTCTACAGCTCCCAGCGTGAGCGACACAGAAGACAGGTGATTTCTGCATTTCCATCTGAGGTACCGGGTTCATCTCACTAGGGAGTGCCAGACAGTGGGTGCAGGACAGTGGGTGCAGCGCACCATGCATGAGCCGAAGCAGGGCGAGGCATTGCCTTACTCGGGAAGCACAAGGGGTCAGGGAGTTCACTTTCCTAGTCAAAGAAAGGGGTGACAGACAGCACCTGGAAAATTGGGTCACTCCCACCCTAATAGAGTGCTTTTACAACGGGCTTAAAAAAACAGCACACCAGGAGATTATATCCCGCACCTGGCTCAGAGGGTCCTACCCATGGAGTCTTGCTGATTGCTAGCACAGCAGTCTGAGTTCAAACTGTGAGGCGGCAGTGAGACTGGGTGAGGGGCGCCTGCCATTGCCCAGGCTTGAGGTAAACAAAGCAGCTGGGAAGCTCGAAGTGGGTGGAGCCCACCACAGCTCAAGAAGGCCTGCCTGCCTCTGTAGGCCCCACCTCTGGGGGCAGGGCACAGACAAAAAGACAGCAGTAACCTCTGCAGACTTAAATGTCCCTGTCTGACAGCTTTGAAGAGTAGTGGTTTTCCCAGCATGCAGCTGGAGATCTGAGAATGGGCAGACTGCCCCCTCAAGTGGGTCCTTGACCCCTGAGCAGCATAACTGGGAGGCACCCCCCAGTAGGGGTAGACAGACACCTCACATGGCCGGGTACCCCTCTGAGACAAAACTTCCAGAGGAACGATTAGGCAGCAGCATTTGTGGTTCACCAAGATCCGCTGTTCTACAGCCACCGCTGTTCTGCAGTCACCGCTGCTGATACCCAGGCAAACAGAGTCTGGAGTGGACCTCTAGCAAACTCCAAAAGACCTGCAGCTGAGGGTCCTGTCTGTTCGAAGGAAAACTAATAAACAGAAAGGACATCCACACCAAAAACCCTTCTGTACGTCACCATCATCAGAGACCAAAAGTAGATAAAACCACAAAGATTGGGAAAAAACAGAGCAGAAAAACTGGAAACTCTAAAAAGCAGAGCACGTCTCCTCCTCCAAAGGAACGCAGCTCCTCACCAGCAATGGAACAAAGCTGGATGGAGAAGGACTTTGATGAGCTGAAAAAGAAGGCTTCAGACAATCAAAGTACTCCAAGCTACAGGAGGAAATTCAAACCAATGGCAAAGAAGTTAAAAACTGTGAAAAAAAATTAGACGAATGGATAACTAGAATAACCAAAGCAGAGAAGTCCTTAAAGGAGCTGATGGAGCTGAAAGCCAAGGCTCGAGAACTACGTGAAGAATGCAGAAGCCTCAGGAGCCGATTCAATCAACTGGAAGAAAGGGTATCAGTGATGGAAGATGAAATGAATGAAATGAAACGAGACGGGAAGTTTAGAGAAAAAGGAATAAAAAGAAATGAACAAAGCCCCAAGAAATATGGGACTATGTGAAAAGACCAAATCTACGTCTGATTGGTGTACCTGAAAGTGACAGGGAGAATGGAACCAAGTTGGAAAACATTCTGCAGGCTATTAACCAGGAGCACTTCCCCAATCTAGCAAGGCAGGCCAACATTCAGACTCAGGAAATACAGAGAATGCCACAAAGATACTCCTTGAGAAGAGCAGCTCCAAGACGCATAATTGTCAGATTCACCAAAGTTGAAATGAAGGAAAAAACGTTAAGGGCAGCCAGAGAGAAAGGTTGGGTTACCCACAAAGGCAAGCCCATCAAACTAACAGTGGATCTCTCAGCAGAAACTCTACAAGCCAGAAGAGAGTGGGGGCCAATATTCAACATTCTTAAAGAAAAGAATTTTCCACCCAGAATTTCATATCCAGCCAAACTAAGCTTCACAAGTGAAGGAGAAGTAAAATACTTTACAGACAAGCAAATGCTGAGAGATTTTGTCACCACCAGGCCTGCCCTAAAAGAGCTCCTGAAGGAAGCACTAAACATGGAAAGGAACAACCGGTACCAGCCACTGCAAAAACATGCCAAAATGTAAAGACCATCAAGGCTAGGAAGAAACTGCATCAACTAACGAGCAAAATAACCAGCTAACATCATAATGACAAGACCAAATACACACATAACAATATTAACTTTAAATGTAAATGGGCTAAATGCTCCAATTAAAAGACACAGACTGGCAAATTGGATAAAGAGTCAAGACCCATCAGTGTGCTGTATTCAGGAAACCCATCTCACATGCAGAGACACACATAGGCTCAAAATAAAGGGATGGAGGAAGATCTACCACGCAAACGGAAAACAAAAGAAGGCAGGGGTTGCAATCCTAGTCTCTGATAAAACAGACTTTAAACCAACAAAGATCAAAAGAGACAAAGAAGGCCATTACATAATGGTAAAGGGATCAATTCAACAAGAAGAGCTAACTATCCTAAATATATATGCACCCAATACAGGAGCACCCAGATTCACAAAGCAAGTCCTGAGTGACCTACAAAGAGACTTAGACTCCAACACAATAATAATGGGAGATTTTAACACCTCACTGTCAACATTAGACAGATCAACGAGACAGAAAGTTAAAAAGGATATCCAGAAATTGAACTCAGCTCTGCACCAAGTGGACCTAATAGACATCTACAGAACTCTCCACCCCAAATCAACAGAATATACATTTTTTTCAGCACCACATCACACCTGTTCCAAAATTGACCACATAGTTGGAAGTAAAGCACTCCTCAGCAAATGTAAAAGAACAGAAATTATAACAAACTGTCTCTCAGACCACAGTGCAATCAAACTAGAACTCAGGACTAAGAAACTCACTCAAAACTGCTGAACTACCTGGAAACTGAGCAACCTGCTCCTGAATGACTACTGGGTGCATAACGAAATGAAGGCAGAAATAAAGATGTTCTTTGAAACCAACGAGAACAAAGACACAACATACCAGAATCTCTGGGACACATTCAAAGCAGTGTGTAGAGGGAAATTTATAGCACTAAATGCCCACAAGAGAAAGCAGGAAAGATCCAAAATTGACACCCTAACGTCACAATTAAAAGAAATAGAAAAGCAAGAGCAATCACATTCAAAAGCTAGCAGAAGGCAAGAAATAACTAAAATCAGAGCAGAACTGAAGGAAATTGAGACACAAAAAACCCTTCAAAAAATTAATGAATCCAGCAACTGGTTTTTTGAAAAGATCAACAAAATCGATAGACTGCTAACAAGACTAATAAAGAAGAAAAGAGAGAAGAATCAAATAGACGCAATAAAAAATGAAAAACGGGATATCACCACCGATCCCACAGAAATACAAGCTACCATCAGAGAATAATACAAACACCTCTACGCAAATAAACTAGAAAATCTAGAAGAAATGGATAAATTCCTCAACACATATACCCTCCCAAGACTAAACCAGGAAGAATTTGAATCTCTGAATAGACAAATAACAGGCTCTGAAATTGTGGCAATGATCAATAGCTTATCAACCAAAAAGAGTCCAGGACCAGATGGATTCACAGCCGAATTCTACCAAAGGTACAAGGAGGAGCTGGTACCATTTCTTCTGAAACTATTCCAATCAATAGAAAAAGAGGGAATCCTCCCTAACTCATTTTATGAGGCCAGCATCATTCTGATACCAAAGCCTGGCAGAGACACAACCAAAAAAGAGAATTTTAGACCAATATCCTTGATGAACATTGATGCAAAAATCCTCAATAAAATTCTGGCAAACTGAATCCAGCAGCACATCAAAAAGCTTATCCACCATGATCAAGTGGGCTTCATCCCTGGGATGCAAGGCTGGTTCAATATATGCAAATCAATAAATATAATCCAGCATATAAACAGAACCAAAGGCAAAAACCACATGATTATCTCAATAGATGCAGAAAAGACCTTTGACAAAATTCAACAACCCTTCATGCTAAAAACTCTCAATAAATTACGTATTGATGGGACGTATCTCAAAATAATAAGAGCTATCTATGACAAACCCACAGCCAGTATCATACTGAATGGGCAAAAACTGGAAGCATTCCCTTTGAGAACTCGCACAAGACAGGGATGCCCTCTCTCACCACTCCTATTCAACATAGTGTTGGAAGTTCTGGCCAGGGCAATCAGGCAGGAGAAGGAAATAAAGGGTATTCAATTAGGAAAAGAGGAAGTCAAATTGTCCCTGTTTGCAGATGACATGATTGTATATCTAGAACACCCCATTGTCTCAGCCCAAAATCTCCTTAAGCTGATAAGCAACTTCAGCAAAGTCTCAGGATACAAAATCAACATACAATAATCACAAGCATTCTTATACACCAATAACAGACAAACAGAGAGCCAAATCATGAGTGAACTCCCATTCACAATTGCTTCAAAGAGAATAAAATACCTAGGAATCCAACTTACAAGGGATATGAAGGACCTCTTCAAGGAGAACTACAAACCACTGCTCAATGAAATAAAAGAGGATACAAACAAATGGAAGAACATTCCATGCTCATGGGTACGAAGAATCAATATCGTGAAAATGGCCATACTGCCCAAGGTAATTTATAGATTCAATGCCATCCCCATCAAGCTACCAATGACTTTCTTCACATAATTGGAAAAAACTACTTTAAAGTTCATATGGAACCAAAAAAGAGCCCACATGGCCAAGTCAATCCTAAGCCATAAGAACAAAGCCAGAGGCATCACGCCACCTGACTTCAAACTATACTACAAGGCTACAGTAACCAAAACAGCATGGTACTGGTACCAAAACAGAAATATAGATCAATGGAACAGAACAGAGCCCTCAGAAATAATACCATGTATCTACAACCATCTGATCTTTGACAAACCTGACAAAAACAAGAAATGGGGAAAGGATTCCCTATTTAATAAATGGTGCTGGGAAAACTGGCTAGCCATATGTAGAAAGCTGAAACTGGATCCCTTCCTTTCACCTTAGACAAAATTTAATTCAAGATGGATTAAAGACTTAAATGTTAGACCTAAAACCATAAAAACCCTAGAAGAAAACCTAGGCAATACCATTCAGGACATAGGCATGGGCAGGGACTTCATGTCTAAAACACCAAAAGCAATGGCAACAAAAGCCAAAATTGACAAATGGGATCTAATTAAACTAAAGAGCTTCTGCACAGCAAAAGAAACTACCATCAGAGTGAACAGGCAACCTACAAAATGGGAGAAAATTTTCGCAACCTACTCATCTGACAAAGGGCTAATATGAAGAATCTACAATGAACTCAAACAAATTTACAAGAAAAAAACAAACAACCCCATCAAAAAGTGGGTGGAAGGATATGAACAGACACTTCTCAAAAGAAGACATTTATGCAGCCAAAAAACACATGAAAAAATGCTCATCATCACTGGCCATCAGAGAAATGCAAATCAAAACCACAATGAGATACCATCTTACACCAGTTAGAATGGCCATCATTAAAAAGTCAGGAAACAACAGGTGCTGGAGAGGATGTGGAGAAATAGGAACACTTTTACACTGTTGGTGGGACTGTAAACTAGTTCAACCATTGTGGAAGTCAGTGTGGCAATTCCTCAGTGATCTAGAACTAGGAATACCATTTGACCCAGGCATCCCATTACTGGGTGTATACCCAAAGGATTATAAATCATGCTGCTATAAAGACACATGCACACGTATGTTTATTGCGGCACTATTCACAATAGCAAAGACTTGGAACCAACCCAAATGTCCAAGAACAATAGACTGGATTAAGAAAATGTGGCACATATACACCATGGAATACTATGCAGCCATAAAAAAGGATGAGTTCATGTCCTTTGTAGGGACATGGATGAAACTGGAAACCATCATTCTCAGCAAAGTATCGCAAGGACAAAAAACCAAACACCACATGTTCTCACTCATAGGTGGGAATTGAACAATGAGAACACTTGGACACAGGAAGAGGAACATCACACTCCGGGGACTGTTGTGGGGTGGGGGGAGGGGGTAGGGATAGCATTAGGAGACATACTTAATGCTAAATGATGAGTTAATGGGTGCAGCACACTAACACGGCACATGTATACATATGTAACAAACCTGCACATTGTGCACATGTACCCTAAAACTTAAAGTATAATAATAATAAAAAAGAAAGAAAGAAAGAAAAAAAAAAAAAAGACAAAGAGGGACATTATATAATGATAAAAGGCCTTGTCCAACAGGAAAATATCACAATGCTAAATATATATGCACCTAACACTGGAGCTCCCAAATTTATGAAACAATTACTACTAGACGTAAGAAATGAGATAGACCAGCAACACAATTACAGTGGAAGACTTCAATATTCCACTGATAGCACTAGACAGGTCATCAAGACAGAAAGTCAACAAAGAAACAATGGATTTAAACTATATCCCAGAACAAATGGCCTTAACAGATATTTACAGAACATTCTACACAACAACCACAGAATATACATTCTACTAATGAGCACATGGAACTTTCTCCAAGGTAGATCATATGATAGGCCACAAAACAAGTCTCAATACATTTAAGAAAACCGAAATTATATCAAGTGCTCTCTCAAACAAGAGTGGAATAAAACTGGAAATCAACTTTAAAAGAAACCTTCAAAACCATGCAAATACCTAGAAATTAAATAACCTGCTCCTAAATGATCATTGTAAACTATGAAATCAAGATGGAAATTAAAAAATTATTTGAAGTGAACAATTGTGACACAACCTATCAAAACCTCTGGGATACAGCAAAGGTAGTGCTAAGAAGAAAGTTCATAGCTTTAAATGTCTACATCAATAAGTCTGAAAGAACACAAATAGACAATCTAAGGTCACACCGCAAGGAAATAGAGAAACAAGAACAAACCAAACCCAAGCCCAGCAGAAGAAAAGAAATAACAAATAACAGAGCAGAAATAAATGAAATTGAAACCAAAAAATAACACAAAAGATAAATGAAATCAAAAGCTGTTTCTTTGAAAAGATAAAATTGATAGACCATTATTGAGATTAACCAAGAAAAGAAGAGAGAAGATCAAAATAACCTCAATTAGAAACAAAACTATTGGGAGATATTACAACCAATACTACAGAAATACAAAAGATCATTCAAGGCTCTTATGAACACTTCTAGTTTATGTGCATAAACTAGAAAACCTAGAGGAGATGGATAAATTCTTAGAAATATTCAACCCTCCGAGATTAAACCAAGAAGAAATAGAAACTCTGAACAGACCAATAACAAGCAGTGAGATGAATTAAAATGGTAATGAAAAAATTGCCAACCAAAAAAAGTCCGGGACCAGATAGATTCATGGTTGAATTCTATCAGACATTCAAAGAATTGCTACCAATCCTGTTGACACTATTTCACAGGATCAAGAAATAGGGAATCCTCCTTAAATTATTCAATGAAGCCAGTATCACCCTAATATCAAAACCAGGAAAGGACACAACCAAAAAAGAAAACTACAGACCAATATCCCTGATGAACATAGATGCAAAAATCTTGTCTTGTTAAGACAAGATACTAGCTAACCGAATGAAACAGCATATCAAAAAGATAATCCACCATGGTCAAGTGGGTTTCATACCAGCGATTCAGGGATGGTTTAACATGTGCAAATCAATAAATGTGATACAAAAATCATACGATCATCTCAATAGATGCAGAAAGGCATTTGACAAAATCCAGCATCCCTTTATGATTAAAACCCTCAGTAAAATCAGCATAGAAAGGACATAGCTTAAAGTAATAAAAGCCACCTATGACAAATGCACAGCCAACATAATACTGAACTGGGAAAGCACTCCCCCTGAGTACTGGAACAAAACAAGGATGCAAATTCTTACCACTTCTATTCAATATAGTACTGGAAGTCCTAGCCAAAGCAATGAGACAAGATAAATAAATAAATGTCTTCCAAATCAGTAAAGGGGAAGTCAAACTGTTGCTGTTTGCTGATGATATGATCATATACCTAGAAAGTCCTAAAGACTCCTCCAAAAAGCTCCTAGAACTGATAAATGAATTTAGCAAAGTTTCAAGATACAAGATTAATGTACACAAATCAGTAGCTCTGCTATACACCAAAAGTGACCAAGCAGAGAAACAAATCAAGAACTCAGTCACTTTTACAATAGCTGCAAAAAAAAAAAAAAAAAAAAAAACTTAGGAAAATACCTAATCAAGGAAGTGAAAGACCTCTACTAGGAAAACTACAAAACACTGCTGAAAGAAATCATAGATGACACAAACAAATGGAAACACATCCCATGCTCACGGATGGGTAGAATCAATATTGTGAAAATGCCCATACTGCAAAAGCAATCTATAAATTCAATGCAATTCCCATCAAAATACCACCATCATTCTTCACAGAACTAGAAAAAACCATCCTAAAATTTATATGGAACCAAAAAAAAGTCTGCATCACCAAAGCAACACTAGGCAAAAAGAACAAATCTGGAGGCATCCCACTACCCAACTTCAAACTATACTGTAGGGGCATAGTCACCAAAACAGCATGGTACTGGTATAAAAATAGGCACATAGACCAATGGAACAGAATAGAGAACTCAGAAATAAAGCCAAATACTTACAGCCAACTGATCTTTAACAAAAGAAACAAAAATATAAAGTGGGGAAAAGACGCCATATTTAACAAATGATGCTGAGATCATTGGCAAGCCACATGTAGAAGATTGAAACTGGATCATTATCTGTCACCTTATACAAAAATCAACTCAAGATAGATCAAAGACTTAAATCTAAGACCAGAAACCACAAAAATTCTAGAAGGTAACATTGGAAAACCCGTTCTAGACATTGGCTTAAGCAAAGACTTCATGACCAAGAACCCAAAAGCAAATGCAACAAAAACAAAGGTAAATAGATGTGACTAAATTAAACTAGAAAGCTTTGGCACAGCAAAAGAAATAATCAGCAAAGTAAACAGACAACCCACAGAATGGGAGAAAATCTTTGCAATCTATTCATCCAACAGGGGACTAATATCCATAATATACAAGGAACCCAAACAAATAAGCAAGGAAAAAACAAACAATCCCATCAAAACGTGGGCTGAGGATAGACGATTCTCAAAAGAAGATATACAAATGGCCAACAAAAGTATGAAAAAATGCTCAATATTGCTAATGATTAGAGAAATGCTAATCAAAACCACAATGTGATACCACCTTACTCCTGTAAGAATTGCCATAATCAAAAAATAAAAAAATATATATGTTGGCATGGCTGTGGTGAACAGGGAACATTTCTACACTGCTGATGGGAATGTAAACTAGTACAGCCACTATGGAAAACAGTGCAGAGATTCCTTAAAGAACTAAAAGTAGAACTACCATTTGATCCAGCAATCCCACTAGTGGGTATCTACCCAGAGGAAAAGAAGTCATTATACAGAAAAGATACTTGCGCACCCATGTTTATAGCAGCACAATTTACAATTGCAAAAATATGGAACCAGCCCAAGTGACCATCAATCAACAAGTGGATAAAAACATTATGGTATATATATACCATAGAACACTACGCAGCCATAAAAAGAACAAAATAATGACATTTGCAGCAACCTGGATGGAATCGGAGACCATTATTCTAAGTAAAGTAACTCAAGAATAGAAAACCAAACATCATATGTTCTCACTCATAAGTGGGAGCTAAGCTATGAGGATGCAAAGGCATAAGAATGATACAATGGACTTTGAGGACTCGGGGAGAGAGTGGGAGGGGGGTGAGGGATAAAAGACTACACATTGGGTACAGTGTACACTGCTTGGTTGACGGGTGCACCAAATCTCAGAAATCACCACTAAATAACTTATTCATGTAACCAAACACTACCTGTTTCCCAAAAATCTATTGAAATAAAAAAATTTTTTTAAAAGTGCATTATGGAAACTTTATGATAATAAGCTTGAAAGCCTATATGAAATGAAAACATTTCTAGAAAAACAAGAAACACAAAAATTGATAGAAGGAAAAACTGAAATTTGAATAGACCAATAAACACGAAATAAAATGAAATGTAATCAAAGATCTCTCTGTCTAAAAATCTGTAGGCATAGGTGATGGTTTTCTATATGAATTTTACCAAATTCCCAGATGGCAGATAATTTCTATCTTAGATGAGTTCCGGAATATAGAAAAAGAATGAAAATTCTTCTACCATGAGGATTGTGTGTTCTTGTTTTCAAAACTGGATAAGAAAGTTCAGAAAAAAATATAGGGCTATTCCACTTTGAATATAGATGTGTAAGTCTAAATAAAATATTTGTTAAACAAATCCAATAGTGTATTAGGAAAAAAGTACATGATAATCATAAAATATGAGGAATGCAAGAATAGTTCAAAGTTAGAAAACTCTCTCAATATAATTTTCTATATTATGAAAGGAGACAATTACTTGATTATCTCAATGGTGCAAAAAAACACACTTGTTAAAACTCACCATTTGTTTGTTGAAAACTCTTCAAGTAATAGGAAGAGAATTTCCTCAACTTGACAGACATACCAAACCTTAATGTTATATATACCAATATATGATATAGTATATTTGTATAAAATGGTAACATTATACTTAATTGAGAAACTTCAGCTGCATCTTCTTTGCGATCAAGAATAAGACAAGAGGCCAACTGTCAACCACTGTTTAAGATATAACTGGAGGCCCTTGCCAACAATTTTAAGAAAGAAAAAGAAGTAACAGATATACAGTGGAAGGGAAGAAATGAAACTGCCACTCTGCAGATAATTTGATTTCCTACAGAGAAAAACTAACAAAATCAACAAATATTAAAACTTATATGACAGCAAGACTCAGATAAAAGATCACCTTGTAAAAATCAGTAGCATTTTTGATCATAAAAAGAAAAATAACAAGGTAGCTTTGTGGTCCAGGAGCAGGGAAGTGTCTTGCTCAAACCGATAAGTATAGACTTACACGACATGAAAATTAGGATTAACTCTACCCTCTGATCCTGAGGTCAAACCATCCAACGGGCAAATAAATATGGCTGAAAAGGGGACAAGGAGAGAGTGCAAGCTGGAGGGAAGTATTGGACCAAGGGAGAATTTTAAGATGGGAGAGATACAAGGGCATGTTACACTGATAGGGATGATGTAGTAGAAAAGGAGAGATTAATGATGGGGAAGAAAGAGAAAGGATTAACTAAGGGCCAAGATGAGAGGGGATGGGATCCACAGCCCAAATGGTAATGGTCTTTTGGCAGAAGAGACACATTTTCAGTTCTAACAGACAGGGGAGAAGGTGCTGGCACAAGAGCAGCAAAACCTTGATAGTGGAGACAGAAGGACAGAGCTCAGTTCTAGAGACTTCCATTTGTTCAATAAAATGTGAGTTGGAGTCGTCAGCTGAGAGTGGGTATGAGGAGATGCTGGGAAGAAGGGGTGGGAGTTTTGAGGTCAGAAATTAAGGCATGAAATAGTCTTAGGTGATATGATACACCACTCAGACTGGCTTTGTGAACAGAGAGCCTTGCCCTGGCAAGTGCTCAGTAAGAGCTTGTTGAATGACTGACAGCCGAGGCTGGGCAGAGTGTTTAGGGAGCTTGGGCTTGGAGGACAGAAGCAAAAGAGCACCAGATTTGGGGGCCAGAGACCTGGTTTATGGATCTGGTTCCTCCATGTCTCTTCTGCGGGTTCCTGTGAACTTCTTGGCATGAAAGTTGACCATAAGAACTGGGTCACTCTTGTCATACCCAACTAAAACAGAGTTGAGATGCCAGTGGGGGTAAGCACTCAAGGTACAAAACATTGATCCAACAATGTAATTCTCTGCAAGCCTGACTGCAGAAACTGCTTTTTGTAACCTGAAACCAGCTTTATCTACAGCTTCTGAGATAGCCTGCTTCTTGCTATCTAAGATAGACAGGACTAATTTTGCCCACAGTGGTTGCTCACCAAGTGGAGCTTACCATCTCCCCAAACCCTTGCTAGTGCCAATGAACTTTCTTAAAGGGCAATACACAACATTTCTCCTTTCTATAAAACCTCTAACCTTCTCTTTGTTCTTTGGGTATACCAAAGACAATCGAGGCTCATGTATGCCCCAAATTGCAATTCTTTCTTCCCAAATAAAACAGTATATTTAGAGATTCATCTCTACATTTTTATTTTGTAGACACTGAGCTTCAGTTTTTCTCATCTGGAAAATGGGAATGATGTTGCCCACTGCCTTCACCTCACAGAGCTGATGTGCAGATTATGGGCTATTTTCTGCTTGTCACCCCCTCCAGATCCTTTCTCACCCTTTTCTGTGCTGCTCCATGTCTTGCGGGGCTGAACTCCATGGGCTGCAGTTCCCGGGTTCCTTTGCCCTCTGGCTTCCCTTTGGGCTCCGCTGGTTGGAGGCCCCAGCAGCAGATGGGAGAGCAGAAGAGGACACAGCAGGCAGAGCACTCAACGCCCCACTTCCTCCCGGCCTGGCTGCAGTTCTGGCAGTGCCATGTTCCTCTGCAGCCACGACTCCTGTTAGGCAGCCCCTTTTCCATGGCACTAGTTTTCATGGGCTCAGCTAATACTCTTGCCTTCATTTGCCCATTCAGGCCTATGGGGTTAATAGCCCCTCCTGCTCCTCTCGTCCCTGGGCATCTCCTGTGACCCTGCCCAGATTTCTGTGAATAGTCCCTTCATTAAACTCTCATCGGTCTCCTTTGAGGGTGCCATCCCTTCCTGCCAGGCCTTGAATACAAGGACCGAGGACAGAAAGATAGTCCAGGCGCTGAGCAAGGTGAGATGCGTGGAGCCAGGGAGAGAGAGAACATGCACAAGGGGAAGGGATCAGCTGTAAAATCTGGCATGCTCTAACTCGAGAAGGAAGATTCTGCTGCTTCCCCGTGGCCTTGACCTCTCCTCACCATCAACTAGGGAGAATGTTCTGTTCTCTAGGGGCAGAGAAGGCCCAGATTCACACTGAGGTATAAGGAGGTCGCAGAAACCAAGCCTCCATAGTTCCACTGTACAGAGAGCTCGGGACACAGGTAATGGTAGGTCCTGCTCTTGGGCTCAAAGTGTTTTTAGAAGCCACTGACCTAGGCAAAGTTGCTCATTTTTCCAATAAAAAAATGGGCTACATATTCTTGCCAAGGACACAGCAACAAACCAACCATTGATAAGGGCAAGAAAAATCATTGATGAGACTAGTCACTCAATACATAAGTAGGTCTGCAGTTACAAGCCTATTTGATGCTGCCAGTTAGTAGCAATCCCTTCTGTTTATTCAGCATACCCTTTTAGGTTATGTCGAGTTCAGGGTCCCAGTTCTCTCATGTGCTGGGCAAGTCCTCTTCACCTCTGCTCATCCCCATTCCTTCCTTTACCAAGTGAGGAGCTTGAAGGCCATTTTGGTAACCTCACCCTGCTTGCCCTTGTTCTTTTCCCTGCATCCCCCAAATAAGCCCACTGGGCCAGTCCCTGGGCCAGGCCTGACAGTGTCTGGGTTTATGGTCTCTTCTTTCTCACCCTTGTGTCTCCCACACTGATGCCCACTGGGGCCGGCAGACCCAGCACCCAGGGGTTCTGACGTGAGCACTGCACCCCTTTGTCTTTCTGCCTCTCCTGCGTTGCAGCCAGCCAGACCCCAAATTGGTCCCCCTAGAGCAAGGCCTGTGTATTGGAATCAGGTAGACCTGATTTGTTCAAAGTTAACTCTGCCTCTGAGCCTCAGTCACCTGAGCAGTCAAGTGTAGGGCATCATAGCCGCCCCCAGGCTTGCTCTGGAGTGTCTAGCAAAATGTCTAGCATCCAGAAGGCAACTGATGAAGGAGAGGACCTCCTTTCCTTCATGCTGCGGGTCCTTCTGCTGTCTGGAAGCCTGAGTGCTAGGCCCTGCCCCTTGGATGAACATGCTGGTGAGCACAGTGATAGTGTCCTCACTGCACGATCTCTGGACCTCCCTGCCTCTCTCTCAGAGGATGACCACTGTACCTAGGTTAGGCTCATCCTCCACCCTGGCTCAAGCTTCCTTCCCCCTGTGCCTTCCTGTCTTCAACCTAAGCCTGCTGGAGTAACAATATCTTGGAGGCCCCAAATTCCACATTTCTTTGTTCACATGAGATAATGCAACTCTGCTTTGAGAGCTATAAAATGACTGCAAATATTTTGTAATCATTGATGACACAGGGTGGGATGCTTGATATTCTACAAAACTATATATATGGCATGTAAAGATGCAGTTTAATTCTGCATACATTTGACCTAGAGTTAATATACTAGCTATAATAATCTTCGAAGTCTAATAACAAATTATTTTATTGGACTATTTAGAATATTAAAAGATGTTTAGACAGGATTTGGATGGCCCAGTTCTCTTTAAAAAGCCATCCAAGGATGTTTGACCTGTTTTCATTTGATAAAATTTCCTAGCAGTGAAAAGACATTAAAAGTCATACCAGAGTCTCACATTAGAATTTGCTCCTGTGACTCCCTTTCAGGAGAGGAATTCAAACAGGGAGGGGCCAATGTGACGAGCAGCATTCCTCTTTCACTTTCATTTTGTGCTGTTTACTTTATAAAAGTTAGTGTCTACAGAGGCTAGGAGTTTGTCCGTGCTATTTTTATTCTTTTCTTTGTTTCCTGTATTTTAAAACATTAGGAATGCTATGTATTTTTAATAGTTGGTTGAGGTGTAATAATAAAACATACCTGTTTGATGAGTTTCAGCACATGAACACATCACCAAAACCATCACCATAATCAAAATAATGAACATATTCATCCCCCAGGCCCCCAATACCCACAAATTTCCTTGTTCCCCTTGGTAATACCTCCTTTTCACCCACCCTGACCCTCACATTTCAAACAACCACTGATCTGCTTTCTGTCACTATGTGTTATTTTGCATTTTCTAGAATTTTATGTGAATGGAAGCACACAGTGTGTACTCTTTTCTGTCTGGCTTCTTT